>NC_000015.10:30852631-31155661 GCF_000001405.40 Homo sapiens
ATTTGATCCTGTCATTATGATGTTAGCTGGTTATTTTGCTCATTAGTTGATGCAGTTTCTTCCTAGCCTCAATGGTCTTTACAATCTGGCATGTTTTTGCAATGGCTGGTACTGGTTGTTCCTTTCCATGTTTAGTGCTTCCTTCGGGAGCTCTTTTAGGGCAGGCCTGGTGGTGACAAAATCTCTCAGCATTTGCTTGTCTGTAAAGTATTTTATTCCTGCTTCACTTATGAAGCTTAGTTTAGCTGGATATGAAATTCTGGGTTAAAAATTCTTTTCTTCAAGAATGTTGAATATTGGCCCCCACTGTCTTCTGGCTTGTAAGGTTTCTGCCGACAGATCAGCTGTTAGTCTGATGGGCTTCCCTTTGTGGGTAACCCAACCTTTCTCTCTGGCTGCCCTTAATATTTTTTCCTTCATTTCAACTTTGGTGAATCTGACAATTATGTGTCTTGGAGTTGCTCTTCTAGAGGATTATCTTTGTGGCGTTCTGTGTATTTCCTGAATCTGAATGTTGGCCTGCCTTGCTAGATTGGGGAAGTTCTCCTGGATAATATCCTGTAGAGTGTTTTCCAACTTAGTTCCATTCTCCCCATCACTTTCAGATACAGTAATCAGACATAGATTTGGTCTTTTTAAATAGTCCCATATTTCTTGGAGGCTTTGTTCATTTCTTTTCCTTGTTTTTTCTCTAAACTTCTCTTCTCACTTCATTTCATTCATTTGATCTTCCATCACTGATACCCTTACTTCCAGTTGATCGAATCGGCTCCTGAGGCTTGTGCATTCGTCACGTAGTTCTCATGCTGTGGTTTTCACCTCCATCAGGTCCCTTAAGGACTTCTTTGCATTGGTTATTCTAGTTAGGCATTTGTCTAATTTTTTTTCAAGGTTTTTAACTTCTTTGCCGTTGGTTCGAACTTCCTCCTTTAGCTCGGAGTAGTTTGATCATCTGAAACCTTCTTCTCTCAGCTCGTCAAAGTCATTCTCCATCCAGCTTTGTTCTGTTGCTGGTGAGGAGCTACGTTCCTTTGGAGGAGGAGAGGCACTCTGATTTTTAGAGTTTCCAGTTTTTCTGCTCTGTTTTTTTCCCATCTTTGTGGTTTTATCTACCTTTGGTCTTTGATGATGGTGATGTACAGTTGGGGTTTTGGTGTGGATGTCCTTTCTGTTTGTTAGTTTTCCTTCTAACAGTCAGGACCCTCAGCTGCAGGTCTGTAGGAGTTTGCTGGAGGTCTACTCCAGACCCTGTTTGCCTGGGTATCAGTCGCGGAGGCTGCAGAACAGCAGATATTGATGAACAGCAAATGTTGCTGCCTGATCATTCCTCTGGAAGTTTTGTCTCAGAGGAGTACCCGGCTGTGTGAGATGTCAGTTTGCCCTTACTGGGGTATGCCTCCCAGTTAGGCCACTCGGGGGTCAGGGACCCACTTGAGGAGGCAGTCTGTCCGTTCTCAGATCTCCAGCTGCGTGCTGGGAGAACCACTACTCTCTTCAAAGCTGTCAGACAGGGGCATTTAAGTCTGCAGAGGTTTCTGCTGCGTTTTGTTTGGCTATGCCCTGCCCCCAGAGGTGGAGTCTACAGAGGAAGGCAGGCCTCCTTGAGCTGCAGTGGGCTCTACCCAGTTCAAGCTTTCTGGCCGCTTTGTTTACCTACTCAAGCCTCAGCAATGGCAGGCGTCCCTCCCCCAGCCTCACTGCTGCCTTGCAGTTTGATCTCAGACTGCTGTGCTAGCAATGAGCGAGGCTCTGTGGGCATAGGACCCTCCAAGCCAGGCACGGGATATAATCTCCTGGTGTGCTGTTTGCTAAGACTGTTGGAAAAGCGCAGTATTAGGGTGGGAGTGACCCGATTTCCCAGGTGCCATCTGTCACCCCTTTCTTTGACTAGGAAAGGGAATTCCCTGACCCCTTGCGCTTCCCGGGTGAGACGATGCCTCACCCGGCTTCGGCTCATGCTCGGTGCGCTGTACCCACTGTCCTGTGCCCACTTTCCAACACTCCCCAGTGAGATGAACCTGGTACCTCAGTTGGAAATGCAGAAATCACCCATCTTCTGTGTTGCTCATGCTGGGAGCTGTAGACTGGAGCTGTTCCTATTGGGCCATCTTGGCTCCACCCCAAAACCATGTCTTTAGGTGGCTAGAAGCCCATAACAAAAAAAAAAAAAAAAAGAAAGAAAAAGTATTTATATAAGGAGAAGAAATGCTACTAATACTCCTAGAAAAATGCATTGATGATGATGATGAAGAAACAAAGTTTTGTAATTTAACCCAATTGGAAATCCAAAATTTACTAAAATAATTTATATAACAGAGATAAAAGTGCACTGATTGGCTTTCATACCTCTACAACATAGTTCCTGGATTAACGTTAGTATTGGCTTAAATATAGCAATTGACAGAACTTCATGGCTTTAATACTGGAGCTCAAATTAGAGTTACACCTGGGGATCCCACTAGATTTAAACAAGATGCCCTAATCATTTTATGAGAGTAGCTAAATATAAAGTAGAGAAAAATAGGTATGTTTCACTTTATATCTTTTCCTAAATTTCCCAATCATAATACCCATTGTTCTAAATTATGTTCCAACACAATGAATAACAAATTAAATTTAATTATTTGGCATTTACGAATTGGATTGATAAAACAGGACCCCATGTGCCCCAGGTTAAAATAGTTTATAAAGTTTAATATAACTAAAAACAACCTTTTCAAGGATTAAAATATCTTATATAAAAGAAAATTAGTAAAGGAATGATCATTCCCATTGCTTCTCCATTTAACAGCCCAATTTTGCCAATTCTTAGACCTGGGAAGAATGAAGATTGCCTCATGGTAGACTACTACAGCTAAAATGCTATGGTCCCATTTGTTAAGGCTCCCATATTCAATACCCAATATTATTTTGTTATGAGAAAAAAAACAGGACTATTTAGAAGAATGTCCCCACACCCTGGGAAGGGGCTAAGTGACCAAATAATAACTTGGACAAGTCCAGCTTGATGAGTACATGAGGCTTTTAGGACTTACATACAGGACATTCCTGGGCAGCAACAGGAAAACTCCAGAGACCTGCCCTGCCACACATTTCTAAGCTGCTTTTAAGCTAATTTTTTGGGTCATTGCCTACTGCATGCAATGAGATTATTTTTTCTTGGTAGGTTACCTGTACACTCCAGGATGTTTGGGTTCCCAGGAACACCTGTTCCTCAGCTGGAAACCATTGCCTTGGCTCACCAGTTGGCCCTCAGGGGCCAAGCAGAAGACCTACACCCTTAAGTAACCTGGTGGGGGGCCCATCACCCTATGCATTTAAATTTCTGATTCTATTCAATCAGCAACCAATAAAGATTTTCCTATTATGGAAGTGGCTAATATGTATTGTTCAGTATCTATTTCAAAAATTTCTCAGCCTCAGTTTGACTTCACCTCCAAAGGGATACAATAGGCCCTTCCAGACTACTGTGTGGAAAAAAGCTTCCTCATCACACACAATCTTTGCAGGAAAGATCTTAACTAAATCCAGCTTTCTCTGGAAAGAGAGGTATCTTACTCCATTCAGGCTGCCATAACAAAAAGTAAAGACTGAGTACTTTATAAAGAATAGATGTTTACTTCTCACAGTTCCAGGGACTGGAGAGTCCAAGATTTAGGTGCCAGTAGATTTGATACCTGCTGAGGGCCCATTTATTGATGCATAGATGGTGCCTTTCTGATGAGTCCTTATATGACAGAAGGGTGAGCTGGCTCTCTGGAGTCTGTTTTATTAGGGCATTAATACCATTCATGAGAGTTCTGCCTAATCACCTCCCAGAGACTCTACCTCCTAATACTATAACATTGGGAATTAGTATTTCAACATATGAATTTTGGAGGAGGGGCCCCATGGTTTTGCTAGGCATAACCCTAGTGGCAACTCTCTGTGTTGGCTCCAACCTTACGATAGCCCACTGCTTGAGTCTTGAGCCTGAGGCTCTGCCTGGCTTCATTCTTCAAAATCTATGTGGGGGTAGCCATACCCCCATGGTTTATGCATTTTGTACTTCTTTGGAGATGGCACCACATGTACCCTGCCAAGGTTTATCATCTGTGCTGTGTGGAGGGCAGACCACCATGTCCTGTGCTGCACCTGGGCACACTGGAGCCACAGCCGGTGTGGCCAAGGACAATTTTGCTCAAATTCAGGGAGCAGAGCTTTGAAATCATTCTTCCCTCCAGGTCCTTGCATAAGCCTGTAATGAGAGAGACAGATTCCATAATCTCCAAAATTCCTTCCTGGTCATTCTGTCATTGTTTTGAGAAATAGCACTTGGCTTGTGTTAGATTCCCAATCCATACCAGTCTCCTTATCAAATGGTCACTTGACCATGCCCTTGTTCTCTCCCTAAAAGGAGGATGAATCCTTCTCCTTCTCCTTCTTCTTCTAGGTAGGGTCTTGCTCTGTTGCCCAGGCTAGGGTGCAATGGTGCAATCATAGCTCACTGCAGTCTTAAACCCCTGGGCTCAACTATTCCTCCTGCCTTAGCCTCCCAAATATCTGGGACTACAGATGTGTGCTGCCACACTTGACTAAATTTTTAAATTATTTTAAAATTTTTTGTAGAGACAGAGTCTTACTCTGGTGACCAGGCCGATCTTGAACTCCTGGCCTCAAATGATCCTCCCACTTTGGCCTCCAAAAATGCTGGAATTACAGGTGTGAACCACAACACCTGGACAGCTTTCTTATTTTTTTTCAATGTGGATAGGCTGAGAATCAAAAATTTTAAGATCTGCTTCCCTTTTGATTAACAATAACATTTAGGCCATTTCTCTCTTCTTGAATTTTACTATAAGCCTTCAAGAAAAGCCAAGCTCCACCTTCAACACTTGACTTAGAAATTTCCTTTGTAAAATATCCATTCATTTTCTCAAAAATTCTACCTTCCATCAAACACTAGAATATGAACACAGTTCATCCAATTTTTTGTCACTTTATAATGAGAATTGTCTTTCTTCCAGTTTCCAATTACAATGACATGTTTCTCATTTCTGTCTGAAACCTCATCAGAATGGCTTTTATCATCCATATTTCTATGAACATTGGGTTTATGGCCATCTTGGCATTCTCAAAGAAGATTTACCCTTTCTCTGCAGCTCTCCTCCTCTCCTTCTGAGCCCTCACTGGAATTAATCATTTAAAGCCACTTGTGGAAACATAAGTGCTTGTTAGCGTGCACCTGAAAACTATTCCAGCTCCTAGTCATTACCTAGTTTCAAAGCTGCTACCACATTTCCATTATTTATTACAGCAACACCCTAACTTCTTGGAACCAATATTTTGTCTTAGTCTTTGGGGGATTCTCTAACAAAATACAATAGCCTGAATAGTTTATGAACAAAAGAAATGTATTTTTCACCTTCTGAAGGCTGGGAAGTCCAAAATCAAGGTGCCACCAAGTTTGTGTCCAGTGAGGGTTAATTTTCCCATCCATAGGTGGTACTATATTTTTGAGTCCTCATATGGCACAAGGGTCAAGCTTGCTCTCTGGGGACTCTTTTATAAGCACATTAATTCCATTTGTGATGGCTCTGCTCTCATGGCCTAATCATCTATTAAAGATCCTGCCTCCCAGTACCATCACATTTGGGGTTAGGATTGCAACACATGAATTTTGGAAGGACAGAAACAGTTTATAGCTCCAAGGTATACATTTTACTCTCAAATACAATGGTGGTCTCTTAGAAACAACATTCAATGAAATTATATTTTCCCAATAGGCCCCCAGGAAGCTGGATTAATTGGGAAGTCTTGTGGGCTCTTCAAATGACTCCTACTTAAGTTACAAAATAATAAATGAATTCCTAAGTGGCCTCTATCTTGTCCCAGACCTTAATCTCTCTTAAGTTAAAGATGCAGAACTGGCTTATAGCAACTTTAAAAAATCTTCTCATCACCATTATCTATATTTAAAGGGAGATTCAAACGGATCCCAGATTGAGGATACAACTCTCTTAGGTACTTTTGCTAATCAGATTGTTTCACAAGACAGGCACCTGTTCATCTGATATGGAACTCACTTCAACCTAAACTTACCCCCCAAATTTTCCTCAATTTTCATTTTATAAGGGATGGATAATTTATCTGAGCTCGTCCTCTGATTACACTCAGAAATTAAAATTATTGCCCAAAAGCCAGCCCGAAAAATGGCAGAATGAAAGATAGAAAACTACAATTTGTAACTTAAACTCACATTCAGATATTGAGAGAATAAACACTATATTCCAAAATTATTGTAGGAAAACAGCCTGTTGCATGGCAAGAGTAATGCCATCTTGAAGCAAAACTGCCATAAGGACTGATGTTTCACTCCAGCATACCAAGGCATTCCAGCAGCAAGGTCAAGAAACAATGCCTGCAGCATAGCTAACTCCACATATAGAAACAATGCCTGCAGCATAGCTAACCCCTCATAAAGAAACAGTGCCTGCAGCATAGCTAATTCCTCATATAGAAACAATGCCTGCAGCATAGCTAACCCCTCATAAACAATGCCTGCGACATAGCTAACTCCTCGAATAGAAACAATGCCTGCAACATAGCTAACTCATCATGTAGCAACAATGCCTTCAACATAGATAACTCGTCATATAAAAACAATGCCTGCAACATAGCTAACCCCTCATAAAGAAACAATCCCTGCAGCATAGCTAACCCTTCATAAAGATGCTTATCTAACTTCCCCAGTAGTCACCAGTTTCACTAAGGGGTCTCAGACATAACCAGCTGCAAATGTTTTACCCAAAGAAGGCTTGCTATATAAAGAATACTTTCTAGAGGGCGAGTGCAAGGATTCACCCTCTAGTGGCCGCCTGAAACATAGCTTCTGTTCATATTAAACGTTTCTTTCTAAGAATACGGATTTGTCAGCCTCTTTGGCCTTTCAGCTCCCTCAGCCTTTGAGGGTAGGTTTGCATATACCTGCCCTGGTAATAATATACACTAGAAAAATAATCATCATTAGATAACAAAAGCATCAAGTGTTGCTACACACTATTATGTTGACAATTGGTTTTATTACTATTGATTTGGGTGTTTTCATTGCAATCTGGTAGTCCAAACCCTCCAAGTAAGCCATTGTTTCAAATAGACATAGCAAATCCTGTGGTCCACAAGCCATCAAGTATTGTTAATACAGCCCCAAACCTCATCCACTTGCCTATCACCAACAAACCAAAAACTGGAGAAAAGAGTTCATACTAAGTGGCTAAATTGGAGGACCCACCTACAATCTAATGATGGATATCCAACCTCAGCCTCAAGATTTTAATTGGCAAAAAAACCTGACACCTTATTAACAACATACACGCAAATCAGGCTGTGTGATTTAAAACCTATTTGTAGTAAAATGTTTCTTATCACCCATCTGAGAAAAACCTTGGACTATTGGGAGATTCAGATTTAGACGCTATTAATTATAGTGTTAATTGTGCCAGTCAAGTTCCAGCACTTTGGTACAGTTACAGCAGCATGTTAGATGCAGACATTACCTTAGCTAGCTGTGCACCCACAAAGCCCCTTGACCTTAAGAATATTTGCAAGTCAAATTCCCAGGCACAACATTGCCTTCAAATTCCTCAAGTGGCTCAGCCTTGTTATAATACAATAGAGGAACAAAAACATGATTCATACCAACCCTAGTGGCTATCCACTTGGGAAGGATATCCCAGTCTCACATCCCAGATGACAGTGGTCTGCCTAGTCCAGGAATTCACTGCTGGAGATGACTTAACTTCAGAGAACATTGCCCCAGACCAATACTTCACCATTGGAGATGACTTCACCTCCTGCACTGGAGATTACTTTACCTTGTACGCTTAGCTTCCCCAACAATGCCAATGGGCTGCCCCTCCTAAGGCACTAACAAATATGAAATGGGATATTTATTGTGTTTCTTCCTTTGATATTATTTCTTTGATATTAGGAATTCTAGTATGTTTTCTGAGCTCACTTTTTGCTACACAATGATCCTAGTATATAAGATGGAGCTTGGACTCCTCTTAGGGGCCTGTGGGTTGCCTCGAGCACGAAAATAAGGAAAATCTTCAGTTCTTTCAAGGTAGCCCTGAGACATATGTAAGTGACTTGATAAGCTAGACAGTAATTATAGCTTTAAACAATGTCCAAAGAAGTTAAAATCTCCTATGGAAACTAAGGTAACATCTTTTTTTTTTTTTTTTTTTTTTTTTTTTTTTTTTTTTTTTTTTTGAGACAGACTCTCGCTCTGTTGCACAGGCTGGAGTGCAGTGGCGCGATCTTGGCTCACTGCAAGCTCTGCACCCCGGGTTCACGCCATTCTCCTGCCTCAGCCTCCCAAGTAACTGGGACTACAGGTGCCCACCACCACACCTGGCTAATTTTTTGTATGTTTAGTAGAGACGGGGTTTCACTGTGTTAGCCAAGATGGTCTCGATCTCCTGACCTTGTGATCCACCCACCTTGGCCTCCCAAAGTGCTGGGATTACAGGTGTCAGCCACTGCACCCGGCTGGTGCTTCCTTTTTAGTTTTTTTTTTTTTTTTTTTTTTTGAGATGGAGTCTTGCTCTGTTACCCAGGCTGGACTGCAGTGGCACGGTCTCGGCTCATTGCAAGCTCTGCCTCCCGGGTTCAAGCCATTCTCCTGCCTCAGCCTCCAGAGTAGCTGGGATTACAGGCATGCGCCACCATGCCCGGCTAATTTTGTATTTTTAGTAGAGACGGGGTTTCTCCATGTTGGTCAGGCTGGTCTCAAACTCTCAACCTAAGGTGATCTGCCCACCTCTGCCTCCCAAAGTGCTGGGATTACAGGTGTGAGCCACTGCGCCTGGCCGCAAACCACTGATAATTCTTTTCCCAAAAAAAGTAGAAAATACCCAAATAGTATCATATATGAAATGGCTGGTATCATTACAGTTGATGCAAACACCAAAAAGATAAGATTATATTGTGAAGAATTTTATACTGTTAAATTTCAAAAGTAAATAAATTTGTTACATTCCTAGAAAAATATAAACTACTGGAAATGACGTGAAAAGAAATAAGAAAAATAAATTTTACTCTAGTTCCTAAAGAAAGTGATTGTATCAATAAAAGTTTTGCTTCTCCTTCTCTAAAATCTCCAGTCTCAGATGGCTGTATGATGAATTCTAAAAATTATTTTAAGATAAAAAATAATGTCAGTTTTATGCAAATACTTGCACAGAGAAGAAATGAGTAAACATTTCCAAATTCATTGTAGAATAACAGCTTAACCTGCTAAGGACATTACAAGACTGGAATAAAAAGGCTAATGTCACTCATAAACTTAGATTCAAATACTGTAATTAAAACATTAACAACTATAGTCTAATTATGAATAAAACATATGCAACATATATGTGATAAAAATATATCAACCAAGAAGTATTCATTCTGGGCATAAAAGCAAATTTAAACATTGGGAAATCTATTCATGTAAATGCTCATATTCAGGGAGTAAAAAAAGAAAAAGATATATACACATTCTTGTCTTCCCACAAGTCTCTAAGATAGTCCCTATTTCTTCTACTTTTTTCTTTCAGATCTTTAGGATGAATAATTTCTATTCATTTCTTTTCAAGTTTCCTGATTCTTCTTTCTGCAAAATAAAATGTGTTTGAACCCTTTCCAGTGAATTTTTATTTCTGTTACTGTAATTTTCCATGCTAGAATTTCTACTTGGTCCTTTCAAAAATTTTTATTTCTGTATTTATATTCTCTATTTGATGAGTTGTTTCATCACTCTTTACTTCTTCAAAAATGTCTTCTGCCACTTCTTTGAACATAATTATACTAGTTGCTTTGAAGTTTGTGTATGTCAAATCCAACATCTGGGTCCCCTTTACAATTTTCTGTGGACTGCTATTATTGTGTATGTGTGTGTCTAGATCACACTTTGTAGTTTCTTTGCATGTCTCATGTTTTTGTTGTTGAAAACTGGACATTTTCTGTAAGATATTATATCAACCCTGAATTCTATTTCTCTCAGAAGTAGTTATTGTTTGTTCAATGACTTGCCTGAGCTAATTCTAATTCCTCCAGAGTGTGTGGCTGCTTGTGCCTTTGCTATTTTTTTCTCCCTCATCATATTTTCATTTTCATGCCTGGCTTATTAGGAGTTGCCCCAGGTCAGCATACCTTAATGGTCAATGACTGGTTAGAGGCAGTACTGAAATTCTGTGAGCTAGTAAGGCTTCCACCATCTGCCAACGGATCCGTGTGTGGCATAGAAAACACATTCAATATTGGGCCATGCGCAGTGGCTCATGCCTGTAATCCCAGCACTTTGGGAGTCCAAGGCGGGCGGATCACGAGGTCAGGTGATCGAGATCATCCTGGCTAACACGGTGAAACCCCATCTCTACTAAAAATATAAAAAATTAGCCGGGCGTGGTGGTGGGCACCTGTAGTCCCAGCTACTCGGGAGGCTGAGGCAGGAGAATGGCGTGAACCTGGGAGGCGGAGCTTGCAGTGAGCCGAGATGGCACCACTGCACTCCAGCCTGGGCGACAGAGCGAGACTCTGTCTCAAACAAACAAAAAAACAAAAACACATTCAATATTTAGGCAGTTTACACATCTGTCCTAGCTTTTACTTTCTATGTTAGTAAGGCCTCAGATCCAGCCAGGAATGAGTCCCTTTGCTAGAGCCCTCTGTGGTGTCTCCTGGGCATGTGTGCAACATTGTATATGGGCACAGCCCTCCAGACCATCACAGATAAGTAGTATCTTATTAAATCTAACTCTGGCTGTCTCATTTCCTGGATTGGCCTTCTAAATTTCTGACTGAGATGCCAGTCTGTTACTTCCCCAACCAGTATTGTTATCTCAGGCTGGCTATGGTGTTGGCTTTCCCTGACTTTTTGCCACTAAGATCACTCCTGTTTTTGGCAATGCCCCTGGCATGAAACTTTCTGTGTTCTGCTTTAAATAAAGTCAGATCCTTATGGCAGTGGAGCTGCCATTCCTTAATGCCTGCCACACGGGGGCAAGGAGGAGGGTACTGGGAATAGCTCCAGGCTAGAATGCCAACAAATCCAAGTGCCCTAACTGAGATTTTAGAATTTCTTAAGAAAATGTGTCTCAACTTGTTGTTTTGGTTAATCTCCGAAGTGCTTAAATGGTTGTTTGGGGCCAGGCCTGGTGGCTCACACTTGTAATCCCAGCACTTTGGGAGGCCGAGGTGGGTGGATCACGAGGTCGGGAGATTGACACCATCCTGGCTAACACGGTGAAACTCCATCTCTACTAAAAATACAAAAAATTAGCCAGGCGTGGTGGCGGGTGCCTGTAGTCCCAGCTACTCAGGAGGCTGAAGCAGGAGAATGTCGTGAACCCGGGAGGCGGAGCTTGCAGTGAGCCGAGATTGTGCCACTGCACTCCAGCCTGGGCGACAGAGCGAGACTCTGTCTCAAAAAAAAAAAAAAAAAAAAAAAAGGTTGTTTCTACATTTTAACCAAACGTTACCATTGCTTTCTGGAGAGAAGGTTTGCCAAGTTCGAGATTCACCCACTCTACAAGTCTTACCTTTACCTTACCTTGATTATTAAAAGTACCCAAACTATTTTCCCATGTTTATAAGCCAAATATTAAAACTTTAAAAATTGCTTTTTAAAATGTCAACATTCTGTTAGCATTCTTTTGCCTTTTATATTTTTAACCAAGTAAATCAGGCCATTATATTAATTCATAGGTAAACCTTGTTTTTTCCTAAATTCAGATTTAGCAAGTATTTGATGTATTTATCAGCTTAATCAAACTATAATTATTTGTTAGCTTACAATAATTGGAAGAGGCATATAAATTTTAAATTTTTTGAAGTCTCTTGGGGGTATAACTGAAGCTATATTTAGTTATGTATAGTATGCCTATTTTTGTGTATGTGAAAATCTTGTTACCTTTTCTGCAATTCCACTAAGGTGTTACTGGGCTAACAAGTAATACTTTTAGCCAATCAGCCTACAGTGCTTATGTGAAGTGGGTTTTCTACTTAGGCTCAACTGACACCAAAGCTCATAGAGCTATCATAAGCCATATATTAGTCAATGTCGTCTGGAGAAACAGAACCAACAGGATATATGTAGATATCTAGAACAAAGTTATTATGAGGAATTAGCTCAGGTGGTGATGGACACTGAGAAGTCCCACAGTCTACTGTTTTCAAGCTGAAGACTTAGGAAAGCATGTAGTGCAATTCCAGTCCAAACCCAAAGTTCTGAGAACTAGGGGTGCTAATGGTGTAAGCCCCAGTATGAATCCAAAGATCTGAGAACTGGGTGACTGACAGTGTAAGTCTAGGTCCATGTCTGAAGGTCCCAGAATCTAAAACACTGATGCCTGAGAACAGGAGAAAATAGAGATCCCAGATCTGGCAGAGACAAACAAACAAAAAAAAAACCCTGCCTTTCCTCCATGATTTTTTCTAATTAGCCGGGTGTGGTGGCGGGCGCCTGTAGTCCCAGGTGCAGATTGGAGGATGCCAACCTTTACTGGTGAGGGCCATCATCTTTACTCAGTCCACTGATTTAGATGCTAATGTCTTTCAGATACAGCCTCACAGAAACACTCAGAAATAATGTTTTACCAGCTAAGGGTCTCTTAGCCCAGCCAAGTGGACAAATAAAATTAACCATCACAAGTCTACCCTTTGTCAACTTTGTACCCATGTGTTTCTCATTAAACCATACTTAATCTCCAAACAAAGACAATGACAAGGTCATATTTCTGCCCAACATCATATAACTACCCTGTTTACAGCCATAAATGCACTAATCCCTTCCCAGGAAGAGGTGAAGTCCATGAGTAATGTTTACTCTTCTCCTGACATTGTATAACATAAATACTACTATGTAAAATCAATAATACTTAAAGACTATGAAGTAAAGTCAACACATGTTATTATACATAATAAGGGACTAAGAGAGGGGAAAAACAAAGATATTTGCTTAATATAGACATATATGAACACAACATATTTAGAAAATATAAGAAGGACATACTCATGACAGTTACAGCCTTGGTCTCTGTACTCACCATGTGGTCCTAGCAGGTGCTTATAACTCCCGTCTTCTACACCCATTCTATATTCCCTTTGCCTTCAGTGAGCACCTCAGCTTTTTATTAGATCCTTACCTAGTAGACCGACCCAAACTTTCATTCCTGTATCATCTGAGCTGTTAGTATTACTGCCTGGATTAGCTTGCTGCAGTTTTCCATTTATCTTAATCACAGGGATGGCACTACCAAGAAATGCCCTAAGGGATCCTCTGTATTATGAACATAATGCTTCCATACCTCCACTGTGGGGTAGCAGTCCAGTTTCCACTTGGAAGTTGGGACCAACTGCCCCAGCCAATAACATAACTCTCTTTTTGCCTATTAATGGAGAGGTATGAGAAACCCAAGGTGATGGGGTGGCAGTCTTAAATTTTACTTCAAATCATTATTGTGTCTCCTGTTGGAAGCATTTCTTCATATCCAACTAAGACCTCTAGGCCAGCAGGACATAAATTCACTGGAATAGTGAGAAAAATTTTTGCTAGTGGAACACTAGGTGTAATACTGAAGGATACCTTTCCCTTTCCCACCCCTTGATTTCTGAAATTGTAAATTCTGAATATTGGAGAAACAGCACTATATATTGGTCACAAATTCAGAGCATATATAGTCTTCTGGAAATGTTTTTCCTAGCCCTCCAAGCTGTTGCCACATAGCTGCCACTATAACTGAGTCTCTGAATGTCCATTCCACCATTCTACCAGACCAGGCTTCGGGATGGTGGGAGACATGGTAAGACCATTGAATTTCATGAGCATGAGCCCATTACCACACTTCTTTGACCATTGAATGAGCTACTTGATCAGAAGCAATACTGTGTGGAATACTATGATGGTGAATAATGCATTCTGTAAGTCCACAGATGCTAGTTGGCAGCAGAAGTATTGCATGTAGGGAAGTTGAATCCATGTCCATAGTAACTATCTGTTCCACTAAGAACAAAATGCTGCCCCTTCCATTATGGAAGTCGTTCAATGTAATCTACCACTAGGTAGCTGGCTGATCACCTTGGGAAATGGTGCCATATTAAGGACTCAGTGTTGGTCTTTGCTGTGGGTAGATTGGACACTCAGTGCTGGCCACAGGCAGGTCAGCCTTGGTGATTACGTTCATGTTACTGAGCCCATGCATAACCTCCATCCCTGCCACCATGGCCACTTTTTAAATGAAGCCAGTGGACAATGACAGGGGTGGCTGGGGAAAGGAGCTGAGTGGTATCCACAGAATGGGTCATCCTGTCCTCTTGATTATTAAAATTCTCCTCAATTGTTTATCCTTTGATGAGCATTCACATAAGATACACATATCTTCACATTATTTTTTTCCCACTCAGAGAGATCTGTCCCCACATGTCATTCCCAAATGTCTTTGTCACCAGTCTTCCATCATATTCCTTCCAAGTCCCTGGTCCTCCAGCTGAACTATTGGTCACAACCCAGGAATTGCATATAATTTCACAGCTGGCCTTTTCTCCCTCCAAGAAAAGTGCACAGCCAAGTGCCTTGTCTAACGTTCTGCCCACTGAGTAGATTTCCCTTCCACAGAGTTTGTCAGAGATATATCTTAGAAAAGCTCGACAGTGCTGCAGATGTTCACTTTTGGTGGTTTTTCCATATTGTGCAGAACCATCTGTAAACCAGGCATAAGTTTTTTTACTTATATATGTGGCTGTCAGTCAAATCTTAGATCAGAGCCAGTTTACAGACCTATACTCCCTTGAATGAAGGGGAGTCTCGTTTCCTGGGGGAGGGATCCTGGTACATTGAAAAATATATATATTGTTAATCTTTCTTGCAGTCCTCCCTTAAAGGAACCAACAGCCTTTATTTTTTAATTTTATTTATTTATTTTTTGAGCCATACTCTTACTGTGTTGCCCAGGCTGGAATTCAGTGGCGCGATCTTGGCTCACAGCAACCTCCGCCTCCCAGGTTCAAGCGATTCTCCTGCCTCAGCCTCCTGGATAGCTGTGATTACAGATGTGTGCCACCACACCCAGCTAACTTTTGTGTTTTTAGTAGAGACAGGGTTTCATCATGTTAGTCAGGCTGGTCTCGAACTCCTGATCTCATGATCCACCTGCCTCGGCCTCTCAAAGTGCTGGGATTACAGGCATGAGCCACTGCGCCCAGCCCCAACAGCCTTTAACTAGAGTAACTGCACTTGGGAAAAAAGAGATAATCAGATGTTTGGAGACAATTAAACACTGACTCTCAACTGACATTAATGTCAAAAGGCTCAAAACATCACTGTGGTCTATCAGTTACAGGAAGGGCCTATGAGGGTCAATGATCAATAGAGTTTTAGCTGAAGTCTATCTCACAGTGGGCCCAGGGTGTGCCTAAATCCATCTTGTGGTTATTTTCCCAGTTCCAAGAAGCATAATTGGAGTAGAAATAGCAGCAGGTCAAATCTACAAATTGGTTCCCTAACCTCTGGAGCGAGGGCTATTATCATAGGAAAGGCCAAGTAGAAACCACTGTAACTGCCTCTACCTAGGAACATAGTAAAACAAAACCGTACCATATACCTGGAGGGATTGCAAAGATCACTGCTGCCGTCAAAAACCTGAAAAGTGCGGTCGGTGTTGCAGGATTGACACTACCCTACTTCAAGACTTACCATAAAGCTACAGTGATTAGTGTGGTATTGGTGACAGAATAGAGGAATAGATCAATGAAACAGAATAGAGAGCCCCAAAACAGACACACATAAATACAGGCAACTGATCATTGACAAACGGGCAAAGACAACACAATGGAGAAACGGTAGTCTTTTCAACAAACAAGCATCCTTTTGAAAAAAAAAAAAAAATTGAATCTGGGCACAGACCTTAACCCTGCATGGAAATTAACCCAAAATGGACCATAGACCTAACTGTAAACCACAAAACTATAAAACTCATAGAGTATAATACAAGAGAAAACATAGATGACCTTGAGTATGCTGATGGCTTTCTAGATGCAACACCAAAGGCATGATCCATGAAAGAAATAATTGATAAGCTACATACTCTATGAGTCTAACTATACGACAGTCTCTAAAAGGTAAAACTATGAGGACAGTGAAAATACCAGTAATTGGATGAATAGGCAGAGCACAGAAGATTTTTAGGACATTGAAAATACTGTGTAGTGATGGATACATGTTATCATACATTTGTCCAAACCCATAGAATGTATAATACAAGATTGAACCTTAGTGTAAACTATGGACTTTGGGTAATAATGATGTATCGATGTAGGCTTATCAATTGTAACAAATGCACCACTCTTGTAGCAAAGGTTGATAATGAAGGAGGCTAATCATGTATAGGTGGGTAGGAGATATGTGGAAAATCTTTGTACCTTTCTCTTAATTTTTCTGTAAACCTAAAACAGATTTTAAAAACAGTCTTTCATGGGGCTGGGTGCGGTGGCTCACGCCTGTAATCCCAGCACTTTGAGAGGCCGAGGCAGGCGGATCACAAGGTCAGGAGATCGAGACCATCCTGGCTAACACAGTGAAACCCCGTCTCTACTGAAAGTTAAAAAAATTAGCCGGGTGTAGTGGCAGGTGCCTGTAGTCCCAGCTACTCGGAAGGCTGAGGCAGGAGAATGGCCTGAACCCAGGAGGTGGAGCTTGCAGTGAGCCGAGATCGCGCCACTGCACTGCGACAGAGCAAGACTCCGTCTCAAAAAAAAAAAAAAAAAAAAAAGGTGTAGAAATGGTGAGACCCACCACATCCCCATTCAACTTACTTACTTGGCCTGTGCTGGAAACATGTATCTTTGAGAATAACAGTGGGTTATCTTAACATTAACAAGCTGGTAACTCCGCTTGCAGCTGCTATACCGGTTGTGGTTTCATTGTTTGAATAGATTAAAATATACCCTGGTTTATGACATGCAGCCATTTGTCTGGAAAATGCCTTTTTCTCCTTCATATCTAAGATTAAAGACTACCAGAAAATGTTTGCAATACACTTTCTCTGTCCTACCTCAAGGTACAACAACTCTCCAGCTTTATGTCATAAATAATTTATAGGGACCTTGATGTTCTACAAGATTTTATGTTGGTCTGTTAATCATTGATAACATTATGCTGATTGGTCCTAGTTCGCAAAAAGTAGCAACTAATCTATACTTATTGGTAACACATTTGTGTGCCAAACGGTTGGAAACAAATTAAAAAAAAAACTCAGGGGCTTTTGGCCTCAGTAAACTTGGGTTCCAGTTGTATTGGGGGCATGTCAAGATAATTCTTCTAAGATGAATAATAACTTATTGCATCTGGCCCCTCCTACAATCAAAGGGAAAGGCACAATGTCTAATTGGCCTCTTTGTAATTTGGAAGCAACGTATTCTTCATTTGATTGTGCCACTCTGGCACATTTAATGAGGTGAACTTAAAAGCTGCTAGTTTTGAGTGGGGCCCAGAAGAAGAAAAGGTTCAGCAACAGTTCCAGGCTGCTGTGCAAGCTGCTCTGCTACTCGAGCCAGGTGATCCAACCGAGTCAGTGGTATTGAAGTGGCTGTGGCAGATAAGGATGCTTTTTCAGCCTTTGGCAGGCTACTGAAAGTAAATTATAACACAGACCCGTAGGATTCTGGAGTCAAGTCCTACCATCCTCTGTGGATAATTACTGTCCTTAAAGAAGCAGCTTTTGGCTTGCTACTGGGTCTTAGTAGAGACTAAACATTTAACCATGGGGTATCAACTTACCGTGCAATCTAAGGTGTCCATTATAAACTCAGTGTTGTCTGACCCACCAGGCCACAGAGTTGGGTGTGCACAGCAGAACTCCGTCATCAAATGGAAATGTTTTGTACAAAACTGGGTCTGAGCAGACTCTGAAAATGCAAGTAATTTATATGAGTAAGTGGCCCAAATGCCCATGGGCTCCATTTTGGCTATATTATCTTCTCTCTCTCATCCTGCCTCTACAGCCTCATGGAGACTTGTCTGTGATTGGTTGGCAGAGAAGGAGAAAACATCTACCTGGCCCTAGGGGGTTCTTTGTAATAGGCAGTCATAGCACTACAGTCCCATTCTGGAACATTCCTAAAGGACAGTGGTGAACACAAATCCTCCCAGTAGCCATGGTCAAGAAGTAAACCTGGCTATTCATTGTACTTGGAAGGAGAAATGGCCAGACTGAGTCACAGGCTATGGCAAGTGGTTTGGCTGGTTGGTCAGGTACTTTGAAAGAAATACAATTTGAAAACTGGTTACAAGGTCTGTGGAAGAGATATGTGGATAGACATTTCTGAGTGGGTAAAGAGCACGAATATATTTGTGTCTCATGTGAATGCTCATCAAACAGTGACCTTAGAAGAGGAGAATTACAACAATTAAGTGGACAGTGTGATCTGTTCTATGATTCTAGCTGGCCCCTTTCCCCAGCCATTCCTGTCATTGCCCACTGGTCTCATGAACCAAATAACCACAGTGGCAGGAATGAAGACTATGCATGGGCTCAGAAACATGGACTTTCACTCACCAAGGCCAGCATGACTGCAGCAACAACTAACTGCCAAATCGGCCAGCAGTAGGAACCAACACTGAGTCCCTGATATGGCACCATATCTTGGTTAAACATCTAGCTTCCTAGAGGAAGTTTGATTACATGGCCCCACTCCCATCATGGCAGCGTCAGTTTTTTGTTCTAACTGGAACACACACTTACTGTGGATGTGGATTTACATTCCCTTTACGCAGTGTTTCTGCCGGGAAACACAACAATGACTCTATTAGTGTGAACATTTAGACTGCCACCCAGATAGTTTGAGATCCTCATGTTTCAGAATCAATGGGTAAGGAAGGCAATTAACATACTGACTGTGATGATTGACACTAATTACCAAGGGGAAATTAGACTGTTACTCCACAAATGAGGTAAGAAAGAGTATTCTGCAAAACAGGAGATCCCTTTGGGTGACTTCTACTACTAACACGCACTGTGATAAATTCAATGGATAACTATGACAACCTAATTCAGACAGGACTAGGCCCACTACCTTCTGGAATAAATGTCTGGGTTATTCCACTAGGCAAAGAACTCTAATCAACCAATGGTCTGGCTGAGGGCACCAGAAATAAAGATTGAGTAGTGGAAGAAGGTGGCTATAAATACCAGGTATAATCATATGACCACTTACAGAAATGTGAATAATGACTGAGTATTTTTTATTGTATTATATATGTTTGTGATATATATTATGTGTATTGTATATAGTAATGTTATATATATGTTTGTGATATATATCACATATATCTATATGTCTCCCTCCCTCTCTTCTCTCTCTCTCTCCATATATATATATCTTTCTTTCTTCCCTCTTTTATCATCTTATCATCTAACATAATATGTATCCATTTCACATCACAGTATTTAATATTGTTAACTTTACATCATAGCATTTAATTTATAGGATATCAAGAAGAGTGAATGTCATTAAGCACCTATCATCCTCTTCTGGGGAAAGGGTTAGTTTTTGTTTACACACAGCATAGTTGTGTCATGTTAGGCAGAACTATGACCTTGTTATTGTCTTTATTTGGAGATTAAGTATGGCTTAAGGAAATTTGTATGAATACATATTTGCAAGGGGTGAATTGAAATGGTTAATTTTATGTGTCATTCTGGGTAAGCGATGATACCCAGTTTAGTCAGCCAGCAGTATTGATGTTGTGAAGGCACTGTTTAGCAATGATAAACATTGAAATCAGTAGGCTTTTAGTAAAGCCTATTACTCTCCATAATATGGGTGACATCATTTGTATATTTGTCCCCTCCAAATCTCATGCTGAAATTTGATGCCCAGTGTTGGAAGTAGGGCCTGGTGGGAGGTGTTTGAGTCATGGGGACAGATCCCTTGTGAATGGCTTGGTGCCCTCCCCATCAGTTACCATGAGATCTGAGTGTTAAAAAGAGCCCAGCACCTCCTCCTCTCCCTCTTGCTCCCTCTCTCACCATGACACACCTGCTCCCCCTTAGCTTTCCACCACCATGAGTAAAAGTTTCCTAAGGCCTCACCAGAAGCAGATGCTGGCACCATGCTTCTTGTACGACCTGCAGAACCATGAGCCAAATAAACTTTCTTTCCTTATAAGTTGCCCAGCCTCAGGTATACCTTTATAGCAACACAAAACAGATTAATACAGTGGGTGAGCTTTATCCAATCAATTGAAGGCCTTAAGAGAAAACATTGAGGTTCCCTGAGAATTAAGAAATTCTACCAGAAATTTATTATCTCACAATTCCGAAGGCTAGAGGGTGGAATTAAGGTGTTGGCAGAGACATGCTTCCTCTGAAACCTGAAGGATAACCTTTCCTTACCTCTCTATAGCTTGTGCTGGTAGGCTGGCCATTTTTTGGCATTCCTTTGCTTGCACAATGCCAACCTTTGCTTTTGTTGTACCTGGCATTCTCCCTGTGTCTCTCTGTTGTCCACCCTCTGTGCATGTCTTCACATGGCATCTTCCTTTCCTATTAGAACACCAGAAACCCTGGAGTAGGACCCATCCTACCCCAGCATGTTCTCTTCTTAGCTACTTACATATACAATAATCCTGTAGGCAAATGAGGTCACATTTACAGATACCGGGGGTTAGGGCTCAAGCATATGTGTTTTGGGGGATGCAATTCAACCCATAAGTATGATTAAGAATACTGGGTTCAGGCCGGGCGCGGTGGCTCATGCCTGTAATCTGAGCACTTTGGGAGGCCCAGGCGGGCGGATACCGAGGTCAGGAGATCGAGACCATCCTGGCTAACACGGTGAAACTGAGTCTCTACTGAAAATACAAAAAAATTAGCTGGGCGTGGTGGTGGGCGCCTGTAGTCCCACCTACTCGGGAGGCTGAGGCAGAAGAATGGCGTGAACCCCGGAGGCAGAGGTTGCAGTGAGCCGAGATGGTGCCACTGCACTCCAGCCTGGGCGACAGAGCGAGACTCCGTCTCAAAACAAAACAAAACAAAACAAAACAAAAAGAATGCTGGGTTCACAGGTCATATTTTCCCTTCCTAATCTTTTATTAGTTATTTATTTATTTTTTGAGATGGAGTCTCGCTCTGTCGCCCAGGCTGGAGTGCAGCGGTGCCATCTCGGCTCACTGCAAGCTCTGTCTCCCGGGTTCAGGCCATTCTTCTGCCTCAGCCTCCCGAGTAGCTGGGACTACATGGGCCTGCCACCACCTCCGGCTAATTTTTTTGTACTTTTAGTAGAGACGGGGTTTCACCTTGTTAGCCAGGATGGTCTCGATCTCCTGACCTTGTGATCCGCCCGCCTCGGCCTCCCAAAGTACTGGCATTACAGGGGTGAACCACTGCGCCCCTCCCCTTTCCAATCTTTAACGATATTCTTCCACAGTCTTTCACTTGTTTCTCACAACAGATTTGCTGCCATCATTATTTTTGTTCCCTGTTTATAAAAATTTTTGTTCTCCATGTGTTTTCTTCTCTGACTTTTTTGAAGATATTTTATGTTCACTAGTTTGTAGAAAATTGATTATGATGTTCCTGGTATAGTTTCTTAACGTTTCTTGTGCTTGCAGTTCATTAATTTTCTTGTATGTCGATATTTTATTTTTCAGAAAATTTAGGAAAAAAATAACCATTATTTCTTCAATTCTGTTTCTGACTCTCCTGTTATCTTCATTGTGGGGTCTAATCACACATATATTATACTACTTGAAATTAACCCACATCTTTTTTTTTTTTTTTTTTTTTTTTTTTTTTTGAGACGGGGTCTTGCTCCGTAGCCCAGGCCGGAGTCCAGTGGCGCGATTTCGGCTCACTGCAAGCTCCGCCTCCTGGGTTCACACCATTCTCCTGCCTCAGCCTCTGGAGTAGTTGGGACTGCAGGGGCCCGCCACCATGCCCGGCTAATTTTTCGTATTTTTTATTAGAGACCGGGTTTCACCGTGTTAGCCAGGATAGTCTCAATCTCCTGACCTCGTGATCCGTCCACCTCAGCCTCCCAAAGTGCTGGGATTACAGGTATGAGCCACAGCGCCTAGCCGAAGTTAACCCACATCTTAATCATGCGTTTAATTTAAAAAGTTTTTTCTTTGTGATTCATTTTGAACAGTCTGTATTCCTCTATCTTGTGACTCACTAATCTTTACTTCTGCCATGTCCAATCTGCCATTAATGACACCCAGTGCAGTTTTCATCTCAGACATTTTTATTTTTATCTAGAAAAAAATCTAGGCCATTTTTATATGTCCTATGTCCTTACATGACTTCTTAAACATATGAACTATACTTATAGTAACTGTTTTATGCCCTTCTAATTTTAACATCTGTTTCAGTTATGGGTAACATTTGATTGGTTGACTCTTCCTCTTATTATGGGTTTCATTTGCCTGCTTCTTTGCACTCCTGGTAAACTTTTTTGGATACCAGATACTGTGATTTTAACCTTGTTTGGTGCTTGTCTTAGTTCATTCTGGCTGCTGTAACAAAATGCCAAAATTGAGTAGCTTGAAGAAGAGAAATTTAATAGTTGTAGAGGCTGAGAGCTCCAAGATCAAGGGAAAAGCAGACTTCAAGTCTGGTGAGGGCCTGCTTCCTGATTCACAGATAGCCATTGCATTGTTGTTGTGCAGTGGTCTCTTTATCCCCTTATAAGAGCACTAATTCCATTCATGAGGGCTCCACCCTCCTGACCTAGTCACCTCCCAATGTCCATGCCTCCTAATTTTATCACATTGGAGATTAGGTATAGATGCATGAATTTGAGGGGAGATACAAACATTCAGACCATAGCATTGCTAGATATATATTTTCAACTTTTATTACAGGTTTAGTGGGTACATGTAGAGGTTTATTACAGAGGTATATTGCATGATGCTGAGGTTGGAAATACGAATGAATCCATCTCCCTGGTAGTTCACAGAGTGCCCAATAGGTAGTTTTACAGCCCTTGCTCCCTCCTTTCTTTCCCCCACTTGTATTTCATAGTGTCTATTATTCTTATCTTTACGTCCATGGGTACTCAGTATTTACCTCACACTTATAAGTAAGAACATGCAATATTAGGCTTCAAGTTTCTGAATTAGTTTAGGATAATGGCCTCCAGCTGCATCCATGTTGCTGCAGATTTTATTCTTTTTATGGCTGTATAGTATTCCCTGGCATAGAGGTACCACATTTTCTTTATCCAATCCAGAGTTGATGTGCACCTGGGGTGATTCCATGTCTTTGCTATTGCAAATAGCACTGCGATGAACATACAGGTTCATGTGTCCTTTTAGTAGAATGACTTACTTTCCTTAGGGTATAAACCCATAATATAGTTGCTAGATCAAACAGTAGTTCCACTCTTAGTTCTCTGAGAAATCTCCAAACTGTTCTCCACAGTGGCTGGAGTAATTTACATTCCACCAGTGGTGAATAAGTATTCCCCTTTCTAAACAGCCTTGTTAGCCACTGCTGTCTTTAAGCTTTCTAACAAAAGCCATTCTGACTTGGTGTGAGATGGTTTTGATTTGCATTTTTCTGGTGATTGGTGATGATGGGCATTTTTTCATGTTTCTTGGCCACTTGTATGTCTTCTTTTGAGAAGTGATTGTTCATATCCTTTGCCCACTTTTTAATGAGGTTGTTTTTTTGCTTGTTGATTTCAGTTCCTTATAGATTCTAGATATAAGGCCTTCGCCAAATGCACAGTTTATGAATATTTTCTCCCATTCTGTAAATTATCTGTTTATACCCTTGATAGTTTCTCTTGCTGTGAAGAACTTATTTAGTGTAATTAGTTTCCATTTGTCAATTTTTGTTTTTGTTGCTATTGCTTTTTAGAACTTAGCCATAAATTGTTTGCCAAGGCCAATATTAAGAAAGGTATTTCCTAGATTTTCTTCTAATATTTGTATAGTTTGAGGTCTCACATTTACATCTTTAATCCATCTTGAGTTAACTTTTGTATATGGTGATAGGTAGGGGTCCAGTTTCATTCCTCTGCGTATGGCTAGTTAGTTGTCCTAGCATCATTTATTGAATACAGAGTCCTTTTCCCATTGCTTATTTTTGCTGACTTTGTCAAAGATCAGTTGGTTGTAGGTGTGTAACTTTATTTCTGCGTTCTCTATTCTGTTCCATTGGCCTATGTGTCTGTTTTTGTACCAGTACCAGAGTGCTGGATATTTTTATAATATTAAAATATTCCTGATGGTTGTTCTGGAATATAGTTAGGTTTCTTGAAACCAATTTGATTATTTTGGTTCTTGCTCTCAAAATCTGTCAGGGAAGACCAAAGCAATATTTGGTGTGAGGCTAATTAATACCCTAATCAATGCCCCAATGAATTATAACATTTACAAGTCTTATTTGTGGTACCAGTCTTTACTACCAGCCCTGTGTGTGTCCCAGGTGCTGTTTTTTCTAATCCTTTTGTATTGTTCTTTTACTAATGTTGAGTACTATGCAATAAAGGATTAATTCAGCAGGGCTGGGCTGTACACACACTGCACATTCCAAAGAAAGAATTGTCCCTTGCCTGGCTCCTGGAAGGTAACCTCTAAATCCTTGAGATAGCTTCCTGTTGTATTTCTTTGCCTGGTACATGTTTATTACCTGAGGATATAGGACTGCACCAGAAAGTTTATGCTGATGATGTGACTTATGGTGGGGCATTGGGCCAACTGGTATCAGCTTGGCCTCTTGAGGAGCTGGAAACAAAGACCAGATAAGCTTATATGACCAGCCTTGGATAAAAAAAAACAAGACATCAAGGCTCAGTGAGCTTCACTGTCTGGCAATACTTTATGTGTGTTGCACACACCGTTGGTGGTAAAATGAAGTGCTGTCCACATGACTCCAATGAGGGAAGACAAATGTGTACCCGGTTTCTTCTGGACGCTCTCCTAGGTGCTTTTTCCCATGGTTGATTTTACTCTATATCCTTTCACTGTGACAAATTTTAACTATGAGCATAACAGCTTTTCTGAGTTCTGTGAGTTCTTGTAGCAATGATTAAACCTGAGGGTGGTCTTGGCAACCCTCGAATACAGGTAGTTTTCTTGTACATATATCCTCAGATGAATACTTGATGGGAACCCTCTGGAATCTCTGGCTTTATCTTTCTGTGCAGCTGTCTCCTTTCTGACACTCTCCCACATGAGTTATAGTCCCCTTAGTCTCCTGAGACTAAATTCCATATCCTCAAATCTGGTAGTCTGCCATCCTACACTTGGGTTCCCCTTGCCTGCACCGTAGCTTGGGAACTCAAGCAGTAAAAGAGGAAAATGATAGGGATTATTGCATTTGTTTCTTGTCTCTCAGGGAATCATAGTTATTCAGTGCCTGTTACAGGATAGATTTTGTCTGCTCAAAAAAGTTTGTTGTTCTAACTCCCAGTACCCCAGAATGTAATCTTATTTAGAGATCAATCTTTACAAAGTTAATCAAGATACAATGAGGGCAGGCTCTAATGCATTATGACTGATGTCCTTATAAAAAAGAAAAATTTGGATATACAGACACACATAGAAGAAAGGGTATTTGAATAGACATAGGAGAAGAAGACAACCATCTAAAAGCCAAGGAGAGAGATTTAGAACAAATACTTCCCTCACATGTGACATCAACACTGCCAAGATCTAGATTTCAGACTTCTAATATCTGCACCTGTGAGATAATATATTTATGATGTTTAAGGCACCCAGTTTGTGTTACCTTGTTATGGCAGCCCCAGCAAACTAATACAGTGCCTGAGATCCAGTGTCTGAAACCATTATTTTATATTTTTGTCTGCTTATTTTCTTGTTTAAGGTGAGAGGGTCCTATTGTCCGAACGTTTGTGTCTCCCAAAATTTATACGTTGAAACATAATTAACATATGAATGTGATGGCATTGGGAGGTGGGGCCTTTGAGAGGTGATTAGGTTATGAGAAAAGAGCCCTCAGGACTAATGCTTTTTAAAAAGAGGCCCCAGAGAGCTGCCTTGCCCCTTCCACCATGTGTGGACACAGCTAGATGGCACCTGTGGACCAGAAAGCTGGCCCTCATCACTCACCCAGATTAAACTGGTAAGAAACATGATGGTATCAATAAGAGTTTATCAGAAAATAATATGTCATTCTAGAGGAATATACCAACATTTTAGACTTAAAGTTATTAATAAAAATAATTTGCCAGTTACAATTAATAGCACATAATGATAGCTAGTCAGAAAAGAAAATACAATATCAGGAATAGAATACAAGTAGTTGCGGAAGCCTAAAGTGATTTTTACTAATCCTCTTTTCTATAAACATCTTAAAAACTAGATAGAAATTTACAAAGCATCAATTTAAAGAAACTGAGGATGCCTGCTTCTGGCCAAGGTGGAATAATGCGGGCAGAATTTACCCCTTGTTTTATTACATTCTGACTGTTATAACAAAACATCATAAACCAGAAAACTTATAAACAGCAGAAATTTATTTCTCACAGTTATGAAGGCTGGGAAGTCCAAGATCAAGGTGCTAGAAGATTGAGTGTCTGATAAAAGTTTGTAGAGAGGCATGTTTAAAACACTTCTGGTTTGTCTGTTCAGTGAAGTATATGCATTGATGGCTCCAGTTCAGCTCTGTGTACCATTTCAACATTTTCCATATTTACCAGTCCCTGGGATTTGATATTTGTCCATCTGTAGTGGTGCTATTCAATAAGATAGCAAGTAGCTACATATGACTATGTAACATTAAAATAAAATTATTTAAACTTAAATACAATAACATTTTGTTCCTCAGTCACACTTTCCACATTTCAAACTGTCACAGTGTACATCAGCACAGAAAGTTTGGTTGGACTGTACTGCTCTAGATTCTCAATAACGCTAAAGTAACTTGATATGATTTACATTTTACAAGTATTACTCTGACTCTTCTGAGAGTGGCAAGGAACGGAGAAAGATAATAAAAGACAAGAGACTATTGTGATGATCCAAATTGGAGATGATAATAATTTTGCATCTGAGTTGTGGCAATGAACATGATTTAAAAAAAAAAAGTCAGGTAAAGGATATATTTCTAATAAACAGCTAATGGACTTGCTGAGGCTTTGCATGAAAACTCATGAGGATTCCAAAGTTTTTGTTTGAGCAAATAAAACAATGAAGTTACCATTTAGTAAGATGGGAAAGAAGGTGGCAGGAATAAATTTGAGACAATGAAGCAGATTATGAGTTAAGTTTAAAATGAGATGACAGAAGGGCAATTGGATACAACTATGAGATTCAGGGATAAGACTTCCTTGGAGATTAGAAGTTGAGAGTCATCAGTTTATGGATTGTATTTAAAACTGTTGACTTGAGAAAAGTGACATCAGCAACATGGAAGACCAGGATGCTCCCAGTCCACACCACCCACAGATGTATTAAAAAAAAAAAAAAAAAACTGAAACTGGCTAAAATAACTTGAGAGGAGTTCTGGAAAATAGACCAATGTCTTCAGTAACCAAGTAAAAGTAAATGACCAGTCTTCTACATTCTTTCTATTTGTTTTGTTACTCATTAGCCATCCCTACATACCCTTCACCCTCTCACTACACTTGCCAGCCTCTGATAACCATCTTTCTGCTCTCTGTCTCTATTAGTTCACTGTTTTGATTTGTAGATCTTACAAATAAGTGAGAATGTGAAGTTTGTCTTACTGTGTCTGGGATATTAGTCCATTTTCACACTACTGTAAAGAACTACCTGAGACTGGGTAGTTTATAAAGAAAAGAGGTTTAATTGACTCACAGTTCCACATGGCTGGGCAGGTGACTGGAAACTTACAATCATGGTGGAAAATGAAGGGGAAGAAAGGAACGTCTTACATGGCGGCAGGAGAGAAAGAGAATGAGGGGGAAAGTCCTACTCTTTTAAACTATCAAATTTCATGAGAACTCACTCACTATCACAAGAACAGCATGGAGGAAATCTGCTGCCATGATCCAGTCACCTCCCACCAGGTCCATCTCTCAACACATGAGGATTACAATTTGACATAAGATTTGGGTGGGGATACAGAGCCAAACCATATCACCTGGCTTATTTCATTTAACATAATGACCTCCAGTTCCATCCACGTTTTTGCAAATAACAGGATCTCATTCTTTTTTATGGCTGAATAGTACTCCATTGTGATAAGTACCACATTTTCTTTATTCATTTTTCTATTGATGGACCCTTAGGTTGCTTCCAAATCTTAGCTATTATGAACAGTGCTGTAACAAACATGGGAGCAAATATATCTCTTAGATATACTGATTTCTTTTAGGTATATACCTAAAAGTAGAATTGCTGGATCATATGATAGCGCTATTGTTAATTTTTCTGAGGAACCTCCAAACTGTTCTCCATAGTGGTTGTATAATTTACATTCCCACCAATAGTGTATGGGGGTTCCTTTTTCTCCACATCCTCTCCAGCATTTGTTAATGCTTGTCTTTTGAGTAAAAGCCATTTTAACTGGGGTGAGATAATATCTCATTGTAGTTTTCATTTACATTTCTCTGATGATCAGTAATGTTGAGCACCTTTTCACATGCCTGTTGGTGATTTGTATGTCTTTTTTTGAAAAATGCTTATTCAAATAAAAATTTTGCCCATTTTTAATCAGTTTATTAGATTTTTTCCTATAGAGTTATTAGAGCTTGTTACATGTTCTGGTCATTAATCCCTTGTCATATATGTAGTTTGCAAATATTTTCTCCCATTCTATGTGTTGTCTCTTCACTTTGTCATTTGTTTCCTTTGTTGTACAGAAGCTTTTTAACTTGATGTGATCCCATTTTTTCCATTTTATTTTGGTTATCTGTACTTGTGGGGTATTACTCAAGAAATATTTGCCCAGACCAATGTCCTGGATAGTTCCCCTAATGTTTTCTAGTAGGAGTTGCATAGTTTGATGTATTAAGGTCTTTAATTGATTTTAATTTGATTTTTATATATGGCAGGAGATAGGGGTCTAGTTTTATTCTTCTACATACAGATAGCCACTTTTCCTAGCACCATTTATTGAAGAAATTGTCTTTTCCCCAGTGTGTGATCTTGGCACTTTTGTCAAAAATGAGTTCACTGTAGGTGTTTACATTTGTTTCTGGGTTCTCTATTCTGTTCCATTGGTCTGTGTCTGTTCTTATGCCGGTACCGTGCTGTTTTGGTTACTGTAGCTCTTTGAAGTCAGGTAATGTGATTCCTCCACTGTTGTTGTTTTTTTTTTTTTTTTTCTCTCTTGTTTGGAGATTCAAAGAGTTTAATTTTTCCCTAGAGCAAGATCAACAATTTTCACTGGGATAAAAGAATAAAGAACAAACTCAATAGCACCAAATGGGGTTTTAACACAGAAAACAGGGCCACTCCTTTTAAATGCAAATTTTTACATTAAAATATGTTTATAAATCATAGTAGTTCTTTTTCCTCTTGATTCAACATTTCTTCCTCCCCTAACAGGAGCCCTAGAACCTGAAGAGCATGTACATTACTAACCAGATACACAATCCACCCACCCTGTCCAAACTGGAATCTGATTACTAATGGACTTAGACTTGGGGCTGGCCCCAAGGGATGGGAAGCAGTAACTATGCTGTCAGGGAGAATGGGTACTGAGGAAGCCACCAGTCAAAAAGCCAAACGCTGTGCACTGGGTCCAGCATGACTTGCACACCCTGTTCACTGCACAGTTTCTGACCACCATGAACAGGGGAATCTTGGAACACCAGTCTCACTCGATGATGCCGCGTGTCCGTGCTCGCATTGACAGTAAACAGAGTAAATATCATTCCCATGACAATCGGAATAAAGATGAAATTGAGGGTGGTGACCTGCAGTAGGCAGCAGTCCTGGTCTCCATTGGTATGAACATCTTCGTACTGGATGGGAAGCTGCAATCCTCCTGTACACTTGCTCTTTAACCTAGCGGACTGTTTTTTGAACTTGAAGTTGAATTCCCGCATTGGTTCCTGTCTGTTCCCAATAATCTTTCTGCACCAGAAAAGTAAGCATTTGGAATTCTTTAATGTGCTGGGGGTGCTTTCTGGAATGGCTGGATTCTTGGAGATTCCAGCAGCAAATGGCTCATACATATGGTACAGAGATCAGACCACAATGTCCTCACAACGGATATAGGAGGTCAGCAATAGCCAAATATCCATGGGATACTCTTTTCCTCCAGCCCCGTCCAGTTCTTCTTTGTGCCTCTTGCTTTTCATTTTTCTGGAGACAGTTCTCTCATGGATGCTTTCCTCCTGGGCATCAGTCTCATCACTGCTGTCGATGATGTCACAGGGCTCACGAGCCCCAGAATGAGCTTCCTCTGCAGGAACCTGAGAGGCTTCCAAGCTTCAAAGAGATTTTACTTCCTGCTGAACAGCATTGGCTGCGGCTTTCTTGACTCATCCAGACCTCACGACCGCCAGATCCGAGTTGGCGTAATCCTCCACAGTCACTCGGCTGGAGCAGAGGAGCGACTTGAGTCGCTTTCCCCTCTTGGGCAGGGCAATCGTGTCTGGGCGAGGCCTGCCTAGTGGGCTGGGCCCCTGGGCCACGTCTGTGGCCTGGAGAGCGGGTCCCAGGAGCCGCAGGCCAGCTCCACCAGGCTCCGCGGGCATCCCGCACCGGAGGCCGCTAACTCTCGCCCACTGTTGTTCTTTTTGCTGAAATAACTGGCTGTTTTGAGTCTTTTGTGGTTCCATATAAATTTTAAGACTTTTTTCCCATTTATGTGAAGGATGTCATTGGTACTTTGATAGGAATTGCACTGAATTTCTAGATTGCTTTGGGTAGTACTGATATTTTAACAATATGGATTCTGCCAGTCTATTAACAAGGAATATATTTCCATTTTTTGTTGTCCTCTTCAATTTCTTTCATCAGTATTTTATAGTTTTTGAGAGGTGACAGCGTGCTGGCAGTCCTCAGAGCCCTTGCTTGCTCTCGGCACCTCCCCTGCCTAGGCTCCCACTTTGGTGGCATTTGAGGAGCCCTTCAGTCCCCCACTGCACTGTGGGAGCCCCTTTCTGGGGTGGCCAAGGCCGGAGCCCACTCCCTCAGCTTGCAGGGAGGTGTGGAGGGAGAGGCACGAGCGGGAACCGGGGCTGTGTGCGGCACTTGTGGGCCAGCTGGAGTTCCGGGTGGGCATGGGCTTGGTGGGCCCCGCACTCGGAGCAGCCAGCCAGCCCTGCTGGCCCCGGGCAGTGGGGGACTTAGCACCCTGGCCAGTGGCTGCGGAGGGTGTACTGAGTCCCCCAGCAGTGCTGGCCCACCGGCGCTGCGCTCGATTTCTCTTCAGGCCTTGGCTGCCTTCCCACGGGGCAGGGCTCGGGACCTGCAGCCCCCCATGCCTGAGCCTCCCACCCACTCCATGGGCTCCTGTGCGGCCCGAGCCTCCCCGACGAGCACCACCCCCTGCTCCACGGCTCCCAGTCCCATCGACCACCCAAGGGCTGAGGAATGCGAGCGCACGGCGCAGGACTGGCAGGCAGCTCCACCTGCAGCCCCGGTGCGGGATCCACTAGGTGAAGCCAGCTGGGCTCCTGAGTCTGGTGGGCACGTGGAGAGTCTTTATATCTAGCTCAGGGATTGTAAATACACCAATCAGCACCCTGTGTTTAGCTCAAGGTTTGTGAGTGCACCAATCGACACTATCTAGCTGCTCTGGTGAGGACGTGGAGAACCTTTATTTCTAGCTCAAGGATTGTAAATACACTAATCGGCACTCTGTATCTAGCTCAAGGTTTGTAAACACACCAATCAGCACCCTATGTTTAGCTCAAGGTTTGTGAGTGCACCAATCGACACTCTGTATCTAGCTGCTCTGGTGGGGCCTTGGAGAACCCGTGTGTGGAAACTCTGTATCTAATCTGATGGGGACGTGGAGAACCTTTGTATCTAGCTCAGGGATTGTAAATGCACCAATCAGCGCCCTGACAAAACAGGCCACTCGCTCTACCAATCAGCAGGATGCGGGTGGGGCCAGATAAGAGAATAAAAGCAGGCTGCCCGAGCCAGCATTGGCAACCCTCTCGGGTCCCCTTCCACACTGTGGAAGCTTTGTTCTTTCGCTCTTCGCAATAAATCTTGCTACTGCTCACTGTTTGGGTCCACGCTGCTTTTATGAGCTGTAACACTCACCATGAAGATCTGCAGCTTCATTCCTGAGCCCAGCGAGACCACGAGCCCACGGGGAGGAACGAACAACTCCAGACGCGCTACCTTAAGAGCTGTAACACTCACCGCAAAGGTCTGCAGCTTCACTCCTGAGCCAGCGAGACCACGAACCCACCAGAAGGAAGAAACTCCGAACACATCTGAACATCAGAAGGGACAGACTCCAGACACGCCACCTTAAGAGCTGTAACACTCACTGCGAGGGTCCACGGCTTCATTCTTGAAGTCAGTGAGACCAAGAACCCACCAATTCCAGACACATTTTCACTGTAGATATCTTTGACTTATTTGGTTAATTCCTAGGTGTTTAACATTTTTATGGCTGTTGTAAGTGGAATTATTCTTTTAAATTTCTTTCTCAGATTGTTCACTGTTGGTATATAGAAATGCTACTGATTTTTGTATGCTGATTTTGTACCACGAAATATTACTGAATTTGTTTACCAGTTCTAATAGGTTTTTGGTGAGTCTACGTTTTTCCATATATAAGAGCATATCATCCACAAACAAGCATAATGTGACTTCTTTCTTTCCAATTTAGATGTCCTTAATTTCCATCTCTTGTCTGATTGCTCTAGCTAGGACTTGCAGTAGTATGTTGTATAACGGTGGTGAGAGTGGGCATCCTAGTCATGTTCCAGATCTTAGAGGAGAGGCTTTCAGTTTTTTGCCATTCAGTAAAATACTAGCTGTGGACCTCTGTCATATATGGCTTTTATTATTTTGAGGCATATTCTATTTATATCCAGTTTTCTGTCTACATCCAGTTTTTGTGGGTTTTTATCATAAAGAAATTATCTGAAGATAAAATTGTTAAGCAAAAAGAAACCATAACTTTAAGGTTTAGAAAATTCTCAGCCAATTATCTTCCCCAAAATGAGAAAGTTTGTTTGGAAGAGAACATTAAATGTGTAGCCAAGTAGCCATTCGATAAGACCATTAGTATGAATACATACCACAGACCTAATCAGCCATCTCCACAGAAGCAAGGTACTTCAAGACAAGAGAAAAATGATTCTTCCCTCTCACATAATTCAGAGGTCATCAGGGCTGCCACTCCCACCACAGGCCCAGAGTGTAAGGGCTCCAAGGAAATCACTATTTCAGAGAGGCCACCAGCACCTTCAGGACCTTGGAGAGCTATGGGCCCAGGCAGAGAGCCACTGTGGTGGCAGGGCTGCCCAGAGCCCTTAGGACAAACCCTCCAAGAGCCTTCTGAGCTCAACTCCTACCCAGCAAGGCTGCAGAGGCAGGATCACCACCTCAGTAGGTCCAAAATGCGGGACTCCCACCCCAGTGGGCCTGGAGGACAGCAGCTAGGCAAAAAGGTTTATTGGAATTTTCCCTATTGGATTTTGGACATGCTCAGAACCTGTCATCATTTCTTCTTTCCCATTTCTCCCTTTTGGAAGGGAACTGTCTGTCCTATGACTGACTCACCATGGTATTTTGGAAACACTTAAACTTGTTTTGATTTCATAGGTTCACAGCCTCTTTTTTTTTTTTTTTTTTTTTTTTAGACAGTCTCCCTCTGTCGCTCAGGCTGGAGTGCAGTGGCACTATCTTGGCTCACTGCAAACTCTGCCTCCCAGGTTCTAAGTGATTCTCCTGCCTCAGCCTTCAGGGCAGCTGGGATTACAGTCATGCACCACCACGCCCGGCCAATTTTGTATTTTTAGTAGAGACAGGGTTTCACCATGTTGGCCAGGCTGGTCTCAAACTTCTGACCTCAGGTGATCCACCCACCTTGGCCTCCGGAAATGTTGGGATTACAGGTGTGAGCCACTGCGTCCAGCCTAAGCCCATTTTATAAAGGAACTAATTGCATTTTCTTCTTGCATTCTACTATAAGCAGTCAGGAAGAATTAAGCCACTCCACTAACACTTCCCTTAGAAATCGTTTCAGCTCAGTATACAATTTTATCACTCACAGTTCTGTCTTTCTCAAAACACACTAGAACACAAGCACAGTTTAGCTAAGGTCTTTGCCACTTTATAACAAGGGTAGCTTTTCCTCCAGTCCCCAACAGCATGTTCCTAATTTCGGACTGAGGCCTCATCAGAATGGCCTTTATTGTCTGTATTTCTACCAATATTCTGTTCATGAGTACCTAGATACTCTCTAAGAAGATGCAAGCTTTCTCTATGACTCTTCTAGTTTTTTTCTTAGTCTTCACTGGAATAGCCTTTAAAAATCCATTCACAGCAATGTAGGCTTCTTCTAGCATGCACCTTAAAACTCTCCCAATCTCTACCCATGACCCAGTTCCAAAGCCCCTTCCACAGTTTTAAGTATTTGTTACAGGAACACCTCCACTTATTGGTACCAATTTCTGTCTTGGTACTGCTACAATAAACACCATACATGAAATGTCTTATAAACAACAGAAATTTATTTCTCACAGTTTTGGAGGCTGAGAAGACTAAGATTAAGGTATCAACAGATTCAGTGTCTGGTGAGAGCCTATTTCCTGGTTCGCCAATGGCCATCTTTTGGTTGTGTCCTCACTTGATGAAAGCAGGGAATGGCGCTCGCTGGGAACTCTTTTATAAGGGAACTAATATTATTAGTGAGAGCTTCATCCTTATGACCTATTCAACTCTCAAAGGCCCCATCTCTAAATGCCATAATATTGAGGATTAAGTTTCAATATGTAAATGTCAGGGGAATACAAATATTCAGTCTACAGCAAGAAGTAAAAAGTAGTATCTATTGTAAGATTGAGCTATTTGATGATTACATGACCTTGAAAACAGCAGTTTTAATACAGTGAGTTCATAAAGAAAGTAGAAAATTATTGGAGATGGCAACTATACCCAAGATATTTTTTCTATAAAATGTAACCATAGAAATGAGCTCTTAACTGGAGAATAAAATCGCATTTAGAGGTTTTGTTTTCATTGATTGTTTTATTTTAAGGTAGAATTAACAGTAATTGTTTGTATACCAACTGGATAATTCCAACAAAGGCAAAATAAGAGATAGAGGAGAGGAAGAAGGGGGAAGTGTTGGATCCAAGTAACTAGGCAAGATGGGATGAGTGCACAAGTAAAACAGATGACCTTTGCTAGAATCTTAGGCAGTTCTCCCAAAGTTGAGGAGAAGTCAGAGTACACAACCTCAGGTGTGGGTAGTCAGTAAACATGGTGGTGGGAATATGTGAAAGTTCTTTTCTGATTGCTTCTAGTATCTTAATGAAATACCTAGCAAGGTGTTCTCAGCTGAGAGTGTGCATGTTGGATGGCGTTATGAAATAGTCATTCAGGAGAATGAAGGATTGGCTGGATAGAAAAATAATTTGAAGGCTGGTCAGCATTTAGGGCTCACTTAAGAATAATAATTGTATATTTATAATATTTAAAGGCATTTGAGTTTGGGCATAAATTTTAAATAGTGAATTGCTAGAGGAATACTATAAAGTCAGAGAGAAGTGAGATTCAAGGTGAGAGATAATATTGGCTATGGAATTTAAGTTGAATAAGGAAGAAATTGAGGCTATGAGGATGTCGAGGGATAATGAAAAAGCAGTAGGATTAATGGATTATTGTCTGAAGAGGTCAAAAAATGATGGACTTAGGGCAAATTATAAAAAGAAGTGGAATGCTTAAAGTTGAAAGTAGGGAACAGTTTGTTGCTATTGGTAATGAATAAATACCTTGAATATGAGTGGCTGAGATAAGGTGGAAAACACAATTATTAGAGGAGAGGAGTCTAGGAAGTGCATGTTCAAGGGTCATCTTTGTGGATCCTAAAGTAACCAAATTTTGTAAAAGAAAAACTTGAAGAAAATAGCAGTTCTCACAGAGATAAAATGTTTAGAGAATAAGGGTGTGGAGAACATTGATAATAGGGGCTGGTAGATACTAGCAATAATAAGGGTCTGGGATGGTATAGTATAATGCTATGATTCAAGACTGGGGACTTCTGAAGAAGCAGAAGAAAATCTGGTCTAGGACAGATAATGTTCTGTAAATGGCAATGAAAAACAAGAAATACACCAGCAGATAGTGTGAGGAGTGGAAAAGAATGCAGCCATCACTTGAGAAAGGCTGTAAAGGAAACAATTACTTCAAAGCAGGGCAAGGTTTTAGTTAAAGCAAAAATATCATAAAATGAGTTAAGATTATAATAGATTTTGATGGTGACTGATTCTTAATGCTTTTACTTCTAAATCAAATTGGTATCCATTGCCTCTAGTAATTCTGTATCAGTTTGCATGAATTCCATTAATCCTGACTGTTAATCTTTTAGCAGCTTCTGGGCTTCTTTATGTGTTTTTGTTAAATATAATTTCACTGAAGTCCAGATTGAGTTGTTTGATTTCCCTAGGTGTCAGCAGTCATGTTGAAGTGAAGGCATTTTTTCTCTCCCCTGTCCCACCAACACAATGGGAATATGGTATAAAAGCAGCCAGGCTAATGGAATGGAGATGAGGCAGTTGAAGGAAGATTTTCGGTTCTCAGTCCCTACTAGTCTTTTCAGGCTCAAACACAGTGAAGATCAAGCTCAGCCATTCATTTTCTCCTTGTACTCATGGGAGCCAGGGAGATAAAAGGCCCTTGTGAAAGCTGATTACTCTGGCAGAGGCCACGAGATCTATGGGGCCAAGCTTTCAGCTTTTCACTCAAGAGCTCTCACGCTGGTATCTGGTGCTTTTTCTCTGTCCTGGATGCTCACAGAATCCAAAGCCTTCCTGGAACCCGACATCCAACTATCTGTAAGGCCCAGGAGCCATTTGTCTCTGGAAAGGCAGGTAGATTGGAGTCAGTGCTTGGCGTTTTGTTTTGTTTTGTTTTGTTTTGTTTTGTTTTTGAGACAGAGTTTCGCTCTGTCACCCAGGCTGGAGTGCAGTAGCATGATCTCGGCTCACTGCAAGCTCCGCCTCCTGGGTTCACGCCATTCTCCTGCCTCAGCCTCCCGAGTAGCTGGGACTACAGGCGCCCGCCACCATGCCCGGCTAATTTTTTGTATTTTTAGTAGAGATGGGGTTTCACCGTGTTAGCCAGGATGGTCTCGATCTCCTGACCTTGTGATCCACCTGCCTTGGCCTCTCAAAGTGCTGGGATTACAGACTTGAGCCACCGCGCCCAGCCAGTGCTTGGGTTTTAAGCTACCATTTTTCCAAAACCCCCTCTTCCACTGATTTTAGAAAGCATATACATGGCTTTAACCTCAGGGAAAATATCAAAATAAACCAAACCAGTTGGGGACCATTTTCTTTCTCTCAGAGGTATCTTGTTATGATGCTATTGTCCCAGGCCTATTTTTCACAGAAGCAAAGTAGATGATGGCATGGCAGTTAATTTTTACCTTCCAGTATGTTTCTATATATATATGTCTATGTATTGAATTTTTTATTTGCCTTCCAGCCCTACTAGGCCTGCCATCTAGAGAAAGAAAGCTCCAACCACCTCAGCCTGGAGTAACTATGGGAAATACAACTTTGTTTCCCCTCATGCTTTGTAAACCACCTCTTCCAGTTTGTGTTGTGTTGTGTTAGGCCATTCCTGCATTGCTATAAAGCAATACCTGAGACTGGGTAATTTATAAAGAAAAGAGGTTTAATTGGCTTATGGTTCTGCAAGCTTTACAGGAGGCATGGTGCTTGCATCTGCTTGGCTTCTAGAGAGGCCTCAGGAAGCTTACAATCATGGTGAAAGGTGCATCTCACAGGCTGAAAGCAGGATCAAGAAAGATATGGTTGTGGGGAGGTGCCACTATTAAATAACCAGGTCTTCTGAGAACTCATTATCATGAAGACCGCACCAAGTCACCCAGGATCCAAACACCTCCCGCCAGCACTGGGGATTACAATTCAACGTGAGATTTGGGTGGGGAGAAATATCCAGACTATTAATATATCACCAGCATTCCAGATTTGTTTCCTCAAAGTCATCTCTGACTGTCAAACAGCTTAAGTCATTGTGTAGGTAACCTCTTTTAGAAGGGGATAACCCTGCCTTGCAGAATTATTTGCTCAAGCCACCTGGCAATAATTCAGTGTTTCAGGAAACTCACTGGGGCTGTTTGCTGGATCAGAAATCAGCATTATGTCAAAGGGTATTCCAAAGGCAGTGGGAGAAATGGATGGAGTTCTGAGAGGGTCTGCTGCATGAGCACTCTGGGGACCCATGTCCAGGTGGACAATACTCTTCATGTTGTTACACAGACAAGTATAGATACTTTATTAAGATAGGTTTCTAAGAGTAAAACCTTCAAAGGACTATGTGGAAAGATTTGGGCGGTTTTATGTTATCTTTTGAATAGATCCAAAAACAATGTAGTTAGGACAAATGGCTGTCAATGATTTCCAAATTATTTTCACTAATGCATTACCATTACTACAAAAGTGTATATCAAGTCTCTGAAGGAAGTTAGAGTGAGGCAAAAGGAAGAAATATCAACCAGTGAAGCCCAGTGAAGTGGGCAATCTCCTGCTCCTTTCTAAATGCCAAAAACCTACACAATTAATAGTTTTTGTGCAGAGCAACTCCAATAAACATGAAAGGAAAACTTCTCTTACCCACACCAAGCACATGTTTTCCAAGTTGTGATGAGAACTGGTACAGCAGACTTCTCAAGATAAGAATGTTTTGAAGGACAAATACAAGCTTATACATCAAAACTACTTAATCTGAGAAAGAACTTGCTGGCATCCAAACCTTAGGAACTCAGTCCTGCATTGTCACTGCCTTTGACAAGGCTTACTGCACTACATGCTGTAAAGGCCTATGGGATGTGGTTATTAGGATTTCATCTGCAGGCTACCCAGGATGTCATATACCATTGATACTCCAGTGACAATTAACCAATTTATTAATGTGATGTTCCCCTTTACAATTAACCAACCTAGCAGATAGGTTGTCCATCAGGGTTTTTTCTTTTTATTTTCTTTTTTTTTTTTTTTTTGAGACAGAGTCTCGCTCTGTCGCCCAGGCTGGAGTGCAGTGGTGCGATCTCGGCCCACTGCAAGCTCTGCCTCCCGGGTTCACGCCATTCTCCTGCCTCAGCCTCCTGAGTAGCTGGGACTACAGGCGCCCACGACCACACCCGGCTAATTTTTTGTGTTTTTAGTAGAGACGCGGTTTTACTGTGTTAGCCAGGATGGTCTCGATCTCCTGACCTTGTGATCCACCCGCCTCAGCCTCCCAAAGTGCTGGGATTACAGGCTGAGCCACTGCGCCCGGCTTTTTTCTTTTTTAGAAGTAATTATAGATTTAAAAATATTAATAGTTACAAAATAGTAGATAAGAGTCCCTGTGTACCCTTCAACTCACTTCCTATAATGAAAACCTCTTATGTAATCATAGCATAGTCATCCCTCAGTAGCCACTGGGGTTTTGTACAAGCACCCCCATAGACACCAAAATCCATGGATGTTCAAGTCCCTGACATAAAATGGTTTAGTATTTGCATATAACCTATGCACATCCTTTAAATCGGGAGCCCCCAGCTCCTGGGGCTGTTGACCACTATTGGTCTGTGGCCTTTTGGGAATCAGGCTGCACAGCAAGAGATGAGTAGTGTGCTCTGTAAATATATTTGTATTTATAATAAATGTAATCTGTATTTATAATACATGTAATAAATCTGTATGTAAAGCCCCTCCCTATTGCTTGCATGACCACCTGAGCTCCACCTCCTGTCAGATCAGCAGCAGCATTAGATTCTTGTAGGAGTGCAAACTCTACTGTGAACTGTGCATGTAAGGGATCTAGTTGCATGCTCCTTATGAGAGTCTAATGCCTGATGATCTGAAGTGGGACAGTTTCATACCAAAACCACCCCCGCAGCCCTTACCCCATCTGTGGAAAAATCGTTTCCCAGGAAACCATTCCCTGGTGCCAAAGATGTTGGGGACCACTGCTTTAAATCATTCTTAGATTACTTATAATACATAATACAATGTAAGTGCTACAGAAATAGTTGCTATTCCGCACTGTTTTTTGCAATTTGTATTTTTATTGTTGTATTGTTATCTTTATTGGTTTTGTTTTTGAGTATTTTCAATCAGCTGGTTGACTCTGCAGATGCAGAACTGCAGCTATAAAGGACCCAACTCTACATTAGCAAAACCACATTACAATTAACTTTACTACAGACCTCACTTGGATTCAGAAGTGTTTTTCTGCACTCTTTTTTATTCTTTGTGTATATGTGTATACTTCTAAGAAATTTATCACTGGTGTAGATACATATAACCAATAACATAATCAAGATATAGCATTATGCTGTCATCCGAAGAAAGGACCTCATGATATCCCTTTATAATCACACTCACCCCACTTCTCTAAGTCCCTGGCTACTGCTGATCTGTTCCCTATTTCTAGAATTTTGTCATGTTGAAAACCTTTTATAATGAAATTATATATTGTACAACCTTTTGACATTGCATTATTTATTTATTTATTTATTTATTTATTTATTTATTTTTGAGACGGAGTCTCACTCTGTCGCCTGGAAGGAGTGCAGTGGCGCGATCTTGGCTCACTGCAACCTCCACCTCCCAGGTTCAAGCAATTCTCCTGCCTCAGCCTCCCAAGTAGCTGGAACTACAGGCGCGTGCCACCATGCCCGGCTCATTTTTTGTATTTTTAGTAGAGACAGGGTTTCACCGTGTTGGCCAGGATGGTCTCGAACTCCAGACCTCATGATCTGCCCACCTCAGCCTCCCAAAGTGCTGGGATTACAGGCATGAGCCACCGCACCCGTCCTGAGATTGAATTTTTAAAGTTTAATTCCTTTGAGGTCATTGCAAATCATTCAACAGTTCATTGCTTTTTTATTACTAAGTACTAGTCCATTGTATGGCTGTACCATGGTTTGTTTAGCCATCCACCTGCTGAAGGACATTTGGGTTGTTTACAGTTTGGTTGTTAAAAATAAAGCTTCTGTGAAAACTCATGCACAAGTTTTTGCATGAATATCAACTTTTATTTCTCTAGGGGAAGTGGCCATGAGTGCAGTTAGTGGGTAAACAGCTAAGCACGTTTCTAATTTGTGAAAACAACAACAACAACAACAAAAAAACACCAAGCTGTTTTTCAGGGTGGTTGTTCACCATTTTTGGACGGCACTATTCAGAGACCTGTAAACCTGCACTCTCCTGTGCACTGTTCAGCCTCAAGCGGTGAAAGTAACGTAGCAATTGGGCCAATTACCTCACAGCTGCTCAATTTATGAACTTATTTCAGCCTCCCCAGTAGCTGGGATTACAGGTGCGTGCCACCATGCCCAGCTAATTTTTGTATTTTTAGTAGAGATGTGGTTTCACCATACTGGCCAGGCTGGTCTCGAACTCCCGACCTCAGGTGATCCACCCACCTCAGCCTCCCAGAGAGCTGAGATTACAGGCGTGAGCCACTGCACCCGGCGTTAAATGCATTTTTGGCTTCTATTTTCAACTGATGATGGGCATTGTACATTGTAAAGACAATAAATCTTTCCATTAAATTAGTGGGAAAGGAGCTCAAAACCCAGCCTGGTGATTCATTATTTTAATGACTTCCTGCTTTACTGCAAAACCTCTCTCTTCATTCGGTGTTGGCATTTTGAGCCCCTGTTAAGGATATAGGCTCACAATGAAGCTTCTATAAATTTCTGGACCTCTGTCATGCTGGCATGTATGTCATTCTCCTTTAGGAATGATGAGGAGGCTGGCAAGCGGTTGCTCCAAGGGACGGGGGAATTTTTCAAACCTGAGCCGTCCAAGCTCAGCATGAATTGGAGTGGGCTGCTGACTCAGGCTAGCAGAGGCAGCCAGGAAATATGCAAATCTGCAATCCATTCTGCCAGGTCTGTCCCAGCAGGTGTCACTAAAAGGCAGCCCTGTGTGCTTCTGTCACTGTGACAGCCTTGACAAGGAAGATGGAGAGGAATAGAGACCCAGTGCTGAACTCCAAGCAGAGATGGGGCTTTTCTCTCTGCATATTTTCCCTCCCCTCCCAGCCTGCATCACCATTAACATATTGATTTATATTTGTATTATGAAACAAAAATGGTTGTAAACAGCTGTTCTTTCCTTTTACACACAATGCTAGCTCCTATTTAGATTCCTAAATGAATAATGTCTAAAGAGGTACTTAAACTGACATAAAACGCAGATGATCTTATGACCAAATGCTTAGTGCAAAAACAACAACAACAACAAAAAAACCCCTTCAAATTGCAAGAGAAGTTCCTCCAAATACAGAGAGGACAAGTATTGTAAGAGGTACCTTAACTAAAATGTGGCAATGTAAGGAGCAGAGCAGGAAGAACCTTTAAGTCTGAAACTTACAACAAGTCAATTTCATAGTCAGTTTCCGTGGGTCCTTCCACAACAACCTCTGGCATCCATTTTCTCTGCAATGGAGGTAACAACAGTAGCTATTTCAGAGCAGGAAAAGGCTTAGAGCAGTGCCAGAAGAGGGTCATGGCTATATAAAGTTTAGCTATTTGTATATTGTAACAAAGCTACAGTGTATTTTTTTTATTGGTAGTCAATAATAAATTTCTTTTGGAAAAGTAGCAGCCTCTTATTTAGTTTCTTTTTTTCCTTTCCCTTTTCCTGCCACAGAGTCCCGCTCTGTCGCCCAGTCTGGAGTGCAGCAGCTCCATTATAGCTCACTGCCACCTCGACCCCGGGCTCAAGCAATCCTTCTACATCAGCCTTCAGAGTAGCTGGGACTACCCGCGGGGCCCACCACACCCGGCTAATCTTTGTGGTTTTTGTTTTGTTTTTCCCTTAAGAGACCCTGTTTGGGGCCAGGCGCAGTGGCTCAGGCCTGCAGTCCCAGCACTTGGGACGCCCAGGCGGGCGGATCACCTGAGGTGAGGAGCTGGAGACCAGCCCGACCAACATGGAGAAACCCCATCTCTACTAAAAAAAAAATTACAGAATTAGCCGGGCATGGTGGCTCAGGCCTGCAATCCCAACACCCGGGGAGGCCGAGGCTGGCGGATCACCTGAGGTCGGGGGTTAGAAACCCTCCTGACCAACATGGAAAAACCCCGTCTGTACCAAAAACAACAACAAAAACAAATACAAAATAGCTGGGCATGGTGGCTCACGCCTGCAATCCCAGCCACTCAGGAGGCTGAGGAAGGAGAACCACCTAAACCCGGGAGGTGGATGCCGTGGCGAGCCAAGACCGCGCCACTGCATTCGAGTCTGGGCAACAAGAGCAAAACTCCACCTCAACAACAACAAAAGCGACCGGGTTTCACCATGTTGCCTAGGCCCGTCTGGAACTCCTAGACTCCAGTGATCCGCCGCGCTGGGCCGTCCAAAGTCCTGGGATCACAAGCGTGAGCCACCACGCCAGGCCGATCTATTCCTTTCTGACTAATAAATTGGGCCTGGAGTGGTGGCTCACGCCTGCAATTCCAGCACCCGGGGACGCGGAGGCGGGCACATCACATGAGGTTGGGAGTCTGAGACCAGCCTGACCAACATGGAGAAAACCCATCTCTACCAAAAAAAAAAAAAAAAAAAAAAAAAAAAAAGTACAAAATTAGCTGGGCATGGTGGCTCAAGCCTGCAATCCCAGCACCCCTAGAGGCTGAGGCGGGCGGATCACCTAAGGTCAGGAGTTTGGGACTAGCCTGACCAACATGGAGAAACCCCGTCTCTACAAAAGAAAAAAGAAAATTAGCTGGGCATGGTGGCTTATGCCTGCAATCCCAGCCGCTTGGGAGGCTGAGGCAGGAGAACGACCCAAATCTGGGAGGCGGAGGCCACGGGGAGCCCAGGCCACGCCACTGCACCCTGCCTGGGCAACAAGAGCAAAACTCCGCCTCAAAAAAGGAAAAAAAAAAAAAAAGAAAGAAAGGTTTCACCATGTTGCCCAGGCCGGTCTGGAGCTCCTAGGCTCCAGTGATCACCGCGCTCTGTCGTCCAAAGTCCTGGGATCACAAGCCTGAGCCTCCATGCCAGGCCGATCTATTCCTTTCTGATTAATAAATTACGCCGGGCGCGGTGGCTCACGCCTGCATTCCCAGCACCCCGGGAGGCCGAGGTGAGCAGATCACTTGAGGTCGGGAGTTTGAAACCAGCCTGACCAACATGGGGAAAACCCATCTCTACCAAAAAAAAAAAAAATTAGCCGGGCATGATGGCTCGTGCCTGCAATCCCAGCCACTCGGGAGGCTGAGGCAGGAGAACCACCCAAACCCGGGAGGCGGAGGCTGCGGCGAGCCAAGACCACGCCACTGCACTCCAGCCTGGGCAACAAGAGCAAAACTCTGCCCCCCCCCCCCCCCCCACATCCGAACACACAAAAGAGAGAGAGACCAGGTTTCACCATGTTACCCAGGGCGGATGGAGTCTTGCTCTGTCGCCCAGGCTGGAGGGCAGTGGTGCCATCTCGGCTCTTGACAACCTCTGCCCCCTGGGTTCAAGCGATTCTCCTGCCTCAGCCTCCCAAGTATCTGGGACTACAGCTGTGTGCCACCATGCTCGGCTAATTTTTTTTTTCTAGTGGAGATGGGGTTTCGCCACATTGGCAGGGCTGGTCTTGAATTCCCGACCTCAGACAACTCACCCGCCTCAGCCTCCCAAAGTGCTGGGATTACAGGCGTGAGCCACCACACCCAGCCTTTATCTTTCTTTTCTCCTCCAAATCCCTGGCAAACAATGATCTTTACAGTTTGCCTTTTCCAGATTATCATATAAATGGAATCAATCATTCCAATTTATGTATGCAGGTTTTTCAAACTTCCTTATTTTCACCTAGAAATATGCATTTGAGATTCATCCATGTTTTGCATGATGCTTTTTGTTAATGACTAGTATTCCATTGTAGAAATGTACTGCAGTTTGTTTACGCATTCACTTATTGAAAAAATCTTATTTGCTTCGTTTTGGGTGAATATGAATATGGATGGCTGCTATAAACATTTGTGTACAGGTTTTGTGAGCACGTAAGTTTTCAAATCAGTATGCAAATGCCTAGGAACACCCTATTGTTGGATCATGTGATGAGACTATGTCTTACCTTGTAAGAAGCTGCCAAACTGCTGTCCTAAGTGGTTGTACTATTTTGCTTTCCCATAAGCAATACATGAGAGTTTCCAGCACCCCACGGATTTAACTATTAATAGCAATTGTAATTTCCTTGATTTTGGATTTTAGCAATTTTGATAGGTGTGTGGTGGTATCTCATTGTTGATTTAATTTGAATTTCCCAAAAAAAAGATATTTAGCAAATTTTTATATACTGATTTGTCGTCTGTATATCTTTTTTTTTTTTTTTTTTTTTTGGTGAGACGGAGTCTCGCTCTGTGGCCCAGGCTGGAGTGCAGTGGGGCGGTCTCGGCTCACTCCAAGCGCCACCTCCCGGGTTCACACCATTCTCCTGCCTCAGCCTCTGGAGTAGCTGGGACTACAGGCGCCTGCCGCCACGCCCGGCTAAATTTTTTTTGTATTTTTGGTAGAGACGGGGTTTCACCGTCTTAGCCAGGATGGTCTCTATCTCCTGACCTCGTGATCCGCCCGCCTCAGCCTCCCAAAGTGCTGGGATTACAGGCGTTAGCCACCGCGCCCAGCCTGTATATCTTTTTTGATGAAGTGTCTCTTCAGATATTTTGCCCACTTTAAAAATCAAATTTTTATTTTTGAGATAAAATTTTGTAGATTCACATGAAGTTGTAGGAAATGGTACAGTGAGATCCTCTGTAGCCTTTATTGGGTTTCCCCCAGTGGTAACACTTGTAAAACTATGGTACAATATCACAACTTGATATTTAATTTGATGCAGTCAAGGTACAGAACATTTTATCTTTGTAGGGAATTGCCAAACTCATCAATAATGTATGGGTGATCCAGTTTCTCCACATCCTTGCCAGCATTTTATTGTTACTATTTTTTATTGTGATAGGTAATGATACTTCATTGTCACTTTAATGCATTTACCTAAAGGCTAATGATGTGGAGCATCTTTTCACATGGTTACCTGCCATCTGAATATCCTCTTCAGTGAAATATCTCTTTATGTCTTTTTCCCATTTTCTGATTGGATTATTTGTTTATCTGCTGAGGTTTTAGAGTTTGTTATATGTTCTATACATGAGTTCTTTTGTGAATATTGGCTTGCAAATATTTTTAGTGGTCTGTAATTATGTTTATTCCTGTTCATGGTCTTGCACAGAGCAAACACTTTTAATTTTGATAGAGTCCAACTTGCCATTTTCCCTTCAGTGGTTAATGCTTTTGGTCTAAAATAAGAGAGCTATTAACCCTAGATGCAAAGATTTTCTCCTATGTTTTCTGAAGTTTGGTAGTTTCAGTTTTGCATTTAAGTATATAATCCATTTTTTAGTTAATTTTTGTAAAAATGTGAGGTTCAGGCTGAGGTTCAATTTTTTGGCCTATGGATGTCCAGTTGCACCATCACCATTTACTGAAAAGGCTATCCTTCCTCTATTGAGCTGCTTTTGCAACTTTGTCAAAGATCAACTGGTTTTTGCTCATTTTATAATTGCGTTGCTTAATTTCTTATTGTTGAATTTTAAGAGTCATTTGTATATTTTGAACACAAGTCTTTTGTGATTTGAAAATATATTCTCAGTCTATGACTTGCCATTTCAGAATGGTAATGATGTATTTTTCTATTCCTAATTAATAGTTTAAAAAATCTTTTTATTTCAGTCGGGTAAAAGTTCCAGAAATGTGAAGTACAAAGATTTTTTTGATCCAGTTGAAAGTGATGAAGACATAGCAAGTGATCATGATGATGATCTGGGTTCAAACAAGTGGATGAAATTGCTGAAGAAGCAGCAGAAGAACTAAGCATTTCTGAAATGTGAGTATTTGAACCATCCTTTACATTGTGAGCTGGAATTGTCCAATCATGTATTGGTACTTGTGGTTTTCACATATGTTTGTTTTAAGAAGTTAGATTCTCTCCTATCAGATATTCTCAAGATAGCCAGAGGAAAGTCTGTGGATTTAAAGGGACATTAGAGATCATTTAATGAAGAAAAATATTACTGGCAGTAGCAATCAAACATTTCTTGCCAGGAACCTTGATTTGGTTTTGTACCCCAAAAATCCTGTTATTTTTGTGAGATTGATGGTTTGTATTATCAATTGATGAATAATTTATTTTCTATATATTGGACACTTTTGTTCTGTTTCTTACATAGCATGTCACTTAAATGATACCTTCTCTTCCGTAATACCTGAATGATTTTGGAACTTCTGAGTATTTGGTTGCATTAGGCATATAAAAGAAGAACTTTATTAAGGGAAAATATGTTTCCTTTTGTTTTTCTAATGGAAAGCAGTATATTTCTTTTTATAAGAGTTTTGGTAGTGTAGGGAGGAAGATGATGACCTGGAAGAAAGTGAAGACAGTAAACAATGTAAAGAAAGCTTGAAAAGAGTGACCTTCACTTTGCTGGATGATGAGGCAACTGAAGATGCAGGTGTTTTAAATGTAAAGAAAAATTCTGATGAAGTTAAATCCTCTTGAAAAAAGACAGGAAAAGGTAATTAGGAATTTAAGGAATTTTTAATGTGCTTGACATAACTGTGGAACTCACAGACTACTAACAAATCTTCCCTATCTTTCTTTTTTTTTTGAGAAGGAGTCTTACTCTGTCACCCAGGCTGGAGTGCAATGGTGTGATCTCAGCTCACTGCAGCCTCCACCTCCTGGGTTCAAATGATTCTGCCTCAGCCTCCTGAGTAGCTGAGATTAGAGGTGCATGGCACCATGCCTGACTAATTTTTGTACTTTTAGAAGACATGGGGTTTCACCGTGTTGGCCAGGCTGGTCTCGAACTCCTGACCTCAGGTGATCCTCCTACCTCAGCCTCCCAAAGTGCTGCGATTACGGGCGTGAGCCACCGCGCCCGGCGATTTTACAGGTATCATTACCTAGAATGAGGTGAAAGGACACGGTTAGGATTTTTTTTTAAGTGTAAGGTAAGTTAAAATAGTAAGAAACAGTAGTAGCGTAATACCTGGCCATGGCTGGAAGGTGGGTGCTGATGATGGGCATTGGAACAGACCTGGATACATCTCTGGCATCAGGGTCAGGAGGCAGTGAGCCTGTCGCTTCCTAGTTCTGGTGTTTTTTTTTTTTTTCCATGTCTTAATAAACAAACAAACAAAAAGCCCTCTTAGCCATTTAGAATAAGCATTTGGGGCCAAGGGGAGCAGAGAGAAGTATGAAGTTTACTTTTTCTCTTCAGTAGAATAAAAATTGCTGTCCATTTTTTCAATGTGATTTGTCAGAATAAATCTTTAACGTATTACATGTAAATAAAAGAAAAAAAAGTCCCTACAATCCAAATGGATATTTGGATAATTTTACGAAGTCTATATTAACACTTTAGTTCTATCAGCCCACAATAAAGTCCCATATCCATGAAGCAGTTGCTACCCTTTACTCACTAGCCCCAGCCCCAACAATCCCCAGTCTGTGTCCTATCTTTGTGGATTTGCCTATTTTGCATATTTGATATAAATGGAGCCTTACAATACGCAGCCTTTCATTTCTGACTTCTTGCATTTAGCATCATGTTTTCAAGACTGTAGCATTTGCTTGTGCTTCATTTCTTTCTTATGGTTGTATGGTATTCCATTGCGGGAATGTACCATGCTTTATCTGTTCATCCATTGATGGCCATTCAGGCTGTTTCCACCTTTTGACTGTTAATCGTGCTGTGCACATGTATTTGTTTGAGTACCTGCTTTTAATTCTCTTGGTTTTACACCTCGGAGTGGTTGCTGGGTCAGATGGTAATTCTCTGTGTAGCTTTTTTTTTTTTTGAGACGGAGTCTCGCTCTGTCACCCAGGCTAGAGTGCAGTGGTGCGATCTCGGCTCACTGCAACCTCCGCCTCCTGGGTTCACACCATTCTCCTGCCTCAGCCTCCCGAGAAGCTGGGACTACAGGCACCCGCCACCACGCCTGGCTAATTTTTATACTTTTAGTAGAGACGGGGTTTCACCATGTTGGCCAGAATGGTTTTGATCTCTTGAACTTGTGATCCACCCGCCTCGGCCTCCCAGAGTGCTGGTATTACAGGCGTGAGCCACCACGACCAGCCCCAAGCTCTATTCTGAATGCAACAGGGAAAGGGGTCCTTTTAGAGCTTATGCTCAAAATCTTTGTCTCCCCTCCTCCCATCTCACTCAAAGTCAATGCTCAAATCCATACAATGACCTGCAGGGTCATACATCAGGTGCTGGCAAACAGTAGCTGGATGGCAAGTTAGCCAGCTATTTTTGTAAATAAAGTTTTATTGGAACAAAACCACACTCATATGTTACATATTGTCTATAGCTGCTTTCACACTAAAATAGCTGTGTTGCCTAGTTATGATGGAGGCCACATGGTCCCAAAAGCCTCAAACATTTACTCCCTGGCCCTTTACGGAACAAATTTGCTAACACTTGCCCTCCATGGTCTGGCTCTCTGCTGCCTCCCTGGCTTTGTTTTCTTCTGCCTCCTTGGGGTTCTTAGAGCCTGCTAGATAATCTTCTGCCTGACGGCTTTTACATGTGCTGTTGCTGTTTCCTGGCCTACCATGGCCTTCTCTCAGTCCACACTGTTACCTCCTTCAGGCCAATGTCAATCTTCAAATGTCATCTTTTCAGTGAGGACTTCCCTTACCACTCTTTCAAATTGTAACCTCAACCCTAAGATGTTTCTGGCTTTACTTGTCTTCAATTTCACCACATAGTTTACTTTTTATATTTCTCTATCTCCTTCCACCAGAATGTATCCTTCATGAGGAGTTCCCCTCCCTCCCATGAAGAATTTCCTCCCATTCCTCATTGTTCACTGCCACATATTTTCAGCATCTAAAATGTTACCTGGAATGAGGTAGGCAGTCAATACATTCTTGTTAATGAACTCCCTATTTATGTCCTTATTCTCTTTAGTTTGCTCATTTATGCACTCATTCAGTGTATATTTATCAATAATTACACAACGCTAGCCACTGCTGCAGGCAGCAGCGATTTTATAGTAAAGGCAACAAGCACAACCGCCTGATGTTAAGAAGCTTGCATTCTAGGTCATTCATGGTGGGCTGGAACACGCTGGTGTCAGTGCTTCAGGGCTGATTGTTAAACTTTCAGGTGTTAGGCTGGGCATGGTGGCTCACGCCTATAATCCCAGCACTTTGGGAGGCTGAGGCGGGCGGATCACGAGGTCAGGAGATCGAGATCATCCTGGCTAACACGGCGAAAACCCATCTCTACGAAAAATACAAAAAATTAGCTGGGTGTGGTGGCGGGTGCCTGTAGTCCCAGCTACTCAGGAGGCTGAGGCAGGAGAATGGAGTGAACCCTGGAGGTGGAGCTTGGAGTAAGCTGAGATCGCGCCCCTGCACTCCAGCCTGGGTGACAGAGCGAGACTCCATCTCAAAAAAAAAAAAAAAAAAAAAAAAAAATTCAGCTGTTAAACACAGCCATTATTGAAAGTTAAATAAATCATATAGCTTTACAAATAAATTACATTAAAAACAGAAGTCATAAATACTCAAGACGCATCACTTCCTAGTCGCCACATTTTATTTCTTGGTTCTTGATGTTATTATTTCAAGGGTATCAGATAACCGGTGATTAGTACTATCTTTTGGAAAACCCAGCTCAGTGGTTTTCCAACTGAAACTCCCTCTCGCTTATTCGCAGGAGTCAGCTTAAGTAGAGCTCCGCGTGTTGGTTGCAGAAGTCGCCTGTCTTCCCCGCAGGAGGCTGTTTGCTCGCTTTGACACTGAATGCTCCCCCAACAAACACGTTTAGCTTGCTTGCCCTTCTCACCGACTGCGGAGAGGAGTCTCAGAGTGCACAGTCGCAGAGAAGGCGTGCGGGGGCGTGCAGGGGCGCACAGGCGCCTGCCTCTGCGGGTGGGAAAGGAAGGAGGTGCCCGGGTTTCCGCTCCCAGGGCTCAGCCTGCCTTGGGCACCTACGGTATGGGAGCCTTTAACGTGGAAAGGAAAGGAGATCGATCACTCGAGCCTCCACTTGCCAAGCCTGTGGAAGCGAGACGCGGGGATCGGCTGGGAATGCCTGGAAGCGCCGGCGCGCGGAGCCAGGTGGGAGGTGCGAGGTGGCCGCGCGGGGATCTTGGGTGACAGGGCACCGAGGGAAGGAGGACGCGAGGGCAGCCAGGCCCTAGGGAGCAGGGAGAGTGGCTCGGGCTCAGTCGCGTGGCCCCAGGTGCGCGTCCCAGGTGCGCGGCCTTGACCCAGCAGCGTCCGCCGTGCTGGCCGGGGCCTCGGCTCCGCAGCAGAAGCCGCGGTGGTGGCAGCCGGCGCGGGCGCAGCTGCCCGCGGCTGGGGCGTTTCATCTGCGCCGGCCTATGGTGCGGGCATCGCCCTGGGCCACGCGCTGATCGTCTCCATCTCACTCAGAAAAAGTTACTCATACAGTGGTCTTGTAAAGGGTCTGAAGTGGTCAAATTGTCCCTTTTTAGAAACGGATAGTTTTAGGTCTTAAAGATGTCCTAGAAATTACCCTTACAAGCCCAGCTCTGTCATTTTATAGTAAGGGACACTAAGATCGCGTACAGAGCTTGTCGGAGGGGCTTGGTCTTCTGTCTCACGCTCAGGGTTGTCTCCTCGTTACAGGAGACCTTGCTCTTAAACGTTTCAGAGTTCGCTTTTCCCCTTGCTGAATTCATAAAAATGTTTTTAATTTATATGTGTTTCTTCTTGTAGGAAGAAGAAATTGTCGAGACGAATAACATGAGGTCATATAGAATCCCACTTTTGGTGATTTCAAGTCAAGAAAGTAAAAGTAAACCATTGCTATCTTTCACCTTAAATATCCTGTGTTTTATTGCTCAGAACATCCAGTTTTTCTAATACTCATGATGTCAGAAGGGAAACCTCCTGACAAAAAAAGGCCTCGTAGAAGCTTATCAATCAGCAAGAATAAGAAAAAAGCATCTAATTCTATTATTTCGTGTTTTAACAATGCACCACCTGCTAAACTTGCCTGCCCCGTTTGCAGTAAAATGGTGCCTAGATATGACTTAAACCGGCACCTTGATGAAATGTGTGCTAACAATGACTTCGTTCAAGTGGATCCAGGGCAGGTTGGCTTAATAAATTCAAATGTGTCTATGGTAGATTTAACCAGTGTTACCTTAGAAGATGTAACACCTAAGAAGTCACCACCACCAAAGACAAATTTAACCCCTGGCCAAAGTGATTCAGCAAAAAGGGAAGTAAAGCAGAAGATCAGTCCCTACTTTAAAAGTAATGATGTGGTGTGCAAAAATCAAGATGAGCTGAGAAATCGTAGTGTGAAAGTCATTTGTTTGGGAAGCCTAGCATCTAAATTGTCCAGAAAATACGTAAAGGCTAAAAAATCAATAGATAAGGATGAAGAATTTGCCGGTTCTAGTCCACAGAGTTCCAAATCCACAGTTGTTAAGAGCCTGATTGATAACTCTTCAGAAATTGAGGACGAGGATCAAATTTTGGAGAACAGTTCTCAAAAAGAAAACGTGTTTAAATGTGATTCTCTAAAGGAAGAGTGCATTCCTGAACATATGGTAAGAGGAAGTAAAATAATGGAAGCCGAAAGCCAAAAGGCTACCCGGGAATGTGAGAAATCAGCCCTCACCCCTGGATTCTCAGATAATGCGATCATGTTATTCTCACCAGATTTCACTCTTAGGAATACATTAAAGTCTACTTCAGAAGACAGTCTTGTAAAGCAAGAGTGTATCAAAGAAGTGGTTGAAAAACGTGAGGCATGTCATTGTGAAGAAGTAAAAATGACTGTTGCTTCAGAAGCTAAAATACAGCTGTCAGATTCAGAGGCAAAATCTCATAGTTCTGCAGATGATGCTTCTGCATGGAGTAACATCCAAGAGGCTCCTCTGCAGGATGACAGTTGCTTAAACAATGATATCCCTCACAGCATTCCTTTGGAGCAGGGGTCAAGCTGCAATGGTCCTGGTCAAACAACCGGTCATCCTTACTACCTTCGGAGTTTCCTTGTGGTGCTGAAAACCGTACTTGAGAATGAAGATGATATGTTGCTCTTTGATGAGCAGGAGAAGGGAATTGTAACTAAATTTTATCAGTTATCAGGTATCTTACGCACGTGTTTGTTTTCAAGTTTTCATTCCCCTTTTGCTGCTCTGATTGGGGCATGATGTGATGGGCAGTAATCTAGTGACCGCAAGGAGTCACTGTGGTGTTGTGAGCACCCTGTGGGAGTGTTCATGGGAGTTGGAGCATAGTCGAAGGTTTTATTGAGAGGGATGCATGGAAAAGAGACAAGATTTTGTCCCGGGTGATGTTTACTCCTGCTGAACTTTGGTTACATTGGAAGCAGCTGTTTTTCTTTTATAGGTACATTTGATAGTTATGAAACAACCTTTTCCAGATTAAAAAACAATATAATGTGACTTAGAAAAGCATACTTTGCATTTTGAGCGTGTAATCAGGCTTTCCATTAGGTTGTTTTGTTGTTCCTCAAAGATGAAAGTAGAATAAAATACAATACAGGAAGAAAACAAACCAACCTGAGGCATATTTTCTTTCTCCCAACAACATTTTAGATTTATGGACTGTGCCTTTTAAAGACAGGGTGTGGAGGAAATGGAAACTTTCAAGCTGAAATTGGTACATTAAAAATACTAGTCTATGCCTGAAGTCCTTGGCAGCCAGGGGTGGCTCCAAGCCAGCAGTGCAGGTTTGTAGTAAAAGCCACCCTTGTGTCTTTACGGTGTTATTCAGAGGGCCATGATGACTCTGTGGAACCATGTCCCTGAGGGCAGGAAAAAACATGGTAGTCACACTGTCGTTTAGTAAAATGCGGCCATGTGTGACTCCTCAGTAGATAAAAAAGAGAAAAATCCTGAACATTACTATTGATGTTCAAGGGAAGGATTTCTATTTTAAATTCGCACAGTGAAATTATGGTATTCCTTGGGTTACTTTTTAACATGTGAGCGATACTTCTCTGGGCACAGCTGTGTGTAGTATCCACTTCCATCTCTACTTTTGCTGTTCTCACCAGAAGATGGACATAATAGCACATTGGCTTTTCTATCCAAACTAGTCACAGATCTTTGGTTGGGTGCTGATTGCATTCCTGGAGTATTTCAGAGATTGGTGGCTCTGTAATTCCATGTAATTGAGAAATAGGAACAGTTTTCCTAGTGCAAGTTCTGCATATGCATGTGTCTTGCACTCCATGGAGAATCATGTACAATCTGTTGGTGTGTAGAAATAATTACTGCTAATTGTTTTTGCCTTTTTTTTTTTTTAATTTTAAGTTCTTTTAGAGACAAGGTTTCTGTCTGTTGCCCAGGCTGGAGTGCAGTGGTGTAATCATAGCTCACTGTGACCTTGAACTCTTGGTCCCAAGCGATCCTCCTGCCTCAGCCTCCCAAAGCACTGGGATTACAAGCATAAGCCATAGGCTGGGCATGGTGGCTCAGGCCTGTAATCCCAGCACTTTGGGAGGCCCAGGTGGGCAGATGGCCTGAGGTCATGAGTTCCAGACTAGCCTGACCAACATGGTGAAACCCCGTCTCTACTAAAAATACAAAAATTAGCCGGGCATGGTGGTGGGCGCCTGTAATCCCAGCTGCTCTGGAGGCTGAGGCAGGAGAATGGCATGAACCCAGGAGGCAGAGCTTTCAGTGAGCCGAGACTGCACCATTGCACTCCAGCCTGGGCAACAAGAGCAAAACTCCATCTCAAAAAAAACAAAACAAAAACAAAACAAAAAAACAACCAAAAAAAACAACACCAGCATGAACCATCATGACAGGTCAATTTTGCCTTTTTAAAGAAGAAAGGAAAATAAATGTTGGAAATTTTCAAAATACAATTAAGCCATTTTAGAGTTGGCCGAAATTTAAAGATAATCTGGGTAATAGGGAGATTGAGACCAAACAGGTTAATTAAGAAGCTTGGTCAAGATTGCTGGGTTAGAGATGACTGCCCTACTGAAGCTAGACATTTTTTTTGGAAAATTATTTCAGATTATTTTCGATCAAATCAGAATAATGCATATTAAGCTAAGAGCAGAGAACAAAATAAGAATTCTGGGTAGGGCTTTTCTGAGGGAGTAGAAATGTTGATGTCTAGAAAATGGGGAACTTGATCTTAGAAGTTTTAAAATGACCAATAATTGTTACCAAATTTTTAAATGTACTTTCAAAATGGTTTATTCCATAAAATGAAGGCCTTATACATACAGTAAGCATATGTGTATTTCTAAATCGTACATTTATTCACCTTAGGTTTAAAAGGTAAATGCAGTGATTTTCAACATTTTTCTTAACTTTATTGCAGCTACTGGTCAGAAGTTATATGTAAGGCTCTTTCAACGTAAATTAAGCTGGATTAAGATGACCAAATTAGAGTATGAAGAGATTGCCTTAGACTTAACACCTGTGATTGAAGAATTGACGAATGCAGGCTTTCTACAGACAGGTATGACTAGTAGAAGGAGATGTGAAATGAAAATATGATCTGAAGAACTGAGCTTCTGCAGAATGATGGCAGTATTATTATGGTGCCCTCCCCGGGGTGGTGCCTGGTAACTTACTGTTTTTTAATTGAATTTTTAATCTTAGGACAACAAATTACTCATGTGATGCTAAAGCCATTCTTAGCCTGAGTTAAGAATACTAGAATAATGAGAGATGGTCTGCTGCTGTTTTCTTGACTGTGGCAGGTTTAGAATGAAAGTCACCTGGGCATAGACATGGGTGTGTGCCACAGAAGAAATACATCCCGGCCGGGCACGGTGGCTCATGCCTGTAATCCCAGCACTTTGGGAGGCCGAGGCAGGTGGATCACCTGAGGTTGGGGGTTCGAGACCAGCCTGACCAACATGGAGAAACCCCATCTCTACTAAAAATACAAAATTAGGTGTGGTGGCGCATGCCTGTAATCCCAGCTATTTGGGAGGCTGAGGCAGGAGAATCACTTGAACCCGGGAGGCTGAGGTTGCGGTGAGCTGAGATTGCACCATTGCATTTCAGCCTGGGCAACCAGAGTGAAACTCTGTCTCAAAAAAAATGGATACATCCCTTCTTGGCGCTCTCCTTCCAGCAAGAGCTTGACTCATCTTACTCAGAGTCCTCTTCTTTATGATAGAATAAAGCTGGTTGTTTGAAACCCATATTGCCTCTAAAAACTTCATCTGCCCCCCTTGCACACACATACAGTTCTTCGATTATGTTGATTGCCTTAAGCATTGTTGAATTGCTTTAAGCCTATGTGAACACTAAGGAGAGTCTATCTTCTGCAGTGATACCCTTCGTTGTCTTGTCAGTAGCATTCGTTAAGTACCTACCTATGTATTGGGTACAAAATTGTACTGTATTAGGAAAGGGAAATGTGAGCCTTGGGTTCAAGTTGCTGACATTTTAGACCAAAATAAGCGAATCAGCCAGCTGGTTTCTTTGGGGCAGAGTTTATTGTGGGGAGCAGTAAGTGGGGATGAAGCGAAGTGAGCAGGAAGTGTGTTAGGGTGGGGCTGGATGGCGTGGGATGGGGAAAGTTGCGGGAGAGGCATAAAAGCTCAGTGAAGGCGCTTGGTTGTGAATGGTTAGTGGTGGGACACAGGACCCTCTGCAGAGCAGCGCTTCCCACACATCAGTGCCAGCAGGGTCACCTGGGAACTTGATACTCAGTCCCCACCTGACTTGGAAAATGTGGTGCAGCTTCCGTAAATTCATATGTCTGACAGGCATGCCAGGTGACTGCTGCAGGTGAGCCTTGACTTACCTTCAAATGAGCAACAAAACCAGGATCCTAGTGGCTCACCGTGGCACTCAGTCAAGTGCAAGTCCCATCCATGCTCCAGCCCCATGGGGCCTGGCTCTGGCTGTCCCTCTCGCTTTCTGCCACGGCCACCCAGCCCTCAGTGTTCTTCACCAGGATGAGTGCATTCCTGTCTCAGAGCCTTGGACTGACTTTCCCCTCCACCCAGGTCAGTTTCCACCACGTGGCCACACGGCATAGTTCTCCTTTCCTTCCCCGCTGCGTGGTGTTACCTTGTCAAAGGTTTGCCTGACTACTGTGTGAAATACAGCCAGCCTCCTGCCAGCTTCAGTTTGCCTCCTGAGTTGTGTTTTTCTTTAGAGCGGTTATTACCACCTGATAAATTTGCCTATTCATTTAATTGTTACGCTGGGAGGCTAGCTCCTATGGATGGGATTTCTTTCACTGTAGCATGCCCGGGGCCTTAGAACATTACCAGGCCGACAGTGTACACCCAATAAATATTTGCTGAATGGAGGAAGAAGGCACTGCCCTAAACTTGTGAAGCCTTGAAGGCAAAGACCAGCGAGGTCTGACTGAGCCGAATTCCTAGGCCAAGGTTGGTGTCGGGGCCCACAGTAGCCGAACAGGCTCACGAATGCCGAGTGAGCAGGAGAGGCTTGTGGGAAGAAGAGGGCTGATGATCAGTTCTCTCTGACCTGGTTTGAGAGGTCCCATTTTGTAGGGGTTTTGTGACGAGAAAGGCAGGGAGTATATATTCCAAGCAGGTGTTGAGATGCCCAAACCATAATGGCTATCCATGTGTGTCTTTATTTTAGTTATGTTTTCCTTTAGATTTTAGTGAGAAATTCTATTATTTGATAACTTTTAAGAGATATAATAATAGTGTTATTAATACGTTAATAATACCATGTTAATAATTCCACATTTAATGATTGGTTTGGCCAACTAATTAAAATTTTCTTAGTAGCATTTCATTTTATTTTCATCTAACTAAGGTAAATAAAGCTAGAAAATAGTAAAATTTAAAAAAACTTTTTTTTTTAACCATTTCAGAATCTGAGTTGCAAGAACTCTCTGAAGTGCTTGAACTCCTTTCTGCTCCTGAACTAAAATCCCTAGCCAAGACCTTCCACTTGGTGAATCCCAATGGACAGAAACAGCAGCTGGTGGACGCCTTTCTCAAATTGGCCAAACAGCGTTCAGTCTGCACTTGGGGCAAGAATAAGCCTGGAATTGGTGCAGTGATTTTAAAAAGGTTTTGTTGGCTATTGTTACAGTAAAAACATTTAAAATGTTGATAGCACATATTAACTTACAGTAGATTGTATACTTGATTGAACTGTAATTGTTTATTTCAGTTGTAGTTAGATTGAGAAGGCTGGAAAAGCCTTAATTGCAATAGCCTGGATTCTTTCTTGGGTTATTATTCAAAATTTTTGTCGTAATACCGTACTAATTTCCAGGACCAAGAAAAATCGGAAGGCAATAGGCCTTTGGTAAATTGTAGTATTTTATTTTCCGAGAAAAATACAGTTTTAAGTGATTCTTATGGGATTTTAAGGTAAACTATTTAGTCAAATTTTTATTTTAGTTTTTGTTTACTAAACAAAGTATAATCAGGCAGTCTTAATGTGCAAGTTTTCCTGAGTTTAAACGTAACAATTTACCAAAAACTGTGAGTGGCTTCTTTTGTCCTTGAGAAGCCCTTGACCTGTTTCAGTTGAAAATTACAAAAACTTTTAGAATTGATTTCTTTTGCCCATGTTATTTATATAATCAAACTATATCAACTCTAGCCTGGGAATTCACTACTGTGGAGTCGAGGATGAAATGAGAGGATGCTTTTGAAAACACTTTAACATGATGTTGTTATTTATTTTATATATTTGTTTTGTATATTTCAGTTGTTATGAGCCCATCCTTGTTGGGGAGGTGCTATAAATACTAATCTTTAATGAAACATAGGTGTAATAAGGCAGACATTAAGAAAAATATAAATACCAACACTTGAAAAAAGCTCGTGTTATAGATTTTTAAAAAGTACTTCAATAAATTACATACTTGTAATTAATTGACTTGAGAAGTATAGAATCCTCATCTGTGTGGTATGTTAAATGTCTTCTAAGTCCTTTCTTTATCTAATTGTATTTCTTAAGTATTTGATGTTAACCTTATATGTAACATTTTATAAGCAAGTAAACATTAAATTTAGCCACCCTCTGGCTGGGCACAGTGGCTCACACCTGTAATCCCAGCACTTTGGGAGGCTGAGGCAGGTGGATCACAAGATCAGGAGTTCGAGACCAGCCTGGCCAATATGGTAAAACCCTGTCTCTACTAAAAATACAAAAATTAGCCTGGTGTGGTGGCAGGTGCCTGTAATCCCAGCTACTTGGGAGGCTGAGTCAGGAGAATTGCCTGAACCTGGGAGGTAGAGGTTGCAGTGAGCTGAGATCGCGCCACTGCACACCAGCCTGGGTGACAGAGTGAGACTCCATCTCAAAAAAAAAAAAAAAAATAGCAGCCCTTTCTTGGTATATGCACTTAGCATAGAACAGATAAAGTAAATAAGATGAACATATTTTATCTCTAACTTTGGACTTGTAGGAAAATAGAATCCTCAAGGCTGTTTTAGTTCTAGTGAAAACCACTGTCCTTTAAGGTTGTCCTTTATTTCTTCATTCTGATGGTAAAGCCCAGCAGTGGAATTTCAGAGTCCCTGCCAGCCCCACGCTAGGGCAGCGCCTGGTGCTTTTACTCTGCTGTTATGATAAAGAAACAGAAACAGCCACATTATTACAGAAAAAGGCACATTATTTATGCTTTCTTAATCCTTGCAGGAGTCACTGCTTAGTTTTCTGTGTTTAATGCTTCCTTTTGCAGACTGGAGGCTGTGTCCACTGGGGCATCCCCGGGACTCTGCGTGGAGGTGGATGAAATGGGTACTTTGGGGCAGTCTGTAGATGAGTGGCTCTCAGTTCAGTGGTGGTGTGATAGGAATCCCACCCCTTCCCCTTCAACTCCATGATGGTGGCACTCATCTCTCCCACACCCTCTGGGATGCAGTGCTGCTTTTGGTTTAATAGCTTCTGCACCAGAAGGGTGTGACATCTTTCACTAGCCAAGTGGTTCTCAACTGGGGGCATCTGGCATCATCTGGAGACATTTTTGGTTGTCAGTACTGGAGGTGGTGAAGCTAATGGCATCTAGTGACTAGAGGCCAGGGACAGGGCACTGCTGAGCATCCTATAATTTACAGGACAGCCCCTGACAACAAAGAATTACCTAGCCTAAATGTCAATAGTGCTGAAGCTGAAAAACCCTGCTATTGATGGTGTCTAAGCTGCTAGAGTCAGAGGGCCCACATGGTCCTGGATTTAATTTAGACCTCCAAGCCCACCTTGCAGACATCCAGAGTTGAACTGAATTCACTCCAATGTTATCCTAGAATAGAGATGCTGCTGGACCATTCTGTACACTAGAGAAGGGGTCTGCAACCCCCAGGCCATAGACCGATAACTGTCCATTGCCTGTTAGGAACTGGGCCACACAGCAGAAGGTGAGCAGTGTGCCAGAGAGCATGACCGCCTGAGCTTTGCCTCCTGTCAGATCAGCAGTGGCATTAGATTCTCATAGGAGTGTGAACCCTATTGTGAACTGCGCATGCGAGGGATCTAGGTTGCGTATTCCTTATGAGAATCTATTGCCTGATGATATGAAGTGGAACAGTTTCATCCCGAAACACCTCCCTCAACCCCAGTCCATGGAAAAATTCTCTTCCATGAAACCACTCCTTGGTGCCAAAAGCGTTGACTGCTGCGCTAGAGAACAGCACCAAACTTTGGCATATACATTTGCACCACGTCTTGGTACACAAAATCTGATGTTTTACCTGGAGCCTTTGATAATGACATTTTAAAGAAATACCATTATTTAATCTAAATCATCACTAGAATAAAAAATTGAGAATTGCTTCATGTTGACTAGGCAATACTTTTCTGAAAGTTTTCCTGGTATTTGAAGCACTCATGACCAGGGTAAACCCCAACCTACTGTGCAGCCGAGGAAGGAAGCACTTGTATGGAGCCAAACCATGTGTGGAACCATTTGGAGATGTACATTCATTTACTCCTGTGTATCCCTGGGTGAGCTCTCAGCCCCAGAGCAGTTAAGTAATGCTCCAGTGTTTAAAATAGTGAATGTCATTTCTCTTTATTTTAGATGAAAATAATTTGTAAAATCTGACATCCAAATGCTTAAAAAGCTAAAAGTTATTTCTACATTGTACATTTTTCAGAGCCAAAGCCTTGGCTGGACAGTCAGTACGAATCTGTAAAGGCCCCAGGGCTGTGTTTTCCCGCATCTTGCTACTGTTTTCGTTGACCGACTCAATGGAAGATGAAGACGCCGCTTGTGGAGGTCAGGGACAGCTTTCAACAGTCCTGTTGGTCAACCTCGGCCGAATGGAGTTTCCTAGTTACACCATCAATCGGAAAACCCACATCTTCCAAGACAGAGATGATCTTATCAGGTAAGATGATGTTAGCTCACTATAATGTCTATATGTGTATTTCACAATTTAGTAAAAGGTTTTGTTATTTTTTTCCAGCCAAAGTAGAAACATTAAGTCCACAGCCAAAACAGTTTTTAATCTTTTTTTGCCCCACTTGTATACATTTCTATGACTATAGGGAAAATGTAGAAGTGTGCTGAGATTATGGTTGCCAAAATCCAAGGAATTTTGAGTTAGAACTACAAAAACTTCTCTGGTTTATGTTTCCAAGTACCTTTGGAAGGGAGTATTTTTTGTTTGTTTGTTTGTCTTAATTTGAGACAGGATTTCGCCCAGGCTGGAGTGCGGTGGCATGATCACCGCTCACTGTAGCCTCAACCTCCTGGGCCCAAGTGATCCTCCCACCTCAGCCTCCCAAGTAGCTGGGACCACAGGCACATGCCACCACACTCAGCTAATTTTTGTATTTTTTTGGTAGAGATGGGGTTTCACCATGTTGCCCAGGCTGGTCTCAACTCCCGGACTCAAGCAATCCGCCCACCTTGGCCTCCCAAAGTGCTGGGATTATAGGCGTGAACCACCGCCCTCGGCCTGTATTTTTTTTGACACAGACATATTAACAAACTTGACTTAGGAATATGTTGTTGGCATGAACAAGACTGAATGTGAATATTTTCTTATTAGTAACACTTTAGGTAAAGCTATTAATAACTTGTATATTGTATATCATACATATGATAATTAGATATACAGATGATAAATTAGAAATTTTCACTAATTTATATTGGCACACGGATTTAGTGAAAATTTGGTTTGTCCAATAAAAGTAGATTTTGAACTAAAAGTAGAACTACCATGTGATCCAGCAATCCCACTACTGGGTAATATCCAAAGGAAAAGAAATAGGTATATTGAAGAGATATTTGTACTCCCATGTCTATTGCAGTCTATTCACAATAGCCAAGATAGGGAGTCAACCTAAGTGTCCATCAGTGGATGAATGGATAAAGAAAATGTGGTACATATACACAATGGAGTACTGTTCAGCCATAAAAAAGAATGAAATTCTCCATGGTGGCAACATGGCTGAGCTCAGAGGACATTATGTTATGTGAAATAAGCCAGGCACAGAAAGACAAATACTGCATGTTCTCACTCATATGTGGGAGGTAAAAAAGTGGATCTCACAGAAGTAGAGAGTAGAATAGTGGTTACCAGAGGCTGGGAGGGGAAGGGGGATAGGGAAAGGTTGGTTAACAGATACAAAAGTGCAGCTAGGTAGAAGGAATAAGTTCTGTTGTTCTGTAGCAGTGTAGGATGACTATAATTAACAACAGTTTATTATATATTTTTAAATAGAAGAATGGATTTAGAATATTCCCCACACAAAGAAATGATAAATGTTTGAGGTGATGCCTGGTATGGCAACACATGCCTATATTTCTAACTACTCGGGAGGCTGGGGCAGGAGGGTCACTTGAGTCCAGAAATTCGGGACTAGCCTGGGCAACATAATGAGACCCCATCTCTAAAACATTTTCAAAAAAGTTTGAGGTGCTGGATATGCTAATTACCCTAATTTGATCATTATACATTGTATACATGCATTGAAATATCACACTGTGCCACATAAATATGTGCAATTTTATGTTAATTAAAAATAATAATAGATGCCAAACAAATAATGGGATTACAGTATTAAAAAGCAGGTTTTGATAAGAAAGAATAGTGTAGGTCTTAGGAAAAAAAATTTGGATTTCCTTAAAAAAAACACCTTTGGTAAGAAAAATTAATTTGGATTTCCTAAAATGTCACTTTTGATTCTTGATTTGGATTTCTGACTCAAATTTAACCAAAATTGATTGTGATATTTGCTTTTAGGAAAGTCCTGTGTTTCTAGGAAAGCCAGGTGCTTTAAGAAGTAAGTTATTGAAATTTTTGAATCACAGCAGTGTCAGTATAATCTGATTTTGGCCCATTTTACCTTAGCTGTCAGGAAGCTCAGTATCTTATTTGTGTTCAATGGGAATAACTTTTTTAGTTAAAATCTCTAATAAGACTGTTTATTCTTACCCTGTTTTCAGTTGTCTCATATCTTTTTTACCTTTTTTGTTTTTACTGGCTTTACGCTTTTCTGGCTTGTGAGAATGTATACTCTGAAGCCAAGTTCCAGTTTCTATACCAATGAACTGTGAACCCACCCTGTGCCTCAGTTTCCTCATCTGTCAAATGGGGAGAATAATAGTATATTCTTACAGACATGTGTGGGGTGCATGGGAAGTGCTTAAAGCCTGGGCTATGGGGAATGCCTACTACATGTTCATTATTATTTTAATTGTCATTCTTACTGTTATACCCAAGTTCTATGACAAAACCATGGTTGACAAGTTCAAAAGGCATCTCATATTCTTTCTAGAAAGTAAGTGTGCTGTAAATAATAAAAATAATGAGAACTCCCTTGGTTAAGCAGAGAGCCTTAAGATGTAAATGAAACTGGATTTAATTGACTTCTGGAAAGGTAATAGTATTCAATATCTGGTAATGTGATACCTGGCCAGGAAACCCTTGTTGTCTACCTCTGTACTTGAGATAATTTATCCTTTTAAAATGTTTCTTATTCATTCAGTACAAATGAGTGTTGAGTACCTTTTATGTGACTTGGTTAGGGGTTGTAGCAGTGAACAAGAGAGGGCCTCAGCCATCATGGGGCTATGTTTCCTGGGGAGATAGAAATTAACCACTATTTAAAGTGTGTGAGAAGTGCTGTGATAATTGAGGGACAGGCTGGATAAGTTCTTTATAGACAGAGTGGCCCTGGAGAGGTGACATTTGAAGTGGGACTTGAGGATGAGAATGAGGTAGCTGTGTCAGGGTCTGGGTGCCTGCGTCCCGGCCGCGAGATAGCATGTGCACAGGCCCTGAGGCAGGAAAGAGCTTGCTGAGTTGGAGGAACTCAGGAGACCCCTGGCTAAGATGTGGGGGTGGACAGGACTGGGTTGTTGGTAGCGGCAGTGGAGAGAAGTGAATGTGTATGAGGCAGTTTGGAAGCAGTAAAGACAAGACTTGATTCTGATGTGGGCGAGAAGGTGAGGAGTGGATCAAGGATGGCTCTGGTGTTTTGCCTTGGGGTGGGGCGCCATCCAGTGAAGGGGATTGGGAGAGGTGTTGGTGCTGGAGGCGTCAGTGTGTGGGGTGCTCTTCAGCCGTTTGGTTGAAGCTGTTGTGTGTGGCATTGGACTTGCGGTCAGGAGCTCAGGGAATGGGTCTGGCCTGGAAAAAGTCAACATTTTGAGAGTCACTGGCATATGGACAATGTTTGAAGCCATGGAACTGAATGAGCAGCATATTATAAAAGAATGAGATCTAAGAATTTGTGAGCAAACTTTTACATTTGGAGGCAATTTCTTTACTCTTACTTTACAGTGTTTGTACATAATGATATTATGTACTTCATGCTTTTCTTTTAGATGTGAGACCAAAATACAATGAACATGTACTCAAAGTGTTAACAGAATTTGTTGGTCAAATGTCTTTGTTTTTTGGTAGCTAAAGGAGCGATGAAAAATTGTCTTTCTTAAGCTAAGTTGTGTTGTAACATTTCAGCGTTGCCATCTCCCAAAGAGCATCCCTTAGTTATTTTGAAATATTCCAGGTAATCTTCTTAGCTTGGGCAGCATCCCTCTGGCTAGCTCTGATTGTAAATGATTAAATTATCAGATCTACATCTGACTATAATTCTGATGTCACTTACATGTTTGCTGTCATATTGTTGAATGAGTGAATGGATGAATGAATGGATGAGTGCCAAAATCAGGAATGATGAGCTGATCCATATCACATTTATAGAATGGAACATGTTATGTGATAATACAGCATAAATGTTTTTATCTTTCTAGTTGGGCTTTCTTATCAGTTCTGGGCCACTCCAGTGATTTGGTTAAGATAAATTATTATTAGAATAAAATTTAAGTGGCCCTCATATTTTAAAAAACACACTTTTACCTTTCAGAGTGAGATCTAGTGGCTAGGATGTGGTCATTCTATGGGAATGCTCATTCTTATTTGGAACTTGGATGGCATTTTCCTCCAGATATGCAGCAGCCACGCACATGCTGAGTGACATTTCTTCCGCAATGGCCAATGGGAACTGGGAAGAAGCTAAGGAGCTCGCTCAGTGTGCAAAAAGGGATTGGAACAGACTGAAAAACCACCCTTCTCTGAGGTGAGAGTTTTTCTAGGTACCTGCCAAAATTTATACATTGACCAAGTTGTTCCCAACACTTACAGTAATTTTCTTCATGAAGAATATACTCCTTTTTCTCTGTGGTTAAACCAGCTGTGGAATTGAATTTTGTGCGTGCTTTGCCTAGAATGAAAGTGCTGTGTGAAATAGAAGGAAATGTCTGAAGGTTTAAAGTGAATTTGATATAACTCAGATCCCTGGGCAACACACATGCCAACCCCATACTTGACTTGTCGCATGCCAACTGTAGGAGTGTTGGCCTCCCTGAGTACTGGTGAGCTGAACTGAAACGTGAGGGAAGCCAGCAGCAGGACGGATGTGGGAAGCATGGTAGGTGGGTTCCTCTGAGGGAAATTCAAGTAGGTGTTAAAAACTCTGCAAAAGACAGCTCAAGCGAACTTTCCAGGTACACAGCACATGATCTTTTATTTTGTTGAAAATGGTAAACATCTTCAATATTTATTAAGACATTTTTTCCTTTGTTGTTACATAGTGATGAGAAAAATTAGTATTTTCAGATGCCACTTTGAAAAAATCATTTAGGATATACAGTTGACCCTTGAATGATGCAGGGGTTGGGGTACCGACCCCTCAGACAGTCAAGAATCTGTGTGTAACATCTGACTTCCCCACTACTTAATTAATAGCTTACTGTTGACTGGAAGCCCTACCGATTACATAGTCAATTAACACACATTGGATATGTTATATGCATTATATGCTGTATTCTTACAATAAAGTAAGCTAGGGAAAAGAATATGTTATTAAGGAAAATCATAAGGGGGCTGGTACGGTGGCTCACGCCTGTAATCCCGGCACTTTGGGAGGCCGAGGCTGGCAGATCACCTGAGGTCGGGAGTCTGAGACCAGCCTGACCAACATGGAGAAACCTCGTCTCTACTAAAAATACAAAATTAGCCAGGCCTGGTGGTGCCTGCCTGTAATCCCAGCTACTCGGGAGGCTGAGGCAGGAGAATCACTTGAACCCAGGAGGTGGAGGTTGTGGTGAGCTGAGATCACGCCATTGCACTCCAGCCTGGGCCACGAGCAAAACTCCGTCTCAAAAAAAAAAAAAAAAAAAAAATCATAAGGGGCTGGGCGTGGTGGCTCATGCCTGTAATCCCAGCACTTTGGGAGGCAGAGGTGAGTGGATCACTTGAGGTCAGGAGTTCGAGACTAGCCTGGCCAACATGGTGAAACCTCGTCTCTACTAAAAATACAAAAATTAGGTGGGTGTTGTGACGAGTGTCTGTAATCCCAGCCTCGGAAGGCTGAGGCAGGAGAATCACATGAACCTGGGAGACAGAGGTTGTAATGAGCTGAGATCGCACCACTGTACTCCAGCCTGGGTGACAGAGCGAGACTCTGTCTCGGGGAAAAAAAAAAAAAAAAAGAAAATCATAAGGAAGAGAAAACATATTTACTGTTCGTTAAGTGGAAGTGGATCATCATGAAGGTCTTCATCCTTGTTGTCTTTACAGCAAATAGGCTGAGGACGAGGAGAGAGAGGAGGGCTTGGTCTTGCTGTCTCAGGGGTGGCAGAAGCAGAAGAAAATCCACATATAAGTGGACGTGTGCAGTTTAAACCCATGTTGTCCAGGGGTCAGCTGTATATTTATAGAGAAATAATATTGACTTAAAAATCACAAGAAGTTAGATTACTATAAACAGAGGTTGATAAACTTCTGTAAAAGGTCACATAGTGAATATTTTAGGCTTTGCAGGCCATATGGTTTCTGTGGCACCAACTTTACTCTGCTGTTTTAGTGCAAAAGCAGCCACAAGAAGTACGTATGCAAATGAATGAGCCTGGCTGTGTTCCAGTTAACTTCATTTGTGGACATTGAAATTTCAGTTTCATACAATTTTCGCATACCAAAGTGTATTATTCTCTTTATTTATTAACAATTTAAAAACATAAAAACCATTCTTAGTTTGCAGGACATAGAAAATCAGGTGGCAGACCCTGGGTTTGGCTGTGGGCCGGAGTTTGCTGACCTTGGTTTAGAATGATGAGTTCTCATCTTACTCCACTGTCTGAGTGACCTAGGACGTGGTAGCTGGCTGTGAGAATGTAGGTTTGTGGTGTAGAAAATTGTACACAACTGAAAGTATTTAGAATATACCTTTTTAAAAGATAGGAATTCAGTCTGCTTTGTCACTTGTTATTATTGTCTTATAATAAATTAACCAAATTATTAAACTACTGGTATATGTCTTCATTTTAGATGCCACGAAGATTTACCACTCTTCCTGCGGTGTTTCACTGTTGGGTGGATTTATACAAGGATTTTGTCTCGGTTTGTGGAAATACTGCAGAGACTTCACATGTATGAGGTTAGAGCACAGGTCCCTGCCCCCCACCATTACTGATGTGATGGCGTTAAACATGTGAAGGGACAGCTGTCGGGCTCTCAGCATTTCCTGCTTATTTGGTTAGCACACAGTAATATAATGGAGGCATATTTGTTTTGTTTTGTCTTTTTGAGACAGGGTCTCACTCCATCACCTAGGCTGGGGTGCAGTGGCAGGGTTCAGCTTACTGCAGCCTCTGCCTCCCGGGCTCAAGTCATCCTCTCACCTCAGCCTCCTGAGTAGCTGGGACTACAGGCGTGCGCCACCATGCCTAGCTAATTTTTGTATTTTTAGTAGAGGTGAGATTTCACCATGTTGCTCAGGCTGATCTCGAACTCCTGGGCTCAAGTGATTTGCCCACCTTGGCCTCTGATGCTTTGACAGTGGGGGCCTAAAGTGTTGGGATTACAGGTGTGAGCCACTGTGCCTGGCCAACGAGGGCATAGTTAATGTAGGCAGCCCGCTGTCTCTTGGATTAGTAGAGAGAAGATAGGTGAAGATGGACAGCTGTTCTGTTTGCCTGTGTGTTGATGAATCTGTGTCCCAGGATGGCCTGGGGGTGGCGGCCACCATCCTGGAGGGTGCCCCACAGGTCTGCAGCCTGAGCCTGAGTCTCTTTCAGAACTCCTTGTGAGACTTGGCAGGTCCCCAGAAATCTCTGAGGGACCTTTTGCTTCCTTTTGCTTCCCTGTCAGCTGTCATGGATTGTCTGGAGACAATTTATAATCACAAATCAGAAATTTGTCGTATCCTAAACTTTGTGAAATTGCTAGATTTCACTTTTGTTGTGTTTGATATTTCTATATTGAAAATGTTATCTCCAGACCAGGCATGGTCAAAAATATATATATACAAAACAAGAAGAAAAGAAAATGGGATCTTACAAAGAGGATGTGCTAAGCTGGTTTCTTGGCCTGGGGTCTGTGAATCCCAGGGGAGTGATGGGTGGGCTTTGGGGAAATCTGTGAATCTCAAACTTGCATGTGTATGGGGATTTATGCATTTTTCTGGGGTAAATCATTCCATATTACAAAGACATCCATGAGCCACAGAAGATTAACAAACAGAATGACCGAACAGTCTGTACATAATCTAGACCAGAGAATGTTCCTGTTGAGGTAGGGTGTTTGTATGAGGACACCCCTCATTACTTTCCTGCCCACCCCAAATCCCTCTTGCAGTTGGTCCTGTGACCTGCTGTGTTCCCAGAAGTATGTGGGTTTGCCAACTGTGACCAGTGCTCAGCTGCCTGGAACTTGACCCTGTGCGACTCTGCACTGGTTGACTGGTTTGCAGATAACACTCTGCAGCACTCACAGATGTCTGTACCCCAGTGCCAGCTGGCAGGGACCGGGTGAAGAGTGAGGATGCCTTAGGGAACTCATGCCCACTCCAGAAGGCACCTCAAAGTCCCTGTCCTGTCAGTTCGGGGTCCTTGGCCTCATTGTAGAATGGAAAGATACGCATTATAAATAGGCTTTACCAATCCTATGGGCTTGTAAATATCATTGCAGCTGGATTTTTTGTGAATCTAATGAGGTTTCTTTGTTATTGTTGCAATAGGAAGCCGTCAGAGAACTTGAAAGCCTTTTGTCTCAGAGAATTTATTGTCCTGACAGCAGAGGCCGATGGTGGGATCGACTGGCCCTTAATTTACACCAGCACTTGAAGCGCCTGGAACCGGTACTCAGTAACAAAACATATCTGAAACACCTTTTCATTTTAGAATCAACTTTTAAAATATGGCAAACTTAATGCCTTAAAATTTACATGTAATTAGAACATGTATTTCTTTTGTTAACATTCTTCTTTTGTCTGTGTTCTTCCAACCCCAAAAGAATACCAGGGATGCCAGCACAGCATGAGCATAGAGACTGGAAGCTTTTGTCTTCTCTTTGCTGATTGGCGAGATGGGCTTACTGTGGACTCTGTGCTGGCATTTAGGAATCAGGATCTAGGAATTAAGGGAAAGGGAGAGTCAGATGACTCAGCCGTCAGCAAGTCAGCAAGTGCCTTCAAGGAAGGTGTTTGTTTTGGAAATGGTGACTTTGTTGATTTGTAGCACAGGGTCTCTAGGTAGAAAGATTGGCGAGAAAGCGTTCCTTTCCCTATCTTATTGCAGGTCCTTTATGCGTGACTCTGTACTTCTGTGAGGTGTTTTGCTCTGCCATTTGGAAGCGTTGTTTGACCTTGAGCAGGCACCAGTGCTCCCTGTGGTGGCGATCTAGGGGCACTTGGAAGCACAGGGATTCTGTGGCCACCACAGCCAGGCGGGTGAGGCCGCAGAGCCTGTGCCTGTGGGCTAGGCAGCAACAGTGGTTCTTTGTGTGGCCGCCAGCAGGCCCCTCCCTGTCTCTATTCCAGCCCTGCATTTGAGTTGAATGGAGGGGACTGTGCCTCTGGGAGCTTTTGATTTTTTCAGTGGCCCATTAAGTGAATCAGGGTGATGTAGGGGTGGAAAAAAACGACCACTGGTTAGGAAATATGACATCTTGTTTTTATTGCCGTAAACTGAAAAAGTGCCTTGTTACCTCACGTATCAGGGAAAGAGCCAGTAAAGCTATTTCCTCTCATGGAGGAGGGTGTGGGGCTTCCTTACCACTCGGTGTTTACTGAGGCTGAAATAGCAAGAGAAAGCATCTGGTAGCCTAGAACCAAATACAGAAGGAGAAAGCTTGTGTTTCTGTCGCCTTTCTTTCAATGAAATAAAAGTTCAAGAGAGTACAGATTTCCCCTCTGTTCACAGTTCTGCTAGGGGGTAGACAAGCCACTGAGCTTATTTTTGAGATTTGAGCTAAGCCTAGTTCCTCCTAACCTCTGTTTCCAGAGGTCTTACTGGCCATAGCTCTTGTTATTTCATTAGTGTTCTTTGATCTTTACCTCAGTCTCCAGGGAAGGGATCGCCTAGCTGAGTGCTAATTCCTGCAAAGTGCTCTGCAGCCAGCCCCGGCCTGGCCAGGGCAGAGGTGGAGCCAGCTGGGCCCTCCCTCTCCGAGGCCAGGCTGCCGCTGCCCGGCACCGTCTTCTGCCAGCGAACAGGGTGCCCTTCAGAGTCTCATTCTCCCATCTTCATTTCCTTCAGCCACTCAACTCTGGATGGCCTGAGCCTTCACTGATTTTCAATTTCTTGGTTTTTATTTTTTCTTTCACTTTTTATGTTTCTATTGTGGTAAAATAAATTTAACATCCCTAAAATACAGCATTTTAGCCATTTTTAGGTGTACAGTTCAGTGGCATTCATGGTACTCATAGTGTTGTGTGACCATTGCCTCTCCACTTACCACTCCAAACAGAAACACTGCAGCCATTAGGCAACTACGCCCCGCTTTCCCTTCCCCAAGCCCTGGCGACGACGTCTCATCTACTTTTTGTGTCTGTAAATGTGCCTGTTCATTTCATTCATTTCATTGAAGTGGAATCCTACGATATTTGTGGTTTTATGTCTGGTGTATTTTGCTCAGCATCATGTTTCTGAGCTTCACCCGCATCGTGGCACATGTCAGGACTCCGTTCCTTCTCCAGGCTGAACACACTTCCACTGTAGCATCTGATACCACATTTTTCTAGCCACTCATTGGTTGATGGACACTGGGTTCCTTCCACCTTTTCGGCCATTTTGAAGAATGCTGCATGAACCTCTGTTTCAGTCCCTGGTTTCAATTCTTTTGGGAATACCTGAGAGTGGAACTGCTGGGTCCTGTGGTGATTCTGTGTTGAGCTTTTTGAGGAGTGGCTGAACTGTTTTTCACAGTGTTTACACCAGTGTCACATTCCCACCAGCAATGCGTGAGGTTTCTGGTTTCTCTACCTCCTTGTCAATGCTTATTTTCCATGTTTCTGATTATAGCCATCCTAGTGTGAAGTGGTATCTCCTTGTGGCTTTCTGTGTTTGTTTATTTGTCTGACTCTGAATCGCCTTGGGAAATACTTGTAATTCCTCCAAACCTTTGGCTCCTGTCCCTGTAAATAAGGAATCTGAAGCAGCTCCATGGTTCTTGACTGCATATGAGATTGACCTGGCGCTTTGATGTGGCCCCCATGCGTGGGCTCCTGCTCTGGAGGTTCTCATTGTGTGGATCCGGGGTGGGACACATGTTTTCCTACAAAGCTGCCTAGGTGATGTCCTGAGAACCACTGAGCTAAGTTTTCCTGTAAAGTCAGGTACCCCTGAGGTTCACACCCTTTGTGAGGGGCAGCTGCTGGGATCCACTGTCCACCTGGATTACAGCCCGGTCACGCTCCAGCACGTTGACTGTGAAGGCTCTGGTTGCCAGATGCATTGAAATCCTCAGAATAAGATCTAAGGAAACAGCCTAAATCTCTAGAAGTGCTGTTTGCTCATTTGCTAATCAGCAAAATTCAATAATAAACAGTGGGCTTTTCTGTCAAACTAAATGCATGGAAGCCGCCATGGGTTTTTTTAGGAGCCTGATGTGTGACCATGCTCTCTGCCAGACTATCAAGTGCATCACAGAGGGGCTGGCGGATCCGGAAGTCAGAACGGGACACCGCCTTTCACTGTATCAGCGAGCCGTGCGCCTGCGAGAGTCTCCGAGCTGTAAAAAGTTCAAGCACCTCTTCCAGCAGCTCCCAGAAATGGCTGTGCAAGATGTGAAACACGTGAGGAAAGAGCCTGTGGGTGCTTTGGACTTAGGCGCGTGTACCTGGTTTTTTTGGACCAGAAGCATCCTAAGAGCTGTTTTGAGTGTGTGTTTTCTTTTAGACTCGGAATAATCTAAAACTCGTTTTGGACGGCTGTGTGGCCATTGCTCCCAGTCTCCCCCTAACGCCCTCCTCCCTGAGGAGACTGGGTTGCTTGGTGTGGTCACACCCTGGGTTGAGTGACAGATCTCCTGAATGGGGCCTCTCAGCATCTGCCCCGGTTTCATTTACTCACTGGGGACCTGTAGAGCAGTTCTGGTGGTTGAGGCTCTCCCAGGGCCGGACCAGCGAACTGTCACATCCCCGCAGTTCTGCGTGTGTGAGCCCCACGCTGTGTGCTCTACTAAGTGACTGACTTTGTGGTAAGGGAGGTCAATCCTCACGATGCTACAGGCAGGTTTTCAGGGACTTTTGCTGACCTGAGGCTAATAGATGTTATTCTGCTGCTGTTTCAGGTGACCATCACAGGCAGGCTGTGCCCACAGCGTGGGATGTGCAAGTCTGTGTTTGTGATGGAGGCCGGGGAGGCCGCTGACCCCACCACGGTCCTGTGCTCTGTGGAGGAGCTGGCACTGGCCCATTACAGACGCAGCGGTTTTGACCAGGGTAACTGAGCAGGCTTTCTCTTGTGGCACCCAGCCCCGGGTGGACGAGCAGCAGCACTGGATGGGCTGTCAGCAGTGGGCTGCTGTCCTCTCTCTGTCCTCTGCTCACAGTGGAAGATGCTGTGGGCTGGGGGATGTCTTCCTATTCTTCCCCTTATCAATGATAAGGAGTAGGTCAGGGGTAGTTGTCCCACAGGGCCTGGCTCTGATCTTTTTTCTTTTATAAAAACTTATAAAAGTTATGGAAGGTACTGCACAAGCCTTTGTACAGAAGTCAGGGGGACAGTGTGCTCAACCCCACGGACACCCACTTCCATTCAGTGTTCCTTCTGTTCTCTCCTGCCCCTTCCCTGGGATTTTAGAAGCTGGCCCCAGATATCCTCTCAGGGGCCCTGCGGCCCATGCTAGTCGCTTTCGGGAACAGCCACTGAGCCTTCCGCCCTTGGGCCTGGCAGGACTCTCCCTGTGCCCGGGCTGCAGGGTTACCAGTGTTAAAAACACTGATATTTTCAGATGTGTGAAAATCAGGACATGATTTCAGTATTCCCCGAGTGTTCGGAAGATTAACAAGTACTATAGAAAGACAACCACAAGATAGGAGTTTACAAAGCCCAGGTTCTTTCTGATGAGTGTTGAGATTCATCTACATAATATCTTTATTACTTACAGGGAAGGGTGATGTTATTGGGGAAGACGTGCAAATGCCAGTGAAGACAGAGAGATACAGTAGGCCTGAAATGGTTAGAAATAGAAGAATAGAATGCACATTCAAGGCCCCGAGAGACGTGGAAACTGGACACTCGCTGGAGGAGGAAGCAGGCTGGGACGTGGGAGCGCTGAAATGCTTTCAGTTGAGCCATGAGCCTGAAAAACACACGATTCCTTTCCCAGAGTAGAAACTATTTTTCCCTGATTAAAATCGATGCCGTGAAACTGGGCTGAACTCTGGCTGCCAGGCTTTATGCCACAGGGAATTTTGTGTCAGAGCGATCTCAACCTCTTCTGGGAGGTGATTTCTGAAGTACTGCACCAAAAATGATTTCACTTATAACACAAATGCACAGCATGGACCACTTAGGAGTTAAGGAACGAACCAGGCACGGTAGCTTACACTTGTAATCCCAGCACTTGGGGAGGCTGAGACAGGAGGATCACTTGAACTCTGAAGACGGAGGTGGGAGGATCTCTTGACCCCAGGAGGTCAAGGCTGCAGTGAGCCAAGATTGTGCCACTGCACTCCAGTCTGGGTGACAGAGTGAGACCCTGTCTCAAAACAAAACAAACAAAGGAGTTCAGAAATGATCTGGCCTTTATATTCCTGCCTGATCGTCAGTGTATTCACCAGGACGGAACACTGACTGGAAATCAGGTCCTAGCTCCACTCCTGGCTGGGAAAGAGCATGAAGTGTTCTAGGAAGAAAAGTCCTCCTGGAAGACTTGGCAACAGCCAGGAGTCCTGAGTGAACCGCTGTCCTTTTGAATCCCTGAGACGGGCTGCAGGGATGAGGGGCTAGAACTGACAGGAAGACAGGACAGAGAGCAGCACAGCCTCAGAAGTGCAGGACAGAGGTGACCCAGGCAGGCATGACGGGCTGTGGCTTCCTGCCCTCTGCTCTCACAGCACCCCTGATCCCACTCACTGTGGTACCACGCAGATGGGTTGGGGCCTGTAAATGTCAGGTGGGACCAGCCAGAGGAGCTTTGCTGCCAGTACTGGCATGTCAGGATGGGGGTCTGGTGGTCAGCACCTCCTCTGGCCAGTGGTCTTGTGGGGAGAGGCATCCATGTGGCCTCCTCCTCTGTCGGGAGGGCTGATGTGCAGAGAAGTACGGACTTGGAGGGCAGCTGGATGAGCTGGGGCTTGCTCAGGGACACAGGTCTGTGTGTTGTGCCAAGGCTGACCCCCTCATCCCACACCAGACCCTGCCTCTGACTCTGTGACCTCAGCACCTGACTTCTGTCTCTCAGGTCATCTCCCAGTCAGTAAAACATTTGTGTGACGTGAGGAGGGGCACTGAAGTGGGTGATCTTTAAGGCCAGATGTCTCTGTAAAAGCCTTGACTATCGGAAGCACTGGGCTAGGGCAGTGTAGTACCCAGGGGGATGAGGTGCATCAGAGCAGCACCTGCTGAGGCCAAGAACGGAGGTGGCTGCTGCCGGCCTCCGGGAGGTCCCCTTAGGGAAGCATTTCTTCAGGGGTGGCCCAGGGACCTCCGGCATCAGGGCCTGCATGGGGATTCTGTGCCAGCCCAGCCCTGCTAAGTCCCAGCCTTGGGAACCTGAGGAGGGTATCTGCCTATTTTTCTTTTAAACATGTTTCTTAGGTTATTCACTAAAGTTTGAGAACCACTGCTTTGTGGCTTTGAAATGTTCATTTGAATTTTTCTATGATTACTAAGATTTTTGCCCTTAAGGCTCTGTATATAAACAACATACTGTATAAAATAAACTGGGAATGGCGTGAAAACAGCATTTGCTTCTGAATCTAAAATATTTCTATTATTTTCTTGAAATTGAGTGTGCAGTAGGTTATGGTGGTGTTTTGGAAGAAACAGATAAAACAGATTTTGTGTGTGTGTGTGTGTGTGTGTGTGTGTGTGTGACCTTGTCTTAGGGATTCATGGCGAAGGGTCCACCTTCAGCACCCTGTATGGCCTCCTCCTGTGGGACATCATCTTCATGGATGGGATTCCGGATGTCTTCAGAAACGCCTGTCAGGTACTCCAGTGCCCCTGCCCCACGAGTAGGTCCTTCTGCACACATCCGTGGCTCACGCCCACCTGGGCACCGTGTGTCCACAGCCAGCAGAAACCATCTCTGTTACGGTCCTTTGGGTCATCCACAGGTCAAGATGATAACTTATTTTAAAAATCTGAGTAATAGAATTTAAGATGTAAGTATGTGAAGTTTTAAACTTTAATTTAGCCTCCACCTTACATTTAGACCTTTCGTATAAAGTACCATCAGCATCAGCCCTCCCGAGCACCTGCCGTGTCGCAGGCACTGTGCCAAGGAGCTCACAGACATGGGCACATCTGCCTGTTCAGAGGTCCACCCAGCTAAGCGAAAAGCTGTTTTTGCAAATTATTACTCTAAAAAACAAGTTTAATAAATTGCTTTTATATCAATTAACTTTTACTTATCTTTTGAGAGAAAGAATGTATCGGTTGGCCGGTTTCCAAGTTTTGTATGTACTGACTAGTCCTCTGGTGAACACGGCTCTCTGCAGGCACAGTATGACAGCTTGCTTTCCCTGTGACACAGGCATTCCCCCTGGACTTGTGCACAGACAGCTTCTTCACAAGCAGACGCCCAGCCCTTGAGGCCAGGCTGCAGCTGATTCATGATGCCCCCGAGGAGAGCCTGCGGGCCTGGGTGGCAGCCACGTGGCATGAGCAGGAAGGCAGAGTGGCTTCCCTTGTCAGCTGGGATCGCTTCACGTCTCTTCAGCAAGCTCAGGTAATGGTTCACCTGCATGGCAGGATTTGCTCAGAAAGTTAACACCGCCCCAGTGCTGTCTTTTCAGCAACTTTATCAAAATACACATGTGTGTATATGTAAATACATGTATGTGTGTGCATATATATGATATATAGTATATATCATATATAAAATATATATTATATCTTTATTATATTTATTATATTATATATTATATATTACATATTACATATATAATATATATTATATATTATACAATATACAATATATAATATAATATATGAAATATATAATATATCATATAATATATATAAAATATATATTATATCATATATAATATATATAAAATATATAATATATTATATCATATATAATATAATATATAAAATATATAATATATTATATCATATATAATATAATATATAAAATATATAATATATTATATCATATATAATATAATATATAAAATATATATCATATATAATATATATAAAATATATAATATATATCATATATAATATATAAAATATATAATATATATCATATATAATATATAAAATATATAATATAATATATATCATATAATATATAAAATATATAATATATAAGATATCATATATAATATAATGTATAAAATATATAATAATATATATATTAATATTATATAAATTATATATATGAGAATACCCTATCCCCCTGGCCCCAATGCCACTGTTAGTGATGGAAACATACTAGGGTGTTAGAAAAGCCCCAGCTGTGCCTTTGCCACCCCTGAGTTGACAGCTTTCTTTTGCTTGCCCTGTGGCTGAGGCAGGGAGGATACCTTCTGTGTTCCTTCAACTGCTGCCCTCTATGAGGCCATGCTGTCGCGTTCCTGAGTGCATCCTCCACATCCCTCTTCCTCAGCGCTCCCCAGCATGGCCACGCTGGCAGAAGCCTGGAAACTGACCACAGGAGGACCAGTCTCCCACCACTTGCCAGTGGGATTCCAGCCATGGCTCTGCAGCTCTGGTACAAGCAGCAGAACAGCGCATGGTGGGCCTGGGGTCCATGTGCACTGAATTACATATACACTGAGCTTTTCTCCGTCTCGTGATCCCTGGAGCCTATTTCCATTCTCTGTCACGAGGGAAGTGGCTAACTGTCCTGTGTTTTGTGTTCAGGATCTTGTCTCCTGCCTGGGGGGCCCTGTGCTCAGTGGTGTGTGCAGGCACCTGGCTGCTGACTTTCGACACTGTCGAGGGGGCCTCCCCGACCTGGTGGTGTGGAACTCCCAGAGCCGTCACTTTAAGGTCAGTTGAGGCAGAATGGAAAGTCCTGTTGGTAACCTTATTAGCAACTGAATCAGAGGCCACAAGTAGGCATTTCTTGAGTGGCTGTTGGCAAGATTGAATTCCTTGAGAGCTTTTGGGCCGAGGGCCTGGGTTCCTGTGGGCCTGTCCCCTGCGACTGGCTTCATCAGAGCAGGCGGGTGAGAGGAGCCCCAGAGTGTGAGCAAGACAGAGCTCCATCTCTTATGACTTGATGTGGACATGATGTTCCATCACTCCTGCTGTATTCTGTGGTTAGGAACGAGTCTCTAGTCCAGCTGACACTCAAAGGGAGGGGGTCACAACGGGTGTGGACACCAGGAGCTATTTTAGAAGCTTACCGATAATTGTACATTTTAAAATGACTTAAAGAGTATAATGGTTTGTAACTCAAAGGATAAATGCTTGAGGGGACAGATACCCCATTCCCCTTGATGTGCTTAGTTCACATTGCATGCCTGTATCAAAACATCTCATGTACCCCATAAATATATACATCTACTATGTACCCACAAAAAATTTTTTAAAAAGCTCAGAGAGTGAACACTTCCTTGAACGCTGTCCACTAGCCCAGCCCTGCTGCCCATCACTGGTGATTTGTTTTCTCATTATTGAGTTTTGAGATTAAAAAATTATATATCCTGGATACAAGTCCTTTATCAGTGACATTTCATCCCAGTCTATGGCTTGTCTTTTCATTTTCTTAATAGTGTCTTTTGAAGAGCAGAGGTTTCAAAGTTTGACAAAATCCAACTTATTTGTTCTCTAGTGGATCATGCTTTTGGTGTCACATGTCAGAAATACTTGCCTAATCCAAGGTCACAAAGAGTTTCTCCTTTGTTTTCTTCTAGAAGTGTTATAGTTTTAGGTTTTACATTCAGTTTTATGATCATTTGAGACGCCATTTGTATACAGTGTGGGGCATGCACTGGAATTCATTTGTGGTGTGTGGATATCCACTTGTTCCAGCTCCATGTGTCAAGAAGACCATGCTTCCTCCACTGAATTCCCTCTGTATCTTTGTCAAAAATCAGTAACCCATATATATGTGGGTCTGTTTCTATATACTCTTCGGTTCCATTGATCTGTTTGTCTGTATTTCTTGATTATTGTAGCTTTAGATACATCTTGGAGTCAGGTAGTGTAAGTCCTATAATGACTTGTTTTTCAAAGTTGTTCTGGCTCTTTTGCATTTTTATTTGAATTATAACATCAAATTTTAAGTTTCCAAGAAAAAAAAAAGCCAGCTGAGGCCGGGTACGGTGGCTCACACCTGTAATCCCAGCACTTTGGGAGACAGAGGTGGGCGGATCACGAGGTCAGGAGATTGAGACCATCCTGGCTAACATGGTGAAACCCCGTCTCTACTAAAAATACAAAAAATTAGCCGGGTGTGGTGGCGGGCGCCTGTAGTCCCAGCTACTTGGGAGGCTGAGGCAGGAGAATCGCTTGAACTCAGGAGGTGGAGCTTGCAGTGAGCCGAGATTGCGCCACTGCACTCCAGCCTGGGCAACAGAGCGAGACTCCATCTCAAAAAAAAAAAAAAAAAAAAAGCCAGCTGAGATTTTAATTGGAATTCCTTTGAATCTGTAGACCAATCTGAGAGGAATTGGTATCTTAACAGCATTATTTTGATCAGCAAAAATGGGAGTTGATTTTGTAAAATATTAAGAATTTTTGCATATATGTTCATGAAGGATATTGAGCTGTACTTTTCTTTTCTTATTATCTCTTTGTTGGGTTTTGGTTTCAGAGTCATACCAGCATCAGAGTGGGATGGAATAGTTGGTGTAGAATTAGTATTATTCCCTAAACATTTGATAGAATTCCCCAGTGAAGCAGTATGGGCCTGGAGATTTTGGGGGGAGGAAAATTTAAAGCTATAAATTAAATTTATTTTTAAACAACATAAGGCTGTTCATATTATCTGTTTCTTCTTGATTGCGCTTTGCTAGTTTGTGTCTTTCAAGGAATTTGTCCATTTCATTTAAGTATTGTCTTAAAGTTGTTTATATTTGTTTCTTTTCTTTTTTTTTTTTTTTGAGATGGAGTCTCGCTCTGTCGCCCAGACTGGAGTGTAGTAGCGTGAGTTAGCTCACTGCAACTTCCGCCTCCTGGGTTCAAGTGATTCTCGTGCCTCAGCCTCCCTAGTAGCTGGGATTACAGCTGTGCACCACCATGCCTGGATAATTTTTTTTTTTTTTTGTATTTTTAGTAGAGATGAGGTTTTGCCATGTTGGCCAGGCTGGTCTTGAACTCCTGGCTTCAGATCTGCCCACCTTGGCCTCCCAAAGTGCTGGGATTACAGGTGTGAGCCACCGCACACGGCCATGTATTTCTTACTGTATTTTAATATCTGTAGAATCTTTATCTCTGTCATGCTCTTATTCTTGATATTGGTAATTTGTGTCTTTTCTCTTTTTTCCCTAATGAGTCTGGCAGGAGGTTTATCAATTTACTGATTTTCTCGAAGAATCAGCTTTTGGTTTCATTTGTTTTTTTATTTCCTAGTTTCTCAAGGTGGAAGCTATGGTGATTGCTTTGAGAACTTCTTTTCTAATAGAGTTAGGTAGTGCTCCAAATTTCCTTCTCAGTGCTGCTTTATCTGAACCTCACAAATTTAGTAGTTGTTTTCATTTTCATTCAGTTCACAATACTTTCTGATTTCCCTTTTGACTCTTCTTTGATCCTTGGCTTATTTAGAAGTGAGTCATTTACATTTCCAAACACTTGAGAGATTTTCAGGTATCTTTCTGCTATTGATTTGTAATTTAACTCCATTGTATTCAGAGGACATATTTTGTATGATTTGAATCCCACTAAATTTGTTGAGACTTGTTTTATGGTCCAGAATATGGTATTCCCTGGTGAATATTCTGTTTGTACTTGAAAAGAATGTGTGTTTAGCATTTGTTGTGGGCAGTATTTTTAAATGTCAATTAGGTCAAGTTGGTTGATAGTGTTGTTTAAGTTGTCTGTGTCCTTACTGATTTCTTATTTACTTGTTCTATAAATTATTGAGAGAATATTGATATCTCTGATTATAATTGTGGTATTTCTTTTCTTTTTTTTTTTGTTTTTGTTTTTTGAGACAGACTCTCACTATCACCTAGGCTGGAGTGTAGTGGCAGTGCGATCCTGGATCGCTGCAGCCTTGATCTCCCAGGCTCAAGCAATTCTTCTGCCTCAGCCTGTTGAGTAGCCCGAACTATAGGCATGCACCATCATGCCCAGCTGATTTTTTTTATTTTTTGTAGAGATGGGGTTCCACCATGTTGCCCAGGCTGGTCTCAAACTCCTGGGCTCCACGTTGGCCTCCCAAAATGCTGAGAGTATACCGTGCCCAGCCAATTTGTGTATTTCTTCTTGCGTTTCTATCACTATTTGCTTCATGTATTTTGAAGGTCTGTTATAAGACGCATAGACTTTTAGGACTGTCATGTCCTCTTCATGAGTCTACCCTTTTATCATTATGCAGTGACCCCCCCTTTACACCTGGTAATCTTTGCTCTGAAATCAACTTTGTCCGATATTGTCAACATGTAGCCACTTCAGCCTTCTTTTTTTTAATGTTAACATGATACATTTTTCCATTCTTTTACTTTTGACCTGTTTTATCTTATTTTTAATGTGGATTTCCTGTAGGCATCATATAGTTGGGTCTTACTTTTGAATCCAACTTAACCTCTGTCTTTTAATGGGGTGTTTGGAACATTTACATTTAATTTGATTATTGATATCCTTAGCTTTAAATCCTGATACTTATTTTCTCTTTGTCTCAGAACTCTTTTGTCCCTTGTCTTTTTCCTGAGTAGCTGGAACCACAGGTGCACGCCACCATGCCTGGCTAATTTTTGTGGTTTTTGTATTTTTTAGAGATGGGGTTCCACCATGTTGCCCAGGCTGATCTCAAATCCCCAGGCTCAAGCAGTTCACCTGCCGTGGTCTCTTAGTGTTGGGATTGCAGGCATGAGCCACAGTGCCTGGCCCTGTCTTATTTTTAAAGATTGCATTTGATAGCTTTGCTGGCTTGTTAGCTGTAACTGTTCATTGTGTTGAAGTGGTTGCGTTAGTATATTATATATCTTAAACTTATCCACCTTCAGGTGATACACACTTTAGAGTAAAAAGAACCTTTCAATAATATATATCTTCCCTTCCAGCCTTTGTGGTGTTTTCATATATTTTACTTCTACGTGTTATATGTTCTATAACATATTATTTTTGCTTTCTACAGTTGATTAATGAGTCTGTATTTACTCATGTACATAGCATTTCCAGTGCTTGCTATTCTTTTGTGTAGATCCAGGTTTCTGTGTAGTCTCATTCTCCTGCTTGAAGAATTTCCTTTCACGCCTGTAATTCCAGCACTTTGGGAGGCTGAGGTGGGCGGATTGCTTGGGCTCAGGAGTTGGAGACCAGCTTGGGCAAACACAGTGAGACCTCATCTCTACAAAACGATAAACAAATTAGCTGGGTGTGGTGGTGTGCACTTGTAGTCCCAGCTGCTTGGGAGGCTGAGGTGAGAGAACTGCTTGAGGCTGGGAGGTCAAGGCTGCAGTGTGCTGAGATCATACCACTGTATACCAGCCTGGGCAACAGAGTGAGACCTTGTCTCAAAAAAAAAGAAAAAAAGAAAAAGAAAAAATTTCCATGTCTAGAAGTTCTGCTAGTAATGAATTACAGTAGTTAGCCCTCTGTATCCATGGTTTCTGCTTCTGTAGATGCAACCATGGACTGAAAGTATTTGGAAAAAAGAAAAACAATAAAAAGTAACTACAACAATAAACAAATCAAATAAAAATACAGCATAACAACTATTTTCATAGCATTTATATTAGGTATTATAAGTAGAGATGATTTAAAGTATATGAGAAGATGTGCTAGAATATGCAGATGCGATGCCATTTTATATCAGGGACTTGAGCATCCATGGATTTTGGTAACAGAGGGGGTCCTTGAATCAGTCCCCCATGGATACTGAGGGATGGCTGTATTTAGGTTTTGTATGTCTTAGCCTTTATTTCACCTTTGTTTTTGAAAGATATTTTCTCCGTGCAATGAATTTTATGTTGACAGTTATTTTTCAATACTTTAAAAATATTAGTCTACTGTCTTCTAACTAGCATGGTTTCCAATCAGAGAATCTTTTTTTTTCCTCTGGCTTTAAAAATTCTGGCTGCTTTGACTATATCCCCTGATTATACAGTTGTGATATTTCCTAGGGTGCCGTTACATTTGTGTGCCTGGGATTCATTGATTTTCTTCAATCTTTGGGTTTACTGTTTTCATCAAATTTGGAAAATTTTTGGCCATTTTTTCTTTAAGTATTTTTTTTTCTCGTTCCTTTGGGGACTCTAATTAAATGTCCCTTAGGCTGCTAAATGCTGTATTTAAACAATTTTTTTCTATATTTTACCTATAGTTTTTATTGCTGTGTCTTCAAGTCTAGTGATGTGTAGTGAACAAAACACACAATTCTTGCCTTCATGAAGATGACATGTAGTATATATTTTTATCTTATGAATGCCATGAAAGAAGTGCATAGGGAGGATATACTTAGAGCTGTGACCTCTCCAGATCAGTTTAAGCTGAGCATTGAAAGGTAAGAAGTCAGGCATGTCAAGAACAGGGAGAAATGTCCCAGGCAGCGGGAACAGCAAGTAGCAAGTGGAAGTGAGGGCCTTGGGGTAGGGAAGAGACTGGTCATGGCAAGAAGGTTAGATTTAATTGAAAATGTAACAGAGTAATCGGAGGGTTTTAAGCAAGGAAGTAAAATCCAGTGCATGCTTTAAAACAATTTTTCATTTGCTATACTAAGAATCAGTTTACTCATCCTCTGTGAAGAACTGTCTAGTTTCTACAGAATAGAAGAATTTCTGAATAAATTTCTTAGCTACATACAGACGCTTCTCAACTTATGATGGCCTTATGTCCTGATAAATCCTACACATCAACTGAAAATATTGTTAAGTTGAAAATGCATTTAACATATTTATCCCACCAAACCTCATAGCTTAGCTTAGCCTACCTTAAATGTGCTCAGAATGTGTGCATTAGCCTACAGTTGGGCAGATCATGTAGTTCACTGCAAACCGTAGAGTACTGGTTATCCTCATGATCATGTGGCTGACTGGGAGCTGTGGCTCACTGCTGCTGCCCAGCATGGAGTATCATACTGGGAAAAGATCAACACTCAGAGTATGGTTTCTGTTGAATGTATATCACTTTTGCACCATTTTTAAGTCAAAAAATCCTAAGGTGAACCATTGTAAGTGAAGGACCATCCGTATATTTGTGTTACACTTACAAATACAGTGAGAGAGCAGAAGAGCCATTTAAATAGTTGTCAGTGACAACTACAACTTACTTGAATGGCTTTTCATTCAGTAAGATACTAATAACAACTTTTAAAAATTTCTTTTCCAGCTGGTGGAAGTTAAAGGCCCCAATGATCGTCTTTCACATAAGCAGATGATCTGGCTGGCTGAACTGCAGAAGCTGGGGGCTGAAGTAGAAGTCTGCCATGTGGTTGCAGTTGGAGCTAAGAGCCAAAGCCTTAGCTAAAAGGTATGGAATTGGGGATATTTGGTCATACATTAATGTAAGATTTTCAAGAGTATAAAACATGTTTTATTTAATTTTGTTATCGTGCATTATAAACCTGATAGTTTGACTTGTCATTTTACAGTGTCTGCATATCACAAAACAGTGTTTGCTTGAATACACTCATTGATTCCACACAGTGGGTAATAAACTTTTTTTTTTTTTTTTTTTTTTGAGACAGAGTCTCGCTCTGTCACCCAGGCTGGAGTGCAGTGGTGTGATCTCGGCTCACTGCAACCTCCGCCTGCTAGGTTCAAGTGATTCTCCTGCCTCAGGGTCCCCAGTAGCTGGGACTACAGGTGTGCGCCACCACGCCTGGCTAAATTTTGTATTTTTAGTAGAGACGGGGTTTCACCATGTTGGTTGGCCAGGTTGGTCTGGAACTTCTGACCTCAACTGACCTACTCACCTTGGCCTCCCAAAGTGCTGGGGATTACAGGCATTGAGCCACTGTACCCAGCTCATAATGAACTTTTTTAAAAGAGAAAAATTTTGTTGACCATTATTGGAGCTGGATGCATCTATATGATTAGATGTGCAAAAAGCTGGAAAACTCAAAAACAAGTGATGATTCATCTTTAGGTTTTTTTTATAAAAAAGTAGTGGCTGGGCACAGTGGCTCATGCCTGTAATCCCAGCACTTTGGGAGGCTGAGCGAGGCAGGCGCATCATGAGGTCAAGAGATCGAGACCATCCTGGCCAACATGGTGAAACCCATCTCTACTAAAAATACAAAAAATTGGGTGGGCTTGGTGGCACACGCCTGTGGTCCCAGCTACTCAGGAGGCTGAGGCAGGAGGATGGCGTGAACCCGGGAGGTGGAGCTTGCAGTGAGCCGAGATTGCACCACTGCACTCCAGCCTGGGAGACAGAGCGAGACTCTGTCTCAAAAAAAAAAAAATTTAAAAACTAGCATAACCAGTGTTTCCTTCAAGTAATTAATTATATGGGAAACCGAGATTCTTGAATTAAGTTTTTCTTTACTGCCCTATACACATTTAGCTGTTAAACTTTTATGATTATCTAAGAAGGGCTGAAACAGTTGAAATTCCAATTTCTTTAGGAATCAAAACATTCTCATGAAGTTGTGTTGATTTATAACATGTAAATGCTTGTTCTACTGATTGGGCCCGGATCATGAAAGGAATGAAGTCTTTATCAGAGGCAGTTGTCCTTCATTGTCCATCTCCCTGGGACCATCCCTAATAACTAGATAGGGGTATTTTCTCTGTTGACAGTACAGTCAAATCGGCTGCTCATCACCATTGTGGGAGGGTCTCAGGCTGGGCAAGGGGGTGTGGTAGAAAGGTGATTTATCCATGCGCCAGGCCCGGGAGTCAGGGACTGGAACCCCAGTCTGTCTCTTGACTTCTTTGAAGCCTTCTTGGGGGAATATTACTCCCCAGTTTTTATATTTATTTATTGAATGGAAGGACCAGTTAGGGCATGATCTATCAATATCCACATGGCTTTAACTTTAGCCACTTCCGAATTGCTGTTAAAAAAAGTTACTGATCACTACCTGGCTTTAGAGGGCAAGCAGAAACATCCCATGGATGACACAGAAGTATGGGTAGGAGAAGATGCCTTCACCTCTTCTATCAATCACTGTGTTCCAGTAGATGATTTCATACTGACAACAACAAACAGTCGCTGTGGAATTTTATTAAGCCATCAAAATTTCCTTCACATTCAATACTGTTGAACAACAAGATAACACATCTTCTTGCTCATCCCACTTGAACTCAAGTCATCAATTTTAGGCACAAAGGTTTTAGTTTTCTCGGGAAATCAAGTTTTAACCACTTGAGGTTACTACTGCAGCAAGCAGATTTTGTTGACAAATGTGAACAGCTTTCACCCTCTGTTAGTACAAATTAATATCCTTTCCTTAAATAAAGTTAGTTAGCTATTTTTGGTTTCAAAATCAGTTTCCATCATAAAATAACAGCAAGACACTGTACACCTTTACGTTCAATACTAGAAATTTCACCCAGTGCATCAGCATCTGTGCGGCATTCCCTCAGCACGGGCTCTGCTGGCGGGCAGCAGGGGTGCTGAGCTCTCTCTAGTGCGCCCTGTGCAGCCACACCACTGCTGTCACCACATGTCCCTCTGACGGCAGAGGTGGTATAAGCAGCTTCACCCTGGCCCGACTGAAGGCTGTCATAGTTGTTTTTCATATTATGCACAATAAACTGTAGCACAATAATCATGATATAACAACTGTCCAGCAAAAATAAAAGTATTTTACATTTGATTATCATACAAAAATATGCATTTTTCTATTTTTAACCATTATTAATAGTACCTAATATTTTTAAACTTGTAAATTAACAACAATAAAATACTACAAGAGTTAAAATAAACGTGAAGGAAGAAAATTACAGAGGGAAAAATGCTCAATCCAAAACATTTAGTAATAATAAAAAAGCAGCTAAATGAAAAAGGGAGAATTGTGATTACACTGTCAATGGCAGGATACGCTGTGGTGTTATAAGGAGATTGGGTCTGGTTTCTAATCAAGGACTGTAAAATGTTTAATAATTCTATTTGTATAAACTGAAACTAGCCCTTATTTTCTAGGCAACAAGTTGGCAAAAACCTTGGGTTTACCCATAAAGTGAATTTCTTAAGATATTTTTTAAGAACTCCTGTCCTGTTATATCCAGAGACATTATCAAATTTTAAAAGGCAAATAATTCAAAAAGAAACAGCTATTCAGTACATATAAAGGTAAAATACAGTTATCTTGAAAACACTTGTTTTAGAAAAGGAAATAAGCTAACTAGACACTTTACTATAAAAATTTTCCATATCTTAGGATGGCAGTTTAAGAAACAGTCAAATTTGAAAGTATCCATGTTTTAAGCGGGGAATGAGGAGTGTGGGGGAGGTGGTGCCCCGTTTCACTGCTGTAAGAAGCTTCAGCTTTGACCGCTACAGTGGTAGGTAGGCTCTTGTCACACAGTTTGGAAATACTTTACTTTAGAGAGATTCAGATCAAGCAAACAACTGTGTCTGCTCATTCTCCTCAACTTTGCTGTCCAAAGTTGGGGGCTGGGGGAGCACTTCTGTCGCTATTCAAATGGCAGTGTTTTGAGAGAATCCATTTTTTTATTTCTCCTCTATTCCTAAGCATTAGGAACTATGAGAGAAGGACATCTGTGCAGGTGCCCAACTCGTAACCTCATTAGTTATTTCCAGGGGGAAGTGCCAGCAATAGTTTACCACACTGGAAATACTGATGGCCAAGCCCAGCACGCCTCCCAGCAAGCCTTGTTTGTTTTTGAGGGCGAGTTTTGGCATAGATGGCACTCTCCTGTCTACAGCATACACCTCTGTGGAATCAGCACCCCAGAGGCCACTCCCCAGTGGCTTTCAGAGGAACAAGACTCTGGGGACTCCTGGCTATGAAGCTTAGTATGAAAAGCCTATTTCAAATATGCAATGGGATTTTCCCACCCCAATTTTAAAAAGTGAAATTATATTTTCTTCTGTAATATTTGTATCCTAAAGTCAAAGGCACTTCTAAGTTTAATTATCTGCAGCAAATGCTTTAAAATTAACAGTGCATATCATTTTAAAGTTGACCCTATGAAGTTAAAAGCAAACTCATGATTTCAAAACACAGTGATCTAAGGTTCCAAAGAAGGTGATCTAAAATCATAAATTCTGGCCCCAGAACACTGAACCTTCATCAGGTGAGTTCAATTAGAGACGACAGAAAGTAACCAGAAAAATACATGAATACTTCCTAAAACCTGCTGGAGGTTTTATCAGATGCTCCTAAAAATGACACGAAACACAAATTTCCTAACTTTCCTGTTGTCTGCTGCCTGGGGCTGCTAATGTGACTGACTATCAGATAGCCTTCAGGAGGTGGTAGGAAAAATGGATGGAGACAAAAATGTAGCAGACAACATGAACAGTTTGATCACGGTTACAAGAGCCAGACCTGTAATGACAGAAAGAGGACAGGAACAAAATTTACATCTCTCTTAAAATAAGTGTGAAAGAAGCATGATTCAACATGTTTTTAAATATTAGTGCAAATTCCAACTATTATTCTTACATATAAAGTTATTAGAGATTCAAACGCCTAGGTTAGCAATGTTAATTCAGAGGAAAAAAGTTGACAGCTTCCCTCAAAATGTTCAGAAAACACCCTATTTTAGTCTTCATTTGCTAATGTCTCAGTAGACAACCATATTTTGGCCCCACTTAAAAATTTGCTTAATGGTGTTCCTAAAATGCTTCGTCTGCACAGATTCCCTACAGGAGAAAATGGAAATGAGGAGGAGAGAAACTCCGGTGTCCCCGAGGTGTCGGTGTGGTGAGGGCCGCTGGCGTTGAAGTACATCCTGCTCTGGCCCAGCTCCCCATAGCAGGCCTCCAGGGGGCCACTGCGCTGTTGCCGCAGCATCCTGCTCAGTACGTCGACTTCATCAGCCAGGAGGGAGAGCTTGTGAAAGGCTGTGATGGAGCCACCCAGGCTGATCTGGGCCTCGGGAACCCAGCGGAAGTAGCACAGTTTCCACAGTTTTATGTGTGTTCCAGAGACACGTGGCAGAATAACACCGTGCAGGTTGGCGGGTTTGGAAAACCATTCTCTAAAATACTGCTCCGTATCACTGTTCTGGCTGTCGGTTTGCTGAGCTGGATCTGGCTTTGGTTTTAATATCAATGAATTTCTCCTTGGAAGTAATTCTTGGTCACTGATGATTCCATTCTTTAAGGCAGACGGCATTCCTCTTAGTGTGGAGCTGTAGCTTTTCTATACAGAAGAGATTTTATTATGTTCCGGGGATTCCCTTTTTAGAAAGATTGAAGGATGCAATGGCAAATATAAACTCAATACTATGAAAAATTAATGGAATTTCAGCCTCAAAGAACATTTTCCTCCCTTCCTTTGTGTCCTTATTCTAATCCTCCTCCCCTGGAATTACACTTTTTTATGTGTTGACTCTACCTAGGCTGTTACTATCAGCCTGAATGGGGGCGGGATGAGAGTACCTCCTATCCACTAATTTGCTTAAGGATAAGTTCTAAGACGGGCTAGAAAAAACACTAGACCTGGCCGATTCTATCAAGAACAATGGCAAACTGAACAGAGGCAGTCAGGAGGCCAAATGTCTGATTCTTTGTTCTGTACCTTTCAGTAGTCTGCAAATTTTCTACCAAAAAAAATCCCAAGAATTTATTTGGGAATTATTAAAAAGGCAAACAATGAATGTTATTAGGACAAGAATATAGCAGTCAGGAGGCCATGACTACATCACAGCCAGGCGGCATTCCCTGCCACAGTGGCGGCTTGAATCATCAAGAAATGGATAAATGGGGCTTTAGTAAATCAGGCTTGCAGGCTCAAAGCTGCAATCTGCCCACTCTCAGGTACTGAGACTTTGTGGGCCTCAGACACCAGGAAGAAAGCTGGGATACAGTCATTTGAGTTAAAAAGGGAATGACCCCTCAGAAACCCGCATTAGCAGTGTTACTCTTGGAAGTGCCTTTACTTTTAACGCTCTCTGTTCTGAAAAAGAGGTGTTTGGTTACGTGTGAGCCAACATCACGTTTTGTTAGCTGTGATTTACCTTTGTCCGTTTAAAAGACTTCACGGAGCCATTCTGTATACAAGGTGTGCTCTTTCCAATGTAGAAGGGGTTATGGAAAAGGGTGCGATCCTTTGCTGTAAACTGGAGAGACCAGTCCCAAACAGAGGGGAATTTTAAGCCCTTCTCATCACCCAATTGGATGTTTTTGCTTATAGCAAATTCCTGCAAAATAAATAAATAAATATTTGCAAAACTAAAGATTCTCTCATGAATGCCTTTTTTCAGATGAGCCACTCATCATTACACAGGTTAAATGTTCTGTACTGCAGCCCTCAAAACCCACCAGAGTGGCACTTTCACTTCAAGAGAGGAGACGCTCCTGGCCTTTGAGCTCAGAGGGCCCCACAGTCCCCATGAACAAGGAGTGTGCTTTTCAGGTGCCCTCTGCCTTAGGACCCCAAGGAAGCCGTGCCCTTTGGGCAATAAGAATGTTATTAAGAGAAGTTTCACTAACATGATACTAGAAAGTCTTAAACATGTTGAATTTATTTCTATAATTACAGTATTTTACTTTTATGAGCACACGGTCAGTACATTTAAGTAGTTACCTGTTGGTAAGTGGATTAACAAAATCTTTGGATGGAAATCACTGCCACCAATTTTATAACTTACTTCGTAAGTGGGGAGCTACACTTCACTGAGCCAGTGATCTCAAATCACAGACCACAGACTCAGGGTAGGAAGGAAGGGATCAACTCCCTGTGGTCCTAGCATGTGGCTAAAACCATGGAGACCATGTACACAGGAGACCCCTCCTTCACAGGAGTCCACCTCTAGCCCGGACTCTGGGCGGGTGCAGCCTAGTTATCTGGCTTCCCACCACAGTAAACTGAGGCAACACAAGGCTACAGGGTGACAGCCAACCACCGCATTGTGAGGAAGACATGGAGCTCCTCTGGAAGGCAGCCCAGACCATTTCTATGAAGCACAGTCACATTTAGCAATGTGGAGAAAGGACTCTCATCTCAGCTGATTGATGGCAGCAGGCTACCACAGCAGTGTATACACAACAGTTCGCTGGAGGAAATAACTCCAGACACAAAGTCGCTGGATGATGGGAAATGTCTGATTCTTTGTTCTGTACCTTTCAGTACTCTCCAAATTTTCTACCAAAAAAAAACCCCCAAGAATTTATTTGGAAATTATTAAAAAGGCAAACAATGAATGTTATTAGGACAAGAATATAGCAGTCAGGAGGCCATGACTACATCACAGCCAGGTGGCATTCCCTGGCACAGTGGCGGCTTGAATCATCAAGAAATGGCTAAGCTGTGTAACAGCACAGGGCATTTTGTAAAGTTTTACAAAATTTTCTATTTCAAATAAGTAAAAATTCATTAAGCACCAAATACACATACTCTTAACAGTTTTGGCCAGGCGCAGTGGTGACTCATGCCTGTAATCCCAGCACTTTGGGAGGCCGAAGGCAGGCGGATCACGAGGTCAGGAGTTCAAGACCAGCCTGGCCAATATGGTGAAACCCCGTCTCTACTAAAAATACAAAAATTAGCCAGGCATGGTGGTGTGCACCTGTAGTCCCAGCTACTCGGGAGGCTGTGGCAGGAGAATCACCTGAACCTGGAAGGCAGAGGTTGCAGTGAGCCGAGATCATGCCACTGTGCTCCAGCCTGGGTGATAGAGCAAGACTCTGTCTCAAAAAAAAAAAAAAAAAAATTTTAGTTACTTGACATTTCATCATGTACATGGATTAAAAACAATCCATTTGCTTCAAACACTGTTAAGAGCTGAAATCTAGTAAAACATGAACCCAAACGTGTTTTAATGGCCCTTCAGTAAGTATATAGAAAATGTCCTCTTGGCCAAGCACGGTGGCTCACGCCTGTAATCCCAGTACTTTGGGAAGCTGAGGTGGGCGGATTGCTTGAGTCCAGGAGTTCAAGACCAGACTGGGCAACATGGCGAAACCCTGACTCTACAAAAAAATACAAAAATTAGCTAGGCGTGGTGGCATGCGCCTGCAGTCCTAGCTACTCAGGTGGTTGAGGCGAGAGCAGTGCTTGGACCCAGGAGGCAGAGGTTGCAGTGAGCTGATATTGTACCACTGTACTCCAGCCTGGGTGACAGAGCCAAACTGTCTTAAAAAAAAAAAAAAAGATGTTCTCTTTTTTAAAAGGTAAAAATTAAAAATATTTATCCCAAGAGAGACCAGATTTTCTATAAACACTACCTGGCCACTAGCACCTAAGGTGGCCTCAGAATGGAAAAAAAAGGAAGAAATGCTTTGGGCTTTTGCCTGTGTGGAAGGGGCTGAGAACGGTTAAGAATCACGACCCTTAGACAATGACCAGTTCCTGCTAGGGAGGAAGGGAGAGGGGGATTCATGTTAGTATTTGTCAGAAAAGGCTTTTGAAAGAGCCAAATTAAAAAGAGCACTAGAACATGAACAGGGAAAGCAGAGGAAATACTTGTAGAAAGTATTTTTTACAGCTCCCTCAATACAATTCAGTAATGTTCATTCCTGGTGAGAAGTCTGTCCGCACACACAGCATCAGCCAAGCAGCAGAGGCAGTGGTGTCTGGGGGCTGGGAGTCCTCCACGCAGATACCCACCCATGCACTGCCCAGTCCCCAGACCCCAAAGTCTTTGTCCTCGCCTCACGCACCTTTTGCAGGCTCACACTGTGTGCGCACGGGGTAGTGACGGGAGACAATGGGGAAGAGCTGAAGGAGGCAAACAAGGCCAGGGGGAAAGCCTAGCTCGAGGCAGAGAGGGGCCCCAAGAATGATTATGGTGACGAAAAATAAAAACAAGCAACTGGGAGAGCATGTATTTTAGGAACAAATGAGCGTTCCATGCCTCAGGAGCCTCTAAGCCTGTATCACTGGTTCTCAGCACAGTATCTGGAAAGGTCAAACTTTCCTGGTGGGGTGGGCAGGGGACAGACTCTGGCTCTATCACCCAGGCTGGAGTGCAGTGGCACAGTCTCAGCTCACTGCAATCTCTGCCTCCTGGGCTTAAGCCATCCTCCCACCTCAGCCTCCCCAGTAGCTGGGACCACAGGTGCGCACCACCATGTCTGGCTAATTTTTGTATTTTTTGTAGAGACAGGCTGACGGTGTTGAGTTTCTTTGAGCCCTGGGTTCCCCAAAAGTGGCAATGCTGGACAATCTCTCCTGCCTTTTGTGTCCTGAGAACTGGCTCCTGTGGACTGAGACTGCCCTCCCTCCTGATTCCCCTGTCTTCTGACTATAAAATCCCAGGCCTTGTCCTTTTCTTTGGGATGCCCATTAATTAAGTTCTCCCTCCTGCAATAGCCTAAATAAAATCAGCTCCTTAACTGACCAGTGTGTTTTGTCTTTTATACCAACAAATCCAGAATAATTCATATGTCTTTAGGAAAATTTGCATAATGATTCACAGTTTACAAAATGTTTCACCTCATACAATGAGACTAAAGGCATAAGTGTTAGTTTGACAGATCCATTTTACAGGTTAGCAACCTGGACTCTCAGGCTGAAGCCTGAGTGGAACATGGGCCTAGCACTTTTCCCAGACCAGGGCCAGAACTCAGGTTTCCCGCTCCCTAGGTCACACTGCCTAGCCCAGGGCCTTACGGCTGAGGCTGAAGACCCCGGAGCTCACTATGAGGGCAATCCTCTTCCTAGAAAGGCTTCCTGAAGGTCCACAAGAGCTGCCCCTTTCTGTTTCTCTCAATGGTCTCCACGGCATTTGTCAGCTTCTGTTGTTGGTTCGAGGTGGGTGAAATGGCACTTTGGTTCAGAATGGTTTCAAGTTTGGCTTGAGACCCTGCTTAGTCATAAATCCTCTACATCAATGAATTGTGACCAGAAACTTCAAACTCGTGAAGGAAAATAATCTTGTTTTGTACAACTTTTTATCCTACTGACCTAGGAAATAAATGTCGTGTAACAGGGCTTTTGTTTTTTACTACCCAATAGCCCAAATGTGAAATATAAATACAAAAGCATGACATTTAAGGTGGTTAAAGTAATTTACATCTTTAAAGGGGTTTACTACAAAACATTTACATTAGAGTAAAACAAAAAATGTTCATTCATAAAAATAATTTCCTAGATTTTTGTGTCTTCAAAATAATCCATTCAGAAATTTCAGCTGAAAATGGCAGTAAGAATTTTAAATCATAAGATTTTAAATAGGCAGTGAATTATACTTCAATTATGCCTCGATAAAGTTGTAAAAACAGGGAAAACGTAGCCACAGCCACAGGGTTGCTTACCGTGCTTTGCTTCACTCGCTGGTGAGGGGAGTTGAACAGGAAGGTGCCAAACAGTGAGATCCGGGTGCTGTCATACAACACTGCCAGGTAGGTTTCGGAGAACTCAAAAGCTGCAGGATATTGTTCTAACAGCTGCCAGGTGGCATCCAAGAATAGCAAAAATAAAGGAGACTGGCAAATACAAAGAGACAATGGGATCATTTAATGTTATCCTTCAGCCGTTCACATTTACTTCAAAATGTACTGCTGATGTTAAAGAAGAGATGAATGAGAAAACATCGAAGCCTAAAACACTTGCCTTCTAAGCTGAGCTATACACATCTATCAAACCCAAGAAGTAACATTCAACCGTGATAAACATCACAACCCTTATTTGCCCAGTACATGTAACAAGTTGAAACAGCAAAGCACACAGTTGAGCGGGTTGCCACTATATGAAGGGGGAAGAGCAAAATATGTGTTTAAGCATGTCTTAGAAACAATTCTTTAGATTATATAACAAAACAAAACCATCAACCAAACTTCTCTAATGTTTGGTTGATCCTGTAGGCTCAGCATCCAGAAAACATCCCCATATTTCAGAAAACACTTTGGGATGAGCCTAGGTCACGTGGTGTGTCCCCAAGTGCAGTAGCGGGTGACCACTATTTTTTATGAGACACCACAAGTCAAATGGCGCTCTCTGAAACAACCTTCTAAAAACTGATCTGACTGACCTGCCTGGCCGGTAAGATATTTGTAAGGCCTTCCGCAGCCTAACTAGAGATCCGAGGCAGCCACTAACTCCACAGCTGTTGCAAAGGTGGCCCTCTCAAACTTTTCATCTTAACCTATGTATCCCATTTTAAGAAAATATGATATTCCAAAAGTGATTTTTCAAAATAGCCAATGTGCTTGTTATCTGTTTTTCAGTATTTTATTCAGAATTTTTTCAGTAGTTTTCCACTTAGACAAATTCAATAGACAACTTTTAAAAATTTCACCTTCATAGTTACGATAATCTTTATAATAAGTACATCAATTTGAACTCTAATCCATTAGTTAGCTTTGGACTAAGGAAATTAAGTTGTACTAAATACAGTATTTTTTAAAAGCCCCTTCATCTTTTAATGACACAAATTTTATTTTGTGTATCCTTAAAGACTGATAAAAAGGCATCAAGATTTTGTTACCTCTTTCTCTGATCTCTTTAGATGGTTGCATCTGTCTAGAAACTGATATCCTGCCATGACCCACTCCTTCTGTATCAGACTCTGAAATCCAGTAATTGTCCTAAAATAGGGATCCAGCATCACTTGAACAAGAGAAGCTACACAACAGCTCAAGTCTCTTCCTTCCTCCTCTGTTAATAAAATGGAAAGAAAATGATTACAACATAGAAAAATGCTGAGAGAGAAAGGGAAGGAAAGGTAAACTAGATAATTTAGTATTCTGCACACCTAGGCTGCCTTCCAAATCTGTATAAGGAAATTTTACTGGATTCCAGCAACTCTAAAATATTACAGACTTGTAGATAAACTAAATTAGCATTTAATAGGAGATGGTCTTTTATACATGGATATTTGCCAGATAATAGAAGCTCATCACTCATACTTTTTACATTCGAATGGTTTGTGGTAGAAAATCCGTCTAGACTCCATTCTACTGCTCTTTTGTCAAGGTATTAAGTATAAGGTAATCTTTCTACTGACAGGCCACATGGCAATACTGAGAAGTGAATGGGGAGAGTGGGACTGTTCACTACCAACTGAAGCTGTGGCAAACGATTCCCTCCTGTCTTTTATAGTTGTTGTCCTTTCCAATAAGGCCAGAATTGCCACGCTATCAAAGTCAGCCAGGGAAATCAGAAGACAACTATTGACCAATATCCCTTATGATTACAGATGTAAAAATCAATAAAAATATGAGTAAACCAAATTATCCAGGAATGCAAAGTTGGTTTAACATCTGTCAATTGTAGTAACGTACCACAGTAATAAAGGACAAAACCAACACGATTATCTCATTAGATGCGGAAAAAGCATCTGATACAATTCTACCTTCATTCCTGATTAGGAATAAAAGTAAACATATTTAAACTGATCAGAGACATCCACAAAAACCTACAATTAATGTTATTCCCATTTCACTGGTGAAAGACTGGATACTCTCTCCCTAAGATCAGGAAGATGATAAGGATGTCTGTTCTCTACACTTCTCCATCTCATTGAACTGGAGAATCTAGCCAGAGCAATTAGGCAAGAAAAAGAAAATAAAAGGCATTCAGATCAGAAAGAAAAAGGTAAAAACTGTCTTTGAAGACAATATGATCCTGTATGTAAAAACTCCTACGGAATCCACAAAATAACTACTAGAATTAATAAATGAGGTCAGTAAGGTTACAGAAATTCTGTACACAACAATCTGAGTACATAGTAAACCTGAAAATGAAATTAACAATTATATTCACAGTGACATAAAAATAAAATACTTAAGAGATTTAACAAAATAAATATAAGACTTACATAATAAAACACTGCTGATAAAATGAAAGATCTAAATAAATGAAGCAGCATAATTCATAACAGCCACAAAGTGGAAACAACCCAAATGTCCATCAACAGGTAAATGGGTAAGCAAAATGCATTTACAAACAGTGGAATACAATTCAGAAATAAAAAGGAAAAGATTGCTGATACACACTACATGAATGAACCTCAAAAACATGTATGTTGAATGAAAGAAGCCAGCGGCAAAAGGCCACATATTGTATGATTCCATTTATATGAAATGCCCAGAAAGGGAAAATCTAGAGACAGAAAGATTAGTGGCTGCCTGGAGCTGGGACTTTTGGGGTGATGAAAAATTTCCAAAACTAGACTCTGTATATTTACTAAAATTTACTGAATTACAAATTAAAAATGGGTGAATTCCATAGTATGTAAATTTTTAACAAACTGTTTAAAAATAAACGTATATAAAAATGCTAGTAAAATGAAGGTTCAGTGCTACTTCTGAGGCCTTTTCTATTACAAATGCATGGAGAAATGGAGGATGAGTAGGGTTCTCCAATACGATGAGAACACCCACTGGATGAGAGAAATTGTGATTATTAGGCTCTGCATGCATTTGTGAGTTAAACACACACTCTGACTGTATCAGTTCAGGATTACTTTATATGACACATTACTATTTGATTTTTTTCTAAGAGTCTTAAAGATTTTTGCCTTGTTAAAGTCAATCAAGTTTGGCAGTTGTTAAATGTACTTCTGCAAGCCTGGCCAGGCACGGTGGCTCACGCCTATAATCCTAGCACTTTGGGAGGCTGAGGTGGGCAGACCACCTGAGGGCAGGAGTTCGAGAGCAGCCTGGCCAACAAGGTGAAACCCCATCTCTAGTAAAAATACAAAAATTAGCCGGGCGTGGTGGTGCATGCTTGTAATCCCAGCTACTTGGGAGGCTGAAGCAGGAGAATCGCTTGAACCCAGGAGGTGGAGGTTGCAGTGAGCTGAGATCGTTCCACTGCACTCCAGCCTAGGTGACAGGAGCGAAACTCCATCTCAAAAAAAAAAAAAGTACTTCTGCAAGCTTAAGCAACATTTTGTATTCATATACTATGCAACATGAGTATATAGTCTTCCCTCAGTATCCATGGGGAACTCATTCCAGGGCCTCCTTTGGATACCAAGATCCACAAATGCTTAAGTCCTGGATATAAAATGATGTTAATATTTGCATATAACCTATGCACATCCTCCTGTACACTTTAAGTTACCTCTAGATTACTTATAACACCTAATACAATGTAAATGCTATGTAAACAGTTGTTATACTATACTGTTTAGAGAATAATGACAACAAAAAAAAAGTCTGTTCATGTTCATTACGGCCAAAGCTTTCCCCCGCCAATATTTTCAGTCCTGGGTTGGTTGACCACAGATGGGGAAGCCATGGGTACAAAGGACCTACTACTGTATTATACGAAGGTAGTTTTTAGTCTATTGAACTTTATCTGCAAACTTACAAATTCTATTAGCTGTAAGTTATTTAATATGTAATTATCCTTTGCTTAACTGAAAGATTTTTACATCACCGTTTATTCCTACCAAATATTACATTACTAGCTATTCAGCAGTTCAGTCTAAATTTCTTCATCTCAAACTGCTTCCTTAGAGTCATAATCTAGCATGAGCCAGAAGGTATTTAAACTAAAACAAATTTGTACAAATTAGACAGCAAAATTACAGAGAGAGAATGCCCTGTCAAAATTAACACTAAGTATTAATCCATTAGGGGATGGGACCCACCCTTCCCATAAAATAGGAAGGATAATTTAATAAAGGGTAAAAACTGGACTACTTTCTATTCTTCTATTTGCAGTCCTTGTGCCACTGGTTTTTATTTATTTTTTTTTTGAGTCTTGCTGTGTTGCCCAGGCTGGAGTGCAGTGGTGCGATCTCTGCTCACTGCAACCTCCGCCTCCTAGGTTCAAGTGATACTCCTGCCTCGGCCTCCCGAGTAGCTGAGACTACAGGCGCACACCACCACTCCTGACTAATTTTTGTATTTTTAGTAGAGACAAGGTTTCACCACGTTGGCCAGGCTGATCTCAAACTTCTGACCTCAAGTGATCCGCCCGCCTCGACCTCCCAAAGTCTGGGATTACAGGCTTCAGCCACTGCGCCCAGCCTGTGCCACTGTTTTACTCAAATGATGTGCAAAATCTGTAATGTATTTGATGGTACTGTAGTAAATAAGAAATAGCTAAAACTGATGTGATTTACTTGAATGGGGACAAGCAGTAAACCAAGGCTGGCTGGTATGGTGGTCATGGTGCTTTCAGGAGTTACTTTAGTTACCTTGTAGGACTACAGAGAGATGTTTGCTTTCTAGCATGTATACAAGTTCTGCTGAATGCTTAAGGAATGCCCTGAAGAGAGAAAAGGAAAAGCAGTGTTAAAAATCAAATTTCCACTACAAATACATAAAGTACTTGAAATCAAGCAAATCTAATTTCTCACTTTACAGATGCTCTCTGATCATGATATTCCCATAACTCATGACCCATGATAACCCACTGTAAGCTGAAAATACCCTAAACTGAGACTGTGTGGCTGACTGGCAGCTGTGGCTCCCTGCTGCTACTCAGCATCACAAGAGAGGATTGACTGCTTTCTACTGAATGCACATAGCTTTCGCATTACCGTAAAGTTTCTTTAGTTACTTATACGATTTCTCAAAGGAGTATATTTTGTAATTTTTGTTTTCTTTTTAAGAGACAGGCTCTCATTTTGTCACCCACACTAGAGTGCAGTGGCATATCACAGCTCATTGTAACCCTGAACTCCTGGCCTCAAGTGATCCTCCTGCCTCCACCTCCTGAGCAGCTAGGACCACAGGCACGAGCCACCATGCCTGCCTAGTTTTAAAATTTTTTTGTGGAGATGGGCATCTCACTATGTTCCTCGGCTGGTTGTGAACTCCTGGCCTCAAGTGATCCTCCTGCCTCAGGCTCCCTAGGACAGCAGGCACATGCCACCATGCCTGGCTAGTTTCCAACTTTTTTGTGGAGATGGGGTCTCACTGTGTTGCTCAGGCTGGTTGTGAACTACTGGCCTCAAGTGATCTTCCTCCCCAGAGCTTTGGAATTACTGGCATGAGCTACCACAACCGGCCCCACTTTGTAAATTTTTTTTTTTGAGATGGAGACTTGCTCTATCACCCAGGCTGCAGTGCAGTGGCGTGATCTTGACTCAATGCAACCTCTGCCTCCCAGGTTCAAGTGATTCTCCTGCCTCAGCCTCCTGAGTAGCTGGGACTACAGGTGCGTGCCACCATGCTTGGCTAATTTTTGTATTTTTAGCAGAGACAAGGTTTCACCATGTTGGCCAGGCTGGTCTTGAACTCCTGACCTCAGGTGAGCCACCCGCCTTGGCCTCCCAAAGTGCTGGGATTACAGGCATGAGCCACCACGCCTGGCCTCATTTTGTACTTTTTCATCAGGGAAATTCATAAACCCTTTATGAAAAGGAAGGGGTTGACTTATGACAAAACTATAGAGATTGAGAAGAGATTAGTGGTAGTCAACAGACACAGATGGCGATGAGGGTGCACCTATAAGAAGGCTAGCACAGGGGAGCCTTGTCATGGAACAGGTCTGTATCTCCCTGTGGTGGTGGTTACGTGAACCTACACACGTGATAAAATCGCACAGCTGTGTTAAGGGCATGCACACAGACGACAGCATGTATGAACTGGTGAGTAAGAGCTATCCAGTGTCCCAGTGTCAGCTTCCTGGTTTGGATGCTGTACTCTAGTTACGAGATGTTACTATTGGGGGAAGTTGGATGAAGAGTAAGTACATGGCCCTCTGTGCTATTTTTGTACCTCCAGTGAGTCTGTAGTTATCTCAAAATAAAAAGTTAAAGGAAAAGAAAGTAAAGAAGTACAAACCTTACATATTCTAACCATCGAGTATTTTCCAGTGAAGATAACCATTTCTCTTCAGTTTCTTCAAAAGGCTCTGTAATAAATTATATACATACACATTTTTACTTTTTATTTTATACGATCCCTATCAGAGTAAAGAGATACATCAGTTTCTAATATTTAAAAGTTAGCTTTAAGTAAATATCATGCATTTTCACTTTAATAACATGGAATAAGCATTTAAGAAGACATTACAATTCTGTAACAAAGCAAAACAAAGCATTCCCCTGGGGCTCCATCATCTTCTCTCTCGCTCTTTCAGGGAAATCTTGGAGTCCAACCAACTCTGACTCCCAACAGCTAAGAATTCCAGCCGTCCCTGCTCAGCCTATGCCTTGATCCTGGCCCTCCTGACCTGTGAGGTCAGCTGCCCAGGCCCTAGCCCTTGGCTTTCTCACTGCAAGCCTTGCCCTCCTGCTTCCCTGCCCCACCCCTGCTGCCAGTGGTGCCTCTGTGCATGGCTCACGTGGCCGAGGGCTAGCCACTGCATGAGGACAGGCATCCTCACTGCCCTGCCCAGAGTGCACATAATCATTCAGGACACTAGTTTTTTCAACAACTTGCCCCTGCCCCGCCCCTGCAAGGCCCTCCCCCAGGGAAGTGCTTACTCATTGCTCAAGATCTGCTGCAAGGCTGCCTTTGCTGACTCCCTGGTGACTTAGAGGATCTCTTGAGGAGGACCCACATTACACCAAAGATGCTTTCATGTGACTCATCCCGCAGGACACATGAAAGCCACCTGGTACGTTTGCTCAGATATATCAGAATTCTGATGCTACAGATATAACACAGCTGTTTGATACCCATGTCAAGTCACCTATCTCAAAGTATAACTGTATGTATTACAATCTTAATAAGTTTGTCTGTAAGGTAATACAGTGTTCTACTCAGCAAATGCTTTTATAAAAGTATTCTCCTATACCTTTCATCATCTGAAGGAAATTTAATACACTCATTTTTCCCCCTCTAAAACAAAAAGTAGTTTAAACTTAATTCCTTAGGAGGTTCTGAAGTTCTCATACAATAATATATAATTTGTACAAATAGTTCCATAGACTCCTTAAATATATCTATTTCTACATTTTTAAGAACATCACTTTTCCTGACATCTCATGCAACTCTGTATCCTGTGTTCATTATATATATGAAATAAGAATGAAATTACCATTAACGCATAGCTGCTTCAGTTTTACAAATGCTGCCTGTACTTCTTGAATATTAGGCAAGGTCTTATCCAAATCTGATTTGTAAACATCACTTCTCTGTGGGTGACTTTTAGTTATTGCATTACAAATCCTAATAAAGACAAAAATACTTTAGTCATTACTCATTCATTTCAGCATATATTTATTTAACCCTTACTATAGACCAGGGGATAGAGAGAGGAATGAGACAGGTAAGGTCTCTGCCTTCATGGAGTTTACTTTTTTTTTTTTAAGACAGAACCATTGCTTATCTTATTTTTTAGTTTTAGAGACTATTCCATCAGGTTTCTCTGCATGATTTTTCTGTATTCTCATAAAACTGAGAGTGAAATCAAGGAGAAGACAGGTAAACTTTGTTTCCCTCTTAGCACCCAACTTCTCCCACCCATCTGGCTTTGACTACTGCAGAATGCTGCCATTCACCTCACTGCCACCCCCACGTGCAGTGCACAGAACAAATTAGATCATTTCCTTCTTTTTCTTTTTGAGACGGAGTCTCATACTGTCGCCCAGGCTGGAGTGCAGTGGCACCATCTCGGCTCACTGCAACCTCCCCCTCCCGGGTTCAAGCGATTCTCCTGCCTCACCCTCCCGAGTAGTTGGGATTACAGGCACCCGCCACCACACCTGGCTAAATTTCTGTATTTTTAGTAGAGGCGGGGTTTCACCATGTTGGCCAGGCTGGTCTCAAACTCCTGACCTTGTGATTCACCCCCCTTGGCCTCCCAAAGTGCTGGGATTACAGGCGTGAGCCACCGCGCCCGGGCTCATTCCCTTATTTCTGATGGGAGAAAATAAAGCACATCCATTGGAACACTTGCCTGGGAAACAGAAACACTGCCAAGGGGGGGGCGGGGCAGCACTGCATTTAGATTAAGGAGACCCTACACTCCCACATCTTTCCACATGATGTAGACAGAAGGATGGCAAACCAGATGCACATTCTCCAGCTCTAGAGAATGCAAAGCACCTATTCCCACAGTCTTAACGATTTGCTGTAGGATAAACTGCAAGTACAGACATTCACCAAAATTCCTCCCACCCTTCCTCTATTCTTAGGAGAGAATGGGCTACTATAAATATGTGCCATGGGGTCTCTAGATCTTTTCAAAGGAAACAGCCAGGACTGGGATTCCCATCTATATTCAATGGGTAACTTCCACACCACTTTAAAAAAACAAAACAAAACCCTGCTGTTGTTTTTTTTTTTCCTGAATAGAAAAAGTAATATAAATTAGTGTGGAATGTTTAAAAACACCTAGAAAAGATAAGAAAAACAAAATCACTCAGAATTCTAAAATTTTGGTGCAATCTTTCTAGGTTTCCTCTATGCACCTTTATGTGTATGGAATTTAATGTAGGCATGAAAAATAAAATGGCGCTGTACATTTGCTTGATAAACTGATTTTTAAAAATTAAATAACAAGAATATGCTCCCATTTCATTAAAATATGTAATGTGTCATGAACCTGCATGTCATCTTTGTGCAAGGGCTATGCTAACCTTCCCTGTATCATTCCAATTTTACTACTGGTGTTGCCCAAGCAAGTGGGGGGTTGACATTCTTCGTGGGGTGGGGTAGATGATAAGATAAATGGGCTGTGGTGAATGCCATGGATGATGTAATCATGAGATTACAGGCTACTTTAGGTCACATGGTGAAAAACAGCTGCTCTGTGAAGATGGTACTGAAGCCGAAACCTAAATGAATAGAGAAGCAATGTAAAGATCTGGGGTGAAAATGTTCTAGGCAGAGGGCAGCTAGTGCAAGGGCCCTGTGGCAGGTAACAAGCATGGCTGCTGAGAAACCTAAAGAAGGCCAGTGGGGCTAGATGACACACCTGAGGGAAAAAGGTTAGGAGACGAGGTTGGACAAAAAAGAGGATCTGTTCTACTTATGAAGAATAGGATAGCTGAAAACACAAAAGGCATTAAAGTAATTTTCAGCTTAATAAATCACTGAAACTGCCACTGATTATAAGGTTTTATAACTAACTCTCACCCAACAATGCTACAATTGTCCCTTTAACAGCAAAATTCCTAACTGTGCACTTCATCAGCATGTATGCTAATGAAAACAAGGCTTGGAGTATGACACAGCAGACAGTTAATTCCAAATGGAGTTCAGGTAAATCAAAATCCACAGAGAATACGGACTCGTGTGAACTATAGTCACCTTCCTTTCCAGAAAACTGAAGGTCATTTGAGGGTCACTTGATGGTTATTTGCTTCAGTGAATATGGCTCTGTCAGTTACGGTACAGTGGAAAAACCCTACACTCTGGCTGTACCAAAAAGGACTGTGATACACAATTTCTGAGGCTCCATAAGCCTGTTTTATAAGATCTGTTCATTTACTCCTCATTTATTCAACAAGTATTGAATAAATATCATATATGCTTCCTGGGTGCTAAATATATAACGGTGTGCAAAACAGACATAGTCCCTCATCTCATGGAGTAAAAACGACAGGCGGTAATCAAACTGTAACACACACATATATAATTAAAAACTGAAATAAATGTTAAAAACTCAGGAGCTCTAAGAACATAGACTTTTGAGGTCTGATCAAACTTTAGAGGGGAGAGAAGGCTTATCTTGAGGAAATGATGTTTGAATTGAGATATAAAGAATGAGTGAGCCGGGTGCAGTGGCTCACGCCTGTAATCCCAGCACTTCGGTAGGCCGAGGCGGGTGGATCACCTGAGGTCAGGAGTTCGAGACCAGCCTGGCCGACATGGTGAAATCTTGTCTCTATTAAAAATACAAAAATCAGCTGGATGTGGTGGTGGGTGCCTGTAATCCCAGCTACTCAGGAGGCTGAGGCATGATAATCACTTGAACCCGGGAGCCGAGATCGTACCACTGCACTCCAGCATGGGTGACAGAGTGAGACTCTGTCTCAAAAAAAAAGAAACAAGGAGTGCCAAGTGGGTAAGCGTGGAGAGTGTTCCCAGATGAGTGCAAAGAAGGCAGTCCAGAAGGGAAGAGCGCTGGACAATGTCAGGAGGTTGAAAACACCAGGGAAAGTCCAGGGGGCTGGAGCCCAGGGGTGGAGGAGACATGGAAGGAGGAAATGATAGCACTTATAACACACAGGCAGAGGTGGAGCTGGGTTTGTGGAAGCACATGGGTTTGCAAGGTGTCTGAAAAGTGAAGTGAGAAAACCTGAGGAGGGATTGGTGATGGGGAAGGGAAAGAAAGAGGAAGGCATCCAGGATGACCCCCCGGTTTCTGAGAGCAGGCTGGGGGAGGGCATGGAGGCCATATCCTTGAGTTTGGTTTTGGACATAATGAGTTTAAGGGGTCTTTGAGACCTCCATGTAGAAGTCAAGGTAGACTGAAGATATAAATGTGTTGGTCACTAAAGCCACATTCTTGGGGAAACTTCTTTAGGAAAAGAATACAGAACATGAGGAAGCGGCCTTAGAATCTGTGTAATGTCTGGAGAGAAGAGGATGGGTCTGCAGAAGGCACGGAGTGCCAGTGAGGAAGAGGAGCTTCAGGAGAGTGGAGAGGAGCAGAGGCTGAGGGCCCAGGCGGGTTTAAGGAGAGAGTGATCAATAGTATTGCTCACTGCTATGAGCACAACTGAGAAAGGCCTCCTACTTTAATGACGTGGAGGTTACTAATGACCACAGCAGATGATGCCAGACTCGTCTGTGGTGGCTAATTAAAACCACTGTTCTAGCTATTGCAAATGTGTAGACCTAAATAAGACACATCAAACTACAAGAAAAGTTTGATTTATCCTGAAGTGTCTCAACTGGATATCACTGCACTTTGAAAGTATGTTATAGGAAATGCTATAGCAAGATGTCAGCAATGTAAGATCCACAAGTGTCTTACAAACCAAATAATTAAATTATATTTAGTGTAACTCCAATGTCAGTTAATTTTAATATTATCACATTCTTTTCAAAATGGCAATTCTTATATAAAACATGGTGCTAACTAATTAGTAAGACTATGCATTTTGTTATTTTCAATTAGTAGGGAACTCACTGTAGTTACACAACAAGTAAAACTATCTAAAGTGACAATGACCATTTCTCAATTACCTCTGGTCAATCTTCCTCTGCTGCAGCACGTCTTTGATGAGGGCCATTCGCACAAGAGCACTGCCGTTAGAGTGGCTCCAGCACCAGAGCTAGGGGAGAGGTAGAATCCTTACTTCACTGTGTAGAAACAATGGACGTCAGCATTCATAAAATCCAACAGAAATCACTTACTGGCATCCTTCTCCCAACAAAAGAATGGGAAAAGATCTTTAGATCTTGGTCTGCTAAAGAACTTGGCACTACAATGTATTCTGGAAGGCTGGAGGGGAAAAAAAAAATTATATGAGTGCTGTGCTAAAAGCAGGAATAGTGTGCTCCTGCAGACCCTATAAATAATTAAGCAAGTTGTCCGCATTTAATGTGCACCCCACTTAGTAGCCACATGGTGGGCACCATGGGGGGGCAGTGACGATCCTACACCTCTTAGTCTAAAATTGGTGCGATATGACCAATTCTTAAAAATCTAAATTTATAGCATGAGAAAATTCCAAAGAAGGTATTAGAAATATTTTCCAGAATGACTATTAAACATGTATGTGTTCACTGAAAAATATATCCACCTTTGTTCTCTTGACAGGCTATGGTTAAGGACACCAGGCAAACAAAAGAAAACCCCACAAATCTACCAGGAGCTTTAGCTCTCTTCTTAAGTCCCTCTTCTACCTTTCCCCATGCCTAAAAGGCACAGTCAGACTCTAGGACACTGATCAGACAATAATTACTAGTGGGCAAGCTCACTGCACCTCAAGACATCTTCCTTCTTTCCCCGACGTGGCTGGGCAGCCCCATCACATGTTTCTCAGCACATATACCAGAGTGTGCTGGCCTTGAAGCTTAAATTCCAGGGGAAGCAAAAGATACAAGCTACATGCTGCAAAGCACCTTTCTAGAACTGTACTAGAAGTTCCTGGTACTGGATTAACCAGTAATAACACAGTAGTGCTTTTCTTCCTTTTTCTAAAAAGCTGCTTATGTGCGTGAACTAATGAGGACTTCAATGACCTTAAAATAAGGCATTCCAAAAAATTCATAATAACTAAATGACATTAAACAAATTAAAAAAACAAATTCCTAGTCACTTCTAGAAGATCCCCTAGGGAACCAGCTCACTATTTGGAAAAATGTTAAGTAAAGGAGAAAATGTAGATATTTATATTGCTTTTCTTGTACGAACTGTGTTACAGGGCACTAAAGAGCTGGTGAGAGAAAAGTTCGATAAAAGCAGAAAGATGATAGAATTAGAAGGTGAACAATAGCAATCCTTAGTGAAATAACGATCTGAGCAATGATCCTCCCTCCCAGTGCAAAACTATTTTTGGGAGCTCAAACCATGATATAAGAGGGGAACTTTTACTGGGTGGATCAGGTTGACACCCTCTAAGCCCACTGGTCGTCAGGATTACAATGAGAGAGACACAGCCCAGCCAGCCTGAGATGGGATGTGACTCCACAGGAGAACACAGAACCACCTAATGAAACATTCTTGCCAAAAGTACTGAACCTGAATCCGATTAAGCCTCTGTTGCTAACATTTTAAAGGAAATATTAGAGACAGAGGAACACATTACGGGACACCCTGGGGATAAAACAAGCAATATCTACAATGTGGAAAATTCTAGGGAACAAATGACCTGGTTTGTCAACAAATAGTAGGTAAAAAAGAGGTGGGAGGAGACTGTTGTAGATTAAAAGGCCTAAGAGACATATTAAGCAAATTCAATGTGAAGACTTTAGATCCTGATATGAACAAACCAACTGTAAAACACCAGTTACAAGATATAATGCAATAAACACTGACTACTGATGACAGTAAGGAATTACTATCAACTTCTTTTAAGGGATACCGTAATTTATATTAATAAGCCTTGATCTTTAAAATAAAATATTTATTAAAACATTATTAAAAACAAATATTCCATTAACCACAACTTGAAAGTCATCAATGACAACAGAGTTTGATGATTATTCATAGGGAAGTGACTTCCAGCCATATATAACATTGCTAAAATTGTACTTACCAAGTGGATATCATGTAACCCTCGTTAATAGAACAAACTCTCCACCCGGAAGCACCTGTCCTCTTGATTTCTCTGTCCCAATCCGAGTAAGTTTCAAAGAGTGGAGTTTTCTGGCTGCTGCCACCACCAGCTCCATTACCTCCTCCTCCTCCTCCTCCTCCATCTCCTGAGGGAATTCCATTAATTTTGTTTGCTGTAGGAAAAAGCAACATTATGAATTTTAACAGTCACATTTTCCCCAGCATTCCCTCTTCTCTGAGCCTCCTGTCACATGCATACTCTGATGTGCTGTCTCTAACCTGCTTCACCTTCCAAGTCTCTCCGAGAACTGTCTTGCCCTTTCCATTTAAAAATAACTCCTTTTTTTTTTTTTGACGGAGTCTCGTTCTGTCGCCCAGGCTGGAATGCACTGGCATGATCTCGGCTGACTGCAACCTCCGCCCCCCGGGTTCAAGCTATTCTCCTGCCTCAGCCTCTTGAGTAGCTGGGATTACAGGCACCTGCCACCATGCACCATGTCCAGCTAATTTTTGTATTTTTAATAGAGACAGGGTTTCACCATGTTGGCTAGGCTGCTCTTGAACTCCTGACCTCAGGTGCCCCACCTGCCTTGGCCTCCCAAAGTGCTGGGATTACAGGCATGAGCCACCACGCCTGGCCTAAAAATAACTCATTTAGTCTTGTCCTTATCCAGCTCTTTCACAACTCCGTAAAACAGCTTTGATTTTTCTCTCCTTCTACTGGCTCTATCTTCTCTGCCTTCAAACGTAAACAGGTCAGTCAACATGATATTGAAAACACTTTGATCACGCCGGACCACTCTAGCTACTATGCTATACATTTTTCTTCCTTCCTTTTCCTGACCACCTTCCCCCAGAATGAAGAATGGCTGCTGCCTAGATTTCCTCTCCATTTATTTTCTCTTTAATTTTCAATTGTCTTCCATCCCTACCATTCTAACAGAAACTATTCCTAACCCTTCCTCATCTCCGTCCCTAATTGTGGGGTAAGTCCATGTCATTTGATTATTTGCTCCACATATTTTGCCTGGAAAAATGAAACATCCAACAATCATCTCTGTCCTCAAGCCCTTCAAATCTTTAATTTTTCTAATACCAACTTCTCACCTACCTGCTCTTTTCTATCTGCTCATTAGAAAATTCTTGGTTTCCTGTATCTACTCGATTTTCCTTTGAAAAGCTCATCAGGTTCCTTGTTCTTTGCTAGAGTGCTGTTTCCACATGAAGATTACAGCAGGGCAGGCCTAGACTTGCATTTCCTTAGAAAGGAGCCTGCTCTGAGAGAGAAGTAATGCTATCTTCTGGGAGCATGCTCACAGCCTCAAGAGTGCCTGCAAAGTGATTATTGAGAAACAAGCTGTCCCACAAAGTCAGCCAGATCTACCTTGGCAATATCTGGTGACAGATGGCACAACCCATTCTGGCCCAGGGTCTTTCTGCTGCAGGCTGCAACTGTGGCAAGTCTCCCAGCTGGCATCCCCAATGGAATATTCTGCTGCATTTAAACCAGCCAGCAGCTTACCACAAGACACACTTCCCTAAAAAGATGTGTTCATGATGCTAGTCCCTTGCCTTAAACTTTCAATAAGCTCATTTTCCAACCAAATCAAACCTAAATGGCTTCTCTTGGCCTTAGAGATCCCTCACGTAACTTATCTGACCTTCATTTCCCATTCTCCTCTGCAGCCATGCACTACCCTCCAACGTCCCATGAACATGTCATGCTCATTCCTACTGATTATTCATTAATTCCTGGTATAAGACAGGTATTTTCTGAGAACTCCCCATGTGCTAATGCCTGAGAGCAAAAAGATGAATAAGATTTTATCTCTATCTTGAGAGCATTAATAAGTGTGATAATCACAGAGTACCAGATGTCTGAGTGCAATGAAGATGCAAAAGAGAAGTCCCCTAACTCTCGCTGCAGAGAGAGGCCGGGGCAGGAAAAGCTTCATGACTTGACCACAACTAAAGAGAGTTCTAAGGAACAAGTCAAAAGTTGCCAGGTAGCTGGTGAGGAGGAGGTAGGCATGCTAGACAGAGAAGAACTTTAAAAAGATGGTATAACTGTATAATATCAAGTAACTAAATACAGCTAGAGCATAGGGATTCAACAGGTGGTGGAAGAGAGGCGGGAAATCAAATAGGGCCTAGACTCTAGTATGTTTCCCAAAAACGTAACTTCTAGCCACACAAGCCCATTTAAATTTAAACTGAAATGAAAATTAAATAAAATTAAAAATTCAGTCCATCAGTTGCACTAGCCACATTTCAAGTACTTAACAGCCACATGTGGCTAGTGGCTCTAGTGGCTGCCCTACTTCCATCACTGGACGGTGCTGCTCTAGATTACGGAGGGGCTATGTTAGGAATTTGGACTCCTCTTAAGTGGTATCAGAATTATCCAGTGATTCTGATTTTAACAAAGCTCATTAAAAAGTAAAATGTTGCTGGGCGCGGTGGCTCATGCCTGTAATCCCAACACTTTGGGAGGCCGAGGTGGGCGGATCACAAGGTCAGGAGATCGAGACCATCTTGGCTAACACGGTGAAACCCTGTCTCTATTAAAAATACTAAAAAAAAAAAAATAAGCCGGGTGTGGCGGCACGTGCCTGTAGTCCCAGCTACTTGGGAGGGTGAGGCAGGAGATGGTGTGAACCTGGCAGGCAGAGCTTGCAGTGAGCCGAGATCGTACCAGTGCACTCCAGCCTGAGCGACACAGCGAGACTCTGTCTCAAAAATAAATAGACAGATAGATAGATAGACAGACAGATAGATAGATAGATAGATAGTAAAATGCTCATTCTAAGCCCACATCCTAGAGTCCCACTCCATCTCAGGGCCTTCTCTGGAGTAACACAACTAAAAAGCGTGTCTGTGAGAAGGAAGACTTAGGAGTTATGATCTCTCCAGAACACAAAACCTGCATATGGAATTTTTGGCAAAGCCCAATCTATACAGTGTTCCAGTGCACCAAAACAAAGAAAGCTATTCAATATTAGAAAATCTAAGTAATTCATCATATGACTACATTAAACACGAAAAAGGCTATATGAATGACTAGCTCTGTAAGTGCAGAAAAACATATGATAGATACCTGTTTATGACTTAAAAAAAAAAACCCAACAACGTTAGCAAGTTTGGAATAAAAGGGAATTTCCTTAACTGGATAGAGGGTGTTTATCAAAAAGACATAGCTAAGAGCATCTTCATTAAAAGCGGGAAGTGAAATTATGCCTGCTAATATTACTGCTATTCAACACTGAACCAGCAGTCCTAGCCAAACAATAAAACCACCACCACCAAAAAAGAATTATAAAAAACACACTCAAAATTTTAACAGTTATGTAAAACAGTTTGGTGACTGAGTCCAGCAGCACTGAATACTTTTTAGTGTTTTGGGTTGCAGACTTTAATAAGCTAGGCTAAGAATGTGCTATTGTTTATGAGATTGTTTCTCTGGCCAAATTTTGTTTCAAGATCTAACTTACACAAATTTTTCTAAACGTAAAATGAGAACATCTATATTTTCTAAGCATAAAGTGAGATCCTCTATCGTTTGTTATTTTTGCCATTTCTCTCGTTCAAATCCTGTACTTTTCTAAACAACTGGGACTAGGTCTTTTATATGTTCTATATCATCTTCAGTTAGAGCTCATTACAGAATGTGTAATGTATACTCAATCTGGTTTTATAGTCCAGAAATTTGAATGCTTTCCAAAGTTCAAAAGACCTGATACCAGTGGCCTGCTCTATGAGTGGATCGCTATGAGGGGCTGGACCAACACAGTGAAAGGTGGGTCATCTCAGGGAGACCTGGCTCCGCTGACCGCTACCTGACTGAGGTTTTATGACATGCCTCCACAGCAGACTAAGCGTGAAATAGATATTATATGCTCCTGACCTTGGCTATCTTCTGTGACAGTACAAAAGTCTAATCCTATACTGTTGGGGTTATTTTAGATAATTTCCACTGAATTGGCCAATTGATATCTAGAATGGCTTCAAGCAACAGAAAATACAAGTCATCAATATATGAAAAGAAAGCCCACCACTCTGATGATACTGCAGAAATTAGAAGTCACAAAGGAATAAGGTAAAAAGAGGACTGTGAGTATTAATCAGTTCAAAAGCATGAGTCAACAAAGTGGTTCTTAACTGGGAGATTCTGACCTGTGCTGGAGCCAACATGGCTGCATTTCTAAAGGTTCCTCCAGTAATCCTGATGTATACAGCTGGCTGGAACCACCAATATTCAACAATCATTTATAGCTATTCTGAGAATCTTAAGCAACAAAGTTTAAAAATTCCTATACTGTTTCAAATGGATTGTGTACCTTGTGTTTTTCAAATAGGCATTTTAAGGAAAATCTAATAACAAGATCTATGTTAATAAAAAGGATAAAATTAAATGTCACTGAAAATGTACAACTTCTGATGTGAAATTTCATTACAACTTCAGATTACATCACAGCATCTGTAAGCAGGATGTCTGTCATGAAGCAGTTGCTGACACTAGGCTGCAGATAACTTCATGAAACTTTCAATATTTTTGGTCCAGAAGCATAATCTGACATCTTATCAATTCTATAAGAAAGATGAATCTGTACTTTTTTGACGTTATTTGCCCAATAATAATCTGACTGATGAAAACAGAGTCCTCATGGTTTCTTTAAAGTTAAAAGAGAAAAAACAGAATCATTGTTCTTGTTTGTGCTAGTAATATCTCCTGGGGTGTTTGTGCAAAGCGATGTTCCAAAGCCTGGGTGCTACACATCTTACTTTACTCCAGGATATTCACAGAAGTGTTGGGATGACTGCAGGACCTTTCAGAGATGGCTTTTCCTCATGTGATACTGAATATGAATGAAAACCTGAGTGACTAAGGCCAGCTAAAATATCATTTTCTCAGATAACTGCAGGGGAGCTCCTCCAACTTTGGATCTTATTTGTGGAAACAGCTTTGTCACCTACCTGCCTGCAAAAAGGACTTCTTTAATCCAGCCAATGAATCAAGGTGTCATCCAGAAGTTCAAGAGTGGATGAGTGGGCATCTTTCACTCACAAATTAATGAATTCTGACTGCAGTGTGTGGAAATTTCAGGCTCCTTTTGATCTTAAAGATGCAGTATTTATGCTTCTGTAACAGCATGGAAGGATATTAAAGGATGTTACCCTACGAGGAATCTTAACAAAACTATGGCCAGTGTTATGTTTATGAGGTACTTGTCAAAGGAGGAGTCTGAAGGATGTAATATAAAAAAGCATCCCTGAATATTTTCAGTATTAATCATCAAATTTTATCAATAAGCTATATAAGAAGAAATAGTGGAACTGAATGATGTAGATTTTAAAATTCCAGTAGTAGAAGACCTATGGGTGGATAAACTAAAGTACTGTAAACCAGAGATGCCCACAAGGTATGAATGAAGAAAAATGTGGAAAGTAACTGAAGCAGGCATCAGGTTACCAACTGTATAATGAAGTTTACTGTCTTTGCTGAGCCCAAGTCACTACATTACTGTAGAAGTTATGGATCTGTAAACTGAAATGAATCATTTCTATTGGAAAAACAGCAGCATGAAGAACTGGTCTGTATCATAAACAGTTGAGCAGGAATCAAAGACTCACTCCTACAACCCTTGCAACTCTGGGTGAGGATCTTATTGAAGATAACCTTGATCACTGTTCTGTAGCTTGACGATGATCCCAAGGAGTGTTTACCTAATAGTGCAGGATCTGTATACTTTATTTTTAGACAGTAAGTGAATTTACTTAATATTAATAAACTTCAAAAAATAACTGTATTGCTTAAGCCTCAGTTACAATTATGTATATATCGATAAGAAAAATTAAGTTACAAATACTTTTGTTATACAATTTCTATAAATATAATACTGTATGATAAAAGCTGCTCTGCAAAGCATTATTTTCATATATTATCTCTACTGTATTTTCTTTTTTTTTTTTTTTTGGTCCTCTCAGTGCTTAACAGAAAGGTAGTTATCTTTTAAACTAAGGAAAATTTACTTATACACATGCATCTTCAGATACCGTACACTGATACATTTTAATGTATTTACAATATAGTGTTGCTGGAATATACTTTTATTATGCCAGTTATTTAAATTACTACCATGTTTCGTGGTAACAAAATATAAAATTTCAGTACAATTAATAATTTGTATGGCCCAGAGCATGCTGGGTGAATGGATTTTTCATTATAAATACACAGCTGATTTATTTTTCTTGCTTAAATAAAAGAACACAGGCTTCGCTCAGTTAACTGACTTGCAGTCACTAACTGACAATGGGGCTAACAGGAGACACGGCTCTTTGTTTTTCTCTATCAAGATATTTTTAAAAATTGTTTATTAAAATTACATTTGTACGAAACAGAATGTACAGAATTGCATGATCATCTGGAATCTTCCCTGGTCATGTCATGACTGTCAGATATATAGACAAAACTATTTACTTTCACAAAAGCTGTCTAGAATATACTTGTCCTTGGAAAAATGCTCATCTTCCTTTCATCAGTATTACTCAGAAATAGAAACTCAGTATTCTGAGAATCTTAATGAAGTCCACAAAAAGTTTTTAATCACTTTAGCTTTTGCATGAAATCACACCTTGCCAGAAAAGATTATGCTTTTAATATATCTTTTAGTTTTCTGCCAGTTTTCTTAAAAGATAAGATTACTTTAACTCAAGCTATCAATTAAAAAGGGTGGGTTATATATTCTTCATCATAAAATACAAGCCAGTGACTGGAGATTAAATATCTGACATAACTTATAAGCCCATATTCATAGCATTAAAGGTTCTTCCTGGTAACTTGTCAAGAAATAATCTGACAAACTATTGGCTCTTTTAGCATGTAGTGCTTACTTCTCTAAGGTATGAAGCTAGTAATTCTACAATCATTAAAGCTCATGTACTTGGAGGCTTCCGGTAAACATAAGAGTAAAATTTACACATGTAAAATTAGTCACAATATTTAATATTTTCATATTTACCTGAATTGTGGTATTTTTTCCCAACATATTCAAATGCAAAGAGTAGCTGGAGGTCTGTTGGCTGGGAATAATGAGCTATTGCAAGGCATACCTAGGAAAAATTCTACATTTAGAATTTGATTTTAACACACTTAGTTAAATGAAATGTACAATAAGGCCTTGGGCACTGGGAGCATCATCTTGGGGCAGTGATTATAGATACTATTTACATGTTTTTCTGTTGACCTAGAATATAAAAGAGCTCCTTAAGGCCAGGTATCTCATTCACTTTCATGCCCTCAAGACATTGTTTATCTTTAGCTAGCACATGGCAAGTATTCAGTAAATATTTGCTGAGTTAAATTTTAATTGGAAAGTAATTTTAGTCCAATAAAGAAAGCTTCAAACTAAAGAAGCATTCTCCAAAAAGGCAGTGACTACATGTCCACTCCAAAAAAGGAAGAAAAAAGTTTCATTTTTGGTGGACTATAAAGGATTAATATAAGGCATGAAACTTTAAAGTTTACGCCTCATGGATTTAAACATCTAAATAGAGAAACATAATTACAAAAAATTAAAATTAGCAAGAAACTCCAAAAATGCATGGGTGGCTCAAAGAGGTACATCAAAAAAACAACACACACACACACACACACACACACACACACACACACACACAAACTGTGTTTAAGTAAAATGGTTTGGGACTGTGTGCCCTGTGGTGGAAAACGTGCGGGCTTTAGAATCAAACAGATCAGGGGGCTTGAATCCTAGCTCTGTCAAGTACTTGCTACATAACATGTGTGAAGTCATTTCCTCTTTTCTAGCCTCAGTTTGCTCACTTGTAAAACAAAAGTAATACCTAGGCTGTGGTAAGAATTAACAAGCTTAATGCAGGCTAGGCCTTTGGAGGAGCTCCATATATAGAAATATGGCTGTTATTATTCTCAACTGCTGCTAGATAGAATGAAGGATGGTGCTCTAGGCTTACAAACCCTGGTAGTCACTAGAATGTGGGAGAAAATGCTCTTCAGTGAGCAAAGACGAAAGAAGAAATTTAAGACATATGCAAGGAAAACATAGCAGAAAAACTTATTTAAAAGATTAAATTTTATTTAGAAGGTAAAGCGTTAAGTTAAGGCAGAATGATATACTTTTGACAGTGAGTAAGAAAAGTTAATTGTTAGTTCATGTCAAATTAGTGGTGTTTGGAGTGGGTTGATGCACATTTCATTAACCAGTAAGCATGTGTCAACTTGTTTAAACTACATTTTAAAAGTCTTCTATAGAATAAATGTTTCCTGTCTCACTAAGTTAAAATATACAAACAAGGGGACAGAATTTGTCATTAGTTTTGACCAAAAAGAAAAAAAAAACTGCTTCTTGAAACTTACGTGGTATCTCGATTTCTCAATACCTATAGGAGAGCTTTCTATGACGGTCCCACTTGCAAAATTTAGGAGCCGGTTATCTATATTCCCATTCCTAATCTTTTTAACAGTTTTCCTTAAAGCATTTCTAGCAGCAAAACTACTGAAATCTGTAGCTTGAAAAAGTTCTCATCCTTCCTATTTGTTTGGGCACCGTTGATAAGCTATGTTGCACTTTTCTCTAGACATTTTTCATAGTTGTCCATTTTGCTACACTGCCATAGCCACATCCTTAGGCCATACTCACCTTATGGCACCTCTGAGAGCTTCCTTACATTCTAGAAATCTACAAAACTTAAGGATTACCTTCTAACGATGTAATTCTGACTAACAATTTTGCTCTCCTGATAATCTGCTGTGGTTCCCAGACATCTGCATAACAAATTAAATCTCCTCATTCTTGATTCTTCACAAAACTGGCTCTCCTCACCAGGTAACTATACCTTCCCAATATTCCCTCCGCAATCTCAGGTCAGAGAAAAACAGGTTTGAACACATTCTGCCTGACTTAGCCCCAGCCATCTCCACTGTCACACTCTTTGCTTGGAAAATCCTACTCCTCTTAGCCAACTATGCTTTCTTGGAAACTGTCATGTCTGTTCAACACTACTCTCTTCACAAGCCTTCCTAGAGGGAGCCAATTTCAGAGTACTAATTCCAGAAACCCAGAACAACAGTTTCAATATAAAGCGTCTCTTTAGTTAAGTGCTTATTTTGCTTTACTTCCAAGGTATTCACATAATAGTTATGATGTGGATGAAAAGTAGGATATAGGTGGTTCTGTTACACTTCTACCATGAAGGTCAATTCCTTAAGGATAAATGACACATTTCACATTGATTTAACAAATATTTACTGAGTACCTACAATGTTGTAAGCCCTAGAGATGCAGTGAACAAAACAGACACTAATCCCTGTCCTCATGAAGCTTACATTCTAGTGGGAAGACAGACACTAAACAAGATAAAGAGAAAAAATACAGAAAGTTAGATAACTATGAATGCTAAAAGAGAAAAATAATAGAGCAGGGAAGGGGAATATGAAGTGTTACAGTGAGAAGAGGGAGACAGGCTAAAAAGTAGAGAAGGAGACCAAGAAAGACCTCTCTGCACAGACTTGAGTAAAGATCTGAAGATGTCTGCACTTTGCAGCACCACTTCAGTAGCTTTCTGACGGTGCTCTGTGTCCAACAGTGGCTACACTAATATTCACTGACAAAAGTAGTTACCAACATATTAAGGAAAATGCTCCAAGCCAATAATAATAATACTAATGTCTATCACATTCTCCAAAACAATTAGAAAGCAGTTACATGCTCTTTCTGTTTACAGAAAAGAAATTCACAGATCATTGATCATGGACATCCTTTTTTTGTGGCCATGAGGCAAAAAAGAAATAAAGCCTATTTTCAAGGCAAAACCCAACACAGCGTATTTTTTAAAAGCCCCTTAAAAATAGCACAATATCACATCAGGTTAGGAAACAAATGAGTATGTCCAAAAGCATCTACGCTGAAAGAAGTCTATAAAAATATTGTAAAACTGCAAGTCAGTTGAATTACTCGTTGATTTTTTTGGGGTGGCAGAACTCGAACTAAATACATTGTTTTTCAGTAGTGAATTTCAAGTGTATAACTTATGTTCATATGACCTAAGTAAGAGGCCTCTTTGGACACACAGACTAAGGCACATACAAACTTGTGTACCTGGATTGTCTTCATGTTGTTACTGTGGAACACTCCGAGAAGAGAAAGCCAGGGCCCCATTCTTTGCACTTTTACATACACACTATTTTAAAAACCTAAGTCCAAATTCCTACCTTTCATCCTAAGAGTTTTTGAAAGATCTGAAATACTTCATTTGTCCTGGCTACCACAGGAAATGAAGAAAATGTTGGTATTAAAGACATTAAATTATGGCAAATATTTTATTGGAGAAAAAGAAGTAAACTACTTTTAAATCAATTTTTGGACCAAAGCTGATAATCTTCTCTGGACAGAAGCCAGAAGTACCCACAGTGGATGGTTTCTTTCCTAAGATCACCTGGGGTGCAGTACTGAAGAAACTCAAATCCAGGAAACACTCAAACCTCATTAAGTTCTATCTCATTTGCAAACAAAAGTGGTTTATTTCTGTGGCCTGAAAGCCACCAAAAAACAGTACCAGATTCAAGTCAAAAATGACAGTTCATGAAAAGGCCAACTTGTTCCTTAATCAGATGAATGGAATTCACTTCTATAAAGTATTCCTGAAGAAGTGATTCACAACCCACTAATCAGAGAACAAAGTGGAGACAAAAGGCATGTATTTCACTTGTCACTCATGTGTATCTATATATTTATCTTTATCTACACAGACAGATATATAGATAAATCATTAAAAACAACCTTTATTATTTTGCCCTTCAGTTTTGAGCAAAGGTTCTGCAAAAGAAAATGGTGGTTCTAAGTTGCTATGAGGTTAGATGTCCAATTCTGCACCATCAAATTCCTTCTTTCTTTATACAGACCTTTCCCAAATATCACTATTTTCCTGTGACAGCTCGAGGATAATGAGGATGAATATTAATGAGTACAAGTGCCCAAAGCAATCTAATTTTGTCATAATACAATTGAAACAACACCAACAAGACAACCAGAAGGGTTCAGAACATTTAACAAAATGTGAACCAATTTAGTATTCTTGAATTTCATTTTTCAAAACAAAAACATAAATGGCTTAGGTATTTCAAAATGAATCAACGGTTTACCCACCAGAGAACTCCAAACATGCATTTCATCATTTTAAAGCAACTGATAAAATAGCAAAGCATTTTCCAGAGAAAACAGTATTCCAAGCTTCCAGGAGGTAAAAATGAGCCATAATTTCCTAACTGCTACCGAATTTTAGATGAAAACTTTTCACTTGAAATAAAAGAATATGCCATAATTTTTGTTTTTAACTCACAAAGCCGTCAAGCTTTGGTAGCCATATACAACTTAACCCTGTTTGAAATGCGTAAATCCCAAAAAAACTATTTATATTCTCATTGCATCTATTTTTTTTTCCTGCACCCTCCCCTGCCCTGCAACCCCCGTGGCTATACAAAAGACAGAGACTCACATGCTTTTTATATTTTAGGATACTGGGGAAAAGATTTTTGTCTGAAACTTGGTCTTAGGAAAGGGCATATGAGGGACTGGCTTGTTTTGTGCAGACGGTTTAGTAAGGCCCTCTTCATGAACCAGCAGCACAACACATAGGGGATATTCTGAATTTCCACAGCACTTATTATGCTCTGTTCATCTGGAAATCAACTATTTGTGTAGTTGATTTTATGCTGCCACTTTGTACCATTACTTTTCATTTGTTCATGCTTTATCTTCTTCACTAGATTTAAGTTCTCTAGGGCAAGAAACTGCATCTTACCCTTCTTTCTACTTGCAAAATTTAGCACACTGCCTCAACATGAAAAATGACCAACAAGTACTACAGATGGTTCAAGAACTAGGCCAAATAATTATTATTTCCACTCATTAAAATAGTGTAAACTGAAAAATACAGTAAAAGAGGGAGAATTGAACTTTCCGAAAGAGATCCGGTCAATTGCATCAATTTCTTCCTTAGGAATATGCTGTCCTAACTCAATCTAGCAAGTTCTGTGATGTCCCTAATCTTGAGATGCTACACATCTTAAGGTTTTCATAAGCAGGTCTTTGATGCTTTGATCAATTAAATTACAAATATAAATAAGCTTGAGGAATTAACCTGTCTGAAATATTTTATGTACAGTCTAATACATCATGAATTCTAAAGTCCTTCTATATAATAGGCACTTTAAATTAGTAAAATGCCAAAATCACAAACAGCACAATCGAACAGGTGAAAGAGGCTTTAAGAGTTATCTAGTTGAATTTTCAATAATGCAGCTTGCTGAGAGATGGTTATACAGACCATTTGAAAACTTTTACCCATAGAGGAGCCTACAACCACTCTACTCTGCTAGACAGTCACATATTTTCAGATGTATTTTCATATATTCATCTCCTGCTTGCCTTCCTGTGAAGAAACTGTTGGTTCTCAATCTAAAAACAAATCTACCACCTCTTCACCAAAGTATATGAAGACAGCTGCCTTACAGTATTTTTGCCAGCCTTGTTTTGGTATCAACAGAAGATTTACTGCAGTCAGTTGACTAACCATGGAAAACAAAGGCACTCATTGCTTGGTGGTGCAAAGACTGCCTCCATTCTGAGAGAAAGCCACGTCCTATTATACTAAGATACTGTTGCCCTATTCCCATACACACGCGCAAGCTTCCTACTGGAAAGTCTGTGACTCTGCATTTGCTGCAGCACAGACTGGAACGGGGGCCATATTAGGTCTACCAGCTTCACTCCTCTGGCAAAGCAAAACATGGAAAACATGCCCTTGACTCTTACAAGTAGGGTAATAAGTCATTATCTGGAAGGCCGTGGAAAAATAAGGCAGTTAAAAAGTTACTAGCTTTGTGTTGCCCCTGTTGAGTGTCACTCAATTCATAATATTTCTTTAAACCACTAATAATTACTAGGCCTTTCCCGTAATTATATATTTACCTAAATCTTATGTAACATAAGTCTAGCTTACAGTTTGTTGGTAAAGTTCTGCAGTACTGAATTAAAAGCCTAACCAAACCTTAATTACAGTATATCACCAACTTTTCAACCTTTTAACCAAGAAACTGACAAGTAATGATCTTTATGTAAAAAAATGCTAATTTCCACGTAAGAGTCTTTAATATTTGAGAAGCTGATAAAAAGTTATATAGAACACTTTAAAACAGCCATAAACCAATCCAAGAAAATAGTTCTATTAATATTCTTGGCTTTGACTTTACTTAAGAAGATGTCTGATAACTTCCCCTAAAAAACATCTGAGCAATTGAGAAATGAAAACTGCCATACGGAATTGAAATCAGTAAACACAGTACAGAACCCAGAACTTGATAAACCTTAACAGTATTACCTTTTTAGCACTTTCGGGACCTGATTCATCAAAGCGAAATCTGACAATTCTGAAATCTTTACAATAAATAATTAACTCTGTTGGATTAAATTTCAGTTTCTGGTTGGGGCCTAGGACTTTCTGCTTCCTCTTGTGGTCGTTTACTAAAAAAGAAAAAAAAATAGAGAAAATAAAATGCGTAACAGTTATTTGTTACTCACCCTTTAATACAAATTCTTAGTGAAAATAATTGGAAGGTCACCCAACATTTGAGCTCTGCTTGTCTAGAATGTTTCATACTTGTAATTCCTAGAACTTGGGGGTTGGTTTTAACTTTGCTTTGGAAGATATTTTAAATGATTATTTGCATAAAACCACCATCTAGACACATTTAATGATTAATTTTAATTAAAAAGAGGACAAAAAACCTAGAAACTATGAAAAGTTATACATTTTATATCTTCCTTTTAAAATAATTTATTAACATATCCCTCTTTATGTTCCCGGGACTCAAAAAAACGGCAAAAGTAAACTTACAGAAATAAAACGCCAATCCAAGTATTTTGAGAGGTATGACTTTTCAAATAATACTTCCAGAGTGGAATTGACTTTTAGAGTATGTACGGAATACTACGTACCTGTGACAATTTGCTCAATACATGTTAAAGGGACATCGTGTTCACCAAGAAGAAGGTTTCTGTAATGGAATTTCTGGAATAAAAAATTATGTTCATATTAATTCTTTTCCCAATAATCTCACAATGGTAGTATAAGCCTTAAACTGTGATGATAAACTGTGACAGTTATCTCTAAAAAGCACAAAAAGCTTTTGTCTAGGTAGCTAGGGCCATTCCAATGTTGACAGATAGAAATTAGGTTAAAATGTACACAACAATCTTATTATAATACCTAAGATAGGGAATATCATCAATCACCTTACCAGCAAGCATTTGCATGTCTAGATCTGGATAAGCTGGCCACAACATATTAAAGAAAAAAGGGCTCTTAGGTCATCAGATTTTAAGTGGGTAAAATCATGTTTGATTTTCACACTGAAGATTTTAAAGTGCAAAATAACTATCTTTTTAAAGCACAAAGTCTACTAGAAATAAAAACCATTAGAAAAGGTTTTGCATGTTCAAACTAAGGACGTAGTTAACACTATCAATCTGCTGTCAGTAGGGCACTGGTTTACTTTTTCCTAATAGTGGTACTGGATTTAAGCTGTTCCAGGTATCTGCTTCTCATTTACAGTGAAGTCTGGGGCCAATGATCATTATGAAGCTAAAAACAAAGAGAAACACACAAGCCTATATCCAAATAAGCTACTGTCCCTACACAGTGGGTATCTTTAAGTGCCTTAAATTTAGTCTAAATATACCTACATAAGACTGTAATGAACACACAAATATACAGTACAATAAATATTTGTACAGTATAATAATTATGGTAAATTAGTGAGTGACTACATGAAATATACTTACACTAAACTATTAGATCCTTAAATTTAAAAGTTTACAGTTCATATACCAATATTTCATTAAAGAACAATTACTATAAAGAAAGATCTAGGGGTAAGTGTGTATAATACTTTATAAAACAAAATACAAAATGGCTGACAGAAAAGTCCAGGGTTTTTAAGTTAATCAAATGAATGCCTGAACTTCTAAAAACCAAAATTACATGGAACTATTACTTTCCAGTAAGAACATAAAATAGCAAGAGGGCTACTGAAAATTTTTAAATCGATACTATTCTTCACTCTTCCTAGAAATTAGAATTTAACTTTTTAGGAAAATAACACTAATTAGTTTAAAAAAAAAAAAAAAAGGTAGCTGGGTGCAGTGGCCTGTACTCTGGCACTTTGGGAGGGGGAGGCAGGCAGATTGCTTGGGCTCAGAAGTTCAAGACCAATCCGGGCATCATAACAAAACCCCATCTCTACAAAAAAATACAACAGTTAGCCGGGAGTGGTGGCATGCACCTGTAGTCCCAGCTACTCAGGAGGCTGAGGTGGCAGGATAGCTTGAGCCCAGGAAGCAGACAGAGGTTGCAGTGAGCCGACATCATGCCACTGCACTCCAGCCTGGGAGACAAGACAGAGCGAGATCCAGGCTCAAAACAAAAAAATCAAAAACCCAACAACAAAAAAACCTATGAAATCACTAAAATGTGTGGCATTTATAAAATCATTTAGCAAACAACCTTTTCTCTTTATGTCATTTTTATAAGCAGGTTAAAAGATCTGCAACAGAGGGAATAACTTCCTTAATGAAAAGGACATATAATGAACGATCACAGAGGATAAATAAAGCAAGGTGACTTACAATCCTCTCACTAATACTCCTCTAGCAAGTTCCAACATTCTTCTTAAACTTTACTTTAAATCTTAATATAATTTATCCCAAACATTGCATTACCTAATACTTCTACTATAACTTTTCCATACCTATGTTTTATATAATAATATGTACCACTTAGAGTTGAAAGCCTGATAGAATGAAACAGTGTACTAATAAAACACACCTGTAATGGCATTGGGTCATCTGTAATAAAGGAGATTTTGAAGTTACTGCATATCAGCTTTCCCCACAAATCGTACTGGCTTGTGTCTGTTGCAATGCATTTTCTCACAAAATTGACTTCATTTACGACAATTTCTCCTTTAAAAAAAGAAAAATATTTGTAAGGTACTTTGTCATAAAATACCAACGGTCTTTGTGGGACCTAGAAGGAGTGTTTCATGAGGGCAAGGATGAGGATAGTGAAAACATTCACCAATTGCCCACCAGGTGCCAGGCACTGTATGGTCATAAAGTGAATAGTAATGACAAGGCATTGTTCTCCAAGGCGTAAAACTGAGGCAAAAATAGCTCAGGGGTCTGAGCTGGTTGAACCAGAAAGGCTGACTTCAGTGTACTTTTTTCCTATGCCATACTACCTCTCATTATTTATCTGCTGGAAGACTTTCTGGAGAAGAAATAAACTACACCTGCTCCTTCAGAGTATTACTTGATGGAATATTTGTGTTTTATTAACACATGACTTGATCTCTCAAACCAATGCCTTTGATTCCTTTTGTAAGGAATGAGAAACAGAGCTCAGCTTCACTGAATGTAAAATGTATTCCATAAAGCCAAATCAAGTTTCCTTCTGCACTCAGATTATAACTTAGTAGGCAACAAAACCTTAAAACGTAGTTTGAGTTAAAAGAAAAGATTAAAAGAAATAAATATAAGAAACCAATATAAAAGTTATAATGTACTTTTGAAAGAATACTTTTCTACAATTTATTTAAAGCTTGGTCATCATTAAACCTTAATTTCAAGATCTAAAAGTCAACTAGACGCAGAACATTTTAAGCCATCTGTCTCCAGGGTCAATGGTAGAAAAGTGAGTGTACTGATCCACTTTGCCTATTTCTTTCATTATAAAAACCTTTAGCCCGATAGAATGTTTGCTGACAAACTCCAAACTCCTACCAATTCATGAAGAATGGAACTATAGTCTCAAAACAATCCTCTCTTTAACAAATAGGTTATAACAAATTTGAGCTGCAATAACTTTTATTCGAAGTTCTTAAAAATGTACAAGGCTAGTTTTAGTAACTGCCCCTTAACATTTACCTAAAATCTGCTCATGTCAAATTCACAGTGCCAACAGCTTGAGTTAACTTCCACTTTGAAGACAAGCCTCCCTCTCATGGCTGGGAGCCCTGCATACCCAGCCAGCTACCAGCCTTCCTCACCCTCACTGCTCTGCCCACAGTGGTGGCCTATTAATCCCTCATGGGACCATGCTTCTTCCCATTTCATGGAATATTCTTTTCTTCTACCTTAGTCCAACCACTGTCTAGGGAATGCCTCTTTAAAAAAATCTTCCTATCTAGTTTACATTCACATATCGAAGCATTGTATTTCCAGCACTCATGATAGCTACAATTATATTTATATATTTTTAAATTAATGCCTGCATTACCCTCAGGATTATATGCTCCATGAGGGTAGAAGATGGACTGACTTTATTCACTGCTGAAATGTTAGTGCCTAGAACAGTGTCTGGCACAGGGTAGGTGCCTGTGAAAAGAGTGCTGAATGCAAGAATGAATAAAATCACTTCATGACACTTGGTTCTGTCCACCATGAGTTGGGCAGAAGTTGTTCTAGATAAGAGAAACTAGTAATTCAATATGGCTAAGCAGCCAAGCTGGCTGGAAGATAAGGGCTGTTTGGGTAAATGATATGTAAGTTAGAGAAGAGTCACAGAACTGCCACTGCTTGCCTACATATGCATTAAAGAGCTATAAATAGGACATCTGTCCTGTCTGATTCTTTCAACAACCTGTAAGGTGAGGAAGGCAGATGGTTTCCTTAATACACAGATAAAGGATTTGCACCCAAAGAGGTTAAATCACTTTCCTAAGATCTTAAAAAGAAGTAGTGGACTTCGCACTTATAACCAAGTGTTCTGACTTCAATTCCCATAGTCTTTCCCTATAATTACATACAATTAAATGTACTGCAGTGTAGCAAGTACCAAAACTTATTAAAGTTCAAATATTGGCCTTAACTGAATTCTAACGAGAAAAAAAATTTAAGATGACCAAATATATATATATATAGACGCACTGAGTAATTCAAATACATAAAATTTAAATCTTCTTTGGCTCCTTGAACATAAACCTCACCAATTCCCATATCAGATTCTGGGCCACTGAATACTCAACCCTTTCTCCTCTCCAGTAAATCTTAGATATGAATTGTAAGCAGGCCCTCAATTTAAACAACTAAACTAACCATGCCAGTTCAGATAGAGGACACAGCCCTGTAACAATGACTTCTTTACACGGAATCATCACATACTGTGCCACCTTAGCAAACTCATCTAAAAACAGACTCTTCAAACCTTGCTACAAAAATTCATCCACTTCTAAGACTTATGATCCACACAAACTTGTTATGCATGTTATACTCAAATAAAAATTCACTTAAAGGCTGGGCGTGGTGGCTCACATCTATAATCCCAACACTTTGGCTGAGGCGGGTGGATCACCTGAAGTCAGTTTGAGACCACCTGAGCCAACATGGTGAAACCCATCTCTATTAAAAAAAAAAAAAATTTAGCCAGGCGTGGTGGTGCGCCAGGCGTGGTGGTGCGCACCTGTAGCCCCAGCTACTTGGGAGGCTGAGGCAGGAGAACTGCTTGAACCCAGGAGGTGGAGGTTGCAGTGCACTCCAGACTGGGCAACAGAGCTAGACTCCATCTCAAAAAAAAAAATCACTTAAACAAACAAACTACCATATGATTTCAGGTTCCTGAGAAGGGAAGCAGAAGTAATAACAGGAAGGAAGAGACAGAGCTTGTGTGGCAGAGCCTTGTGGCCACACTAGTACCATAAACAAACTGTATTTAGGAGTCAAACGCCCATGGACAGCCCTTCTTCTCTAGAAGCCAGATTCTTTTACTGATGCACGAATGTTAACGTATCAAGCCTATGAACGCAGTGAGAATGAGACAAAGAAGAGGAGGAGAATATACTTAATGGGTCCAACGGATGGTAAACCATGGCCCACGGGCCAAATACAAAACCTTGTTTTTGTAAATGAAATTTTAGTAAGACATAGCCATACTCATTTGTTCATGTGCCATCTATGGCTGCTTTCACAGGACAAAGACAGAGCTGAGTACTTGAAACAAATACCTTATGGTCCGCAAAGCCTAAAATATTTACTGCACTTCACAGAAAAGGTTTGCTGATCCCTGTGTTAGAGATAGTTACTGAAGCGACAACTCTTAAAATTATCTGAAACAAGGTTTAGAAGACACAACTGGGCATGTCCCATCTGAAAGGTGAGAAGTGAAGCACCTGAAAAGCAGGTGTTTTTGATCTGCAATGTTGTAGCCATTTCAAAGAGCTCTAGAGGACCACTCACAGGAGTGATGAGGACAGACAACCTTCCTACTAGAATGTGTCCATGCAAGTCAAGTCAAAAGATCCCTTTCTCACCAATGAGCTACAGCACTCAGCAGAAAGTAAATATGGAAACCAGGTTTAACTGCTGTACTGCCCATACTCCATCAACAAAAAGCAAAAGCAAGAATTTGGAAATGAACCCCGAGGGGCTAGATTAAGAGTTTGAGATAGCAGAATGAACTTATGCTTGCCTTAATAAACATACAAATAGACATGCAGTAACAGATGTGTGTACACCTGGGTTGGTACATGTGTGTATGTTTTCTAGCTCTGCCCTCTGAAAGTGCTAAAAGCAGTGACGCTCCAGCAACAACATACACACTCAGTACCCAGCTCTTGCTTTTAAAATACCATTTTCCAATAAAAAGAACTAGGGCTCTTTAGAGAAATGGCTGATTCCAAGGCTGGGGCAGGGGAAACAGAAGATGAGTCTGTAGCCTCTGGTAATGCCAGAATACCAGAAAATATGGAAGTGGGGGTGAAGAAAAGCGGGGGGACGGCATTTCCAAAGGATACAAGAGCCAAGATGAAATAACTCTCAATGGCCAAAGCTGGAACAATCTGAGCAACAAAAGAAATAACAAAAATGCCGGATTAGAAAGTAAATTAAAAAGTATCTGTGAATCCATACTGTTGTCAACAGATGACTGAATAATAAATAAATAAATGGCGGAGAAGAGACAAATCTTCCTCACAGAAGAATTCCAATTAATAAATGTAGGAGGAATAAGGAAACAAAATCATGATTAGAACATTACAGTAAAGATCAAGAAACTATCATGGACTCAATGTCATAGACTGAATGACTGCTGTGTGCAACATGCATTGATGAATGCTAAATTCAGAGAGCCAAACTTTAAGGAGAAACAGGTTATTTGTATAAGCACAAAGCTATCTTCCCAAAAGTATTGACTAATTACTGTGGTAGTTTTAAGGTATGCCCATAAATTCGTGATTCTCCTCTCTCCAGGAAGTGGAGCTTAATTCCCAATCCCTTGAATGTGGGCTGCACTTAGTGATTTGTTTCTAACAAACAGTACAGAAAAGGAAAAACAGTCACTTTCTAGAGGAGAAACCTGACAGATATCACTTTAACCTGAAGTGATCGAGGTTAACCTCACCAATAACCAATCATGTTGATGTCTTGTGCCTGCTCACATGACACAAGGGCAAAGGATACCACCTCTGTGGGTCTTTCCCAAAATCCATAACCTCTGCTTAATCAAAAGAAAACATCGGACAAATCCAAACCAAGAGGCATACTACAAGACACTACCTGAATAATAATCTTCCAAAGCGTCAAGGTTTTATTGGGGAATCTAAGGAAAGGGTATCCACAGATTCTTCTGTTATTTGCAACTTTTCTCTAAGTCTGAAATTACGTCTACATTTTTAAGTCAATTTGATGATGTTTCTAGGGGGTGGTTTGTTAGAACAGAAATCTAGTAATTATAAAATTTTTCCTTTTGTAGTAGTATATTTCTATGTTTAAAGAGCTTTAATATGTATTATTTGAGGCAAAATAAAAATCTCATTCTCATGCCTGTAATCTTAGCACTTTGGGAGGCTGAGGCAGGCAGATCACTTGAGGTCAGGAGTTCGAAACCAGCCTGGCCAACATGGTAAAACCCCGTCTCTACTAAAAACACAAAAAATTAGCTGGGCCTGGTGGTGCGCACCTGTACTCCCAGCTACTCAACAGGCTGAGGCAGGAGAATCGCTCAAACTCGGGAGCTGGAGGTTGCGGTGAGCGGAGATCACGCCACTGCACTCCAGCCTGGGTGACAGAACAAGACTCCATCTCAAAAAAAAAAAGAAAAGAAAAAGAAAAAAAAGAAAATCAAATTCAATAGAAAAAAACACGTCAAGGTCTTGAAAGATGAGATGAAAAAGCTGTCACAGACTGAGACATTGAGAATAAGGAGACACGACAACTAAATGCTATGTAGTATCCTGGATGTGAACCTGAAACAGGTAAAGAACATTTGTGGAAAAACTAGGGAAATACGAATAAAACCTGCAGTTTAGCTAATAGTATTGTTGGTTTCTCAGTTGAGCTAAATTCACCAAGGTTACATAAGCTATTAACATTAGCGGAAGCTGGCTGAAGAGTTCACATTAACTCTATCCTCTTTTGTACAACTCTTACAAATTCAAATTCATTCCAAAATAAAACTACTAAAGAAGAAAATAAACAAGAGACACAACATTAACAACAGCCAAAAAAAAGAAAAAAGAAAAAAAAAGTGAAAGAAGGACTCTCTGGGCCAGGGTCTTTTAAGCGCCACACAGCCTTTTCTTACAGAATGGAAATGAGCCCTTGGAAGAGAGCAAAGAACAGAAGTACAGAGGGATACAGGGGAAGAAGAAAGAAAAGAAGGGCACTTCTGAGGATATGCTACAATTGGGTCTTCCTATTACAATAATTAAGTGTCGAGTTAGTGACATGAGTTTTATTTGATAATGCTAAATTTTGTTCATGCAGAACCAGTCTTTAAAATATTTGGATCATGTAGCACAGCTGTCTGCTCACGTAAGTCATTTGTTCATAATTTTAAAAAAAAGGAATGCTGAAGAGGAGCTGTCATAAGCTCCTGCCATGCACTGAAACACTGTGGGCCAGAAAACTAGCTTATACACAGGGAAGAAAAAGAAGACACAAAGTGGCCTCTTCCCAGATAGGATATATAAAAAGAAGGTACTGAGACTGCTCTTGTTCACATGTTAAATTAAGTGACCTTGAAGAGAAAACTCCGAATAAAAGCTTCAAAGCTCTAGAGGTTCTGAAGTTTTCAGGGAGACTATACGCCTGTGCTTTTTATGCAGTAAAAGGGTGGTGTGCTAGAGACGGCTGGCTGGCCTGCTTGTGAGAACCCACCAGACTCCTCTCTCCCAGCTCTGTGCTATGCCATCAGCCACGGTGGGACCATTTACAGCACCAAGCACTTCCCAGGATGCCACAAGGAAGCCTCATGAAGCCAGAAAAAGCAGGAAATTAGCTTCAGTGTGCGGTAAGCAAAAACCTTCTAAATTAGAGGATGATGAGCCAAAGGTTTCTACTAACACCTGGGAGGAAATCAAGAAATCCAAGTTTATTTTCTCAAGACCCTTTCATCTGTAAATATAAATAAGAAGGGAAATGCAATTACAGTTAATAAACCTCCAAATGATATGGCTAGGAAAGTTTTTAACTCCCTGAGGACCTCAAAACCATGTTGTATTATCTTTCCTAACACCTTATACATTTAGAAATTCATCACGTTTGATGGACAGAAATAATGTTTCCCATACATTTTAGGTTGGAACACAGTTTAAGGCAAAGTCTCACGGCACACGTGGCTAATTAACCTGTGGGATGTGTAGAGGCCAAAAGCATAACTTAACTTGGGCTTTTAACAGTAGGGTGACTGCCCCAGTTTGTCTGGGACAGAGGGGTTTCCCTGGGATGTGGTATTTTTAGCACTAAAACCAGGACAGTCTCAAGCAAACTGGGACAAGCTGGTCACCCTAGCTTTAGGTAAATTCAGGAATTAAAGTGGCTCAAAAGTTATCACAGGAAATTGAAACTATGTGGAAGATAAACACAAATCTTTAATGCTGGTACTAACACACAATGTAAAAAAGCAAGTACCAAGTCCAGTGAGTAGCACTCAGGATAGGATGGGGCAGGAGGAAGGGTATAGTGCCGATCTCAGGAAAAATTGTAGAATGAAATCTTGAAGGAAGAAGAGCATTGAGATAGTAGAGAATGTGTGATAATAACAGTAACAAGGTCCTAAATAAGGAATAAGGCATCTGGAAGAGACCAAGGAAGCGGCATGATTGAAGCAAATATCAATATTGGGAAATACTGAGAAATGAAGTCAGTGAGGTACAGTGTTAGCAAATTACAAGGTTAAAGAATTTGGATTTTATCCTGCTTAAGTAGGATTTTATTTATGGAGGTTCATGAACGGTGTTGACAACGATAGTGAGGAGTTTGGAGGGGTAAGAAAATGCTGGCCTAAGGTACTGCAGCAAAAGCCTAAGGAATGGACAGCTCCAAACATTCCTAAGGCTCTACGGGTAAGGTATAAAGCTAATGCTAAGATAGTACAGTTACACTGTTCACTGTTCTGAGGGTGTGTTACAAGTCCTTTGGTCTTTCAAAAACAATGCATTCACAAATTAAAATACTACAAAAATCAGTCTACAATCATTTATGAAGCCTACCTACAAAAAGGAATTACATAAAACACTTGAAAGATAAAGTCTTTGCCTTTAAGGAATTAACAACCCAACTGAGGAAATAAGACGTATGGTGAGACAGAAAACAAGAACAGTACGGGCCAGTGAGCTTGTAAAAAATAAACAAGACATCTATACAACAATGGCTATTTTCATTTCCCAGATGGCCCATGGTTGTATGCTTTTCTGATCCGATTACAAAAGACTCTGACAATCACTGCATTCATTATCTAATAGTTAATCTCAAGAATGAAAGTGCTGTGAGCACTGTAGATGCGAACAGGGAAAGAACTGAGCTGACGCACAGCCTCAGCACAGGGGCCCAGGCTCAACGGGCACTCAAGATTCAGAGCACAAGCATTTGTTTCCAGAGATCTTTCTTGACACCCCTGCCCTACTCCAAATCTGGCTTAGGTGACCTTCCTCTGAGCTCTTACTACTTTTTCTCTCCTCTACTGAAGCATCTCTCCAGTGAACTGAAACTGTCTAAGAACAGGATCCCATCTCCTCAGCATTTTACCCTTCTGCCAAACTGCATCAAGCACACACTCAATACCTGCAGAACAAATTCATTATCGTTAGTCTTGGCATTTCAACTCTTCTCCCTTAAAAAAGAGCATGCCCTGGGGTGAGAAGAGAGCAAAGGCCATCAAGCCCCACTCACTGCAAATCTTACATCCTCAATACAAAGCTGCTGGCATTTCACCAGACTGTGCTTCGGCACAGCCAGCAACAGGAAGTCCACTACCTCCCTAAGACATTCCATTTTCTGGCAGCTGAAATTCTCTGAAAGTTCTTCTGCACGCTGGGTCAAAATCTGTCACTGTTGTGAAAAGGGCAAAGACAAGGACAGAGCTCTTTTTACTTCACTAGAGAACTCCCTCTAGGCTGACATCCAATCTACTCCCCAACAGTTCCAAAGCATAAATCTGTACCCTAGTGTCACCAGTGCAGCCAGGTGGGCCGTGCTACTTAGCAGTTAGTGGCACAGCCTGGGAGCTGGACAGAGAACTCTGGCTCTGCCTTGCTAGCTGTGTGACACTGGGCAAGTTACTTAACCTCAGCAAACTATAGTTTTCACATCTGTCAAATGGAGATAAACTGGTATCCTAGCTGACAAGACTGTTATGATGATTAATCTGCAAGCTATATTAGTTAAGGATCCTCGTTCAAAGTATGTTCAGAAACATGCCTGGTAATAGCTTAGCAAAAAGAAGAATACAAGGCTTTTGTGTCACCTGGCCTGCAAGGACAATGAAACCCAGGGACTTCAACACACATTAGTGCACTTCCTTGGGGTTCTTCACTCTTTTCAACAGATTCTTCTGGAACTGTGGCCACTTGCAGCATTACCAAAGAGGACCTCTTCCCTTAGTACCAACCTAACAACATCCAGAGGCAGACCTGTGTTCATGCTTGCAGTCCAGGGTGGGTTATTAACCTTGCTGGCCACACTGGAACCCAAGGTTGGGTGGAGTTAGTCAGGAAAGGATAATTTGTCAAAAGAGGGAGGATGCATTTTTCAGAGGATGGTGGAAGGGGGCTGGGTGTGGTGGCTCACGGCTATAATCCCAACACTTTGGGAGGCCAAGGTGAGCCAATTGCTTGAGCCCAGGAGTTCGAAACCAGCCTGGGCAATATAGTTGGACCCCATCTCCACAAAAAATACAAAAATTAGCCAGGTGTGGTGGCGCACGTCTGTAGTCCTAGCTACTTGGGAGGCTGAGCTGTGAGGATCACTCGAGCCCAGGAGGTTGAAGCTGCAGTAAGCCGTGATCACACCACTACAGTCCAAACTGGGTGACAGAGCGAGACCCTGTCTCAAAACACAAACAAAAAAATGGCAGTACTCCTAGGCAGACAAAATAATTAATGTTCTCTGTGTGAGTGCTCACAAAATTGTATCTATAGTATTATAATAATCTCATCTAGTAGGTTCTAGTTTAGATTCCAAACCAGGTATAGTGCAAAACTAATTTAAAGGACCAATAAAGAGTTTTTAACTTTTTAATTTTGTTAACTTAAAAACTTTTTTAAAGCTACAGCTATTATCACCAACATTTAACAAAAAAAGTATCTATTCCAAGTAAGTTAGAAGAACATAATCTCAGAATAAAAGACAATCTTTTAAATCAAATAAATTTATCTTTATTAAAGAAAACTGCACTTTTCTTAATTTTCTCACTTTGACCAAGGGCTGGTAAAAACTTCATCCAAATCTGATACCAGGCCCTGGCTGGAATCTGGGTACCAGTGATCCAGGTCACAGTCTTCTACCTTGTCAACAGGCAGCTTAGGGCTCACCCCACGCCTTTCTGCGATACAGGCACATGACACCTCCAGCATTCTCGCTATCCAGGACAGACCTGGCACCCAGGAGATACTCACATCCTCACCGAACCGATCCACCAGTCCAGCAGCTAAACAGGACAGAGTCTGGCATTACATGCTCTTAACAAATATATACTGGAACACAAACATATATACACACACACACTTTAAAAGTCAAACTCAGTTTTCAAGTATTGGAGTGATTTTACACATATACAATATAATCACTGAAAGAATGAAATTCACATAATGAGAGGAAGATAAAGAGAAAGCCTACACAAAAGCTGACTACTTTGACAGAGTACTCTATTTCAATTCCAGGCTCCGACATAAATCTCTTGAAATGTCTGGCATAAAATAACACAGTCTTCCCTTTACTCCTAAATCTGAAAGTTAGTCTGTGTGTGTGCCTGGGTAAGGTAACAGTTTAAGCCAGGTGGTCTGAGAGGTCCTTTCGTTCAGTCCCTCAGTAAACATCTCAGTGTCTACCACATTCCTGGCACTTTGTGAGACATCAAGACCACAAAGTTGAAGTAGGCACAATACCCATCTCAGAGTTTCATGTATCAGGAAAGCTGAAAATTACTAACATAAACCACAATCTAAATTAAATTACTAGTCATTTTCTTCTGTTTTCTTTACTTAATAAAAGATGAGGATCATTTTGAAATTAGGCTTAAGTTCCAACAGTGCACATGGTGACAGCACACAAATAAACAACTCATTTTGTGTTCTAATTTTCATCTGCTTATTGAATTAGAAGTTCAAACTTTGGGCAACTGAAGTAGGATACCCTTGGACCCAAGGCATTATGCCAAAGCAAAGCATGCAATACCATATCTCTAACAATTAATTCTTTTTTTTTTTATTTTTTTTTTTAAGTTCTGGGATACATGTGCAGAATGTGCAGGTTTGTTACATAGGTATATACGTGCCATGCTGGTTTGCTGCACCCATCAACCCCGTCATCTAGGGATGACGCCGGGAATTTCAAGCCCCGCACGCATTAGGTATTTGTCCTAATGCTCTCCCTTCCCTCATCCCCCACCCCCAACACCCCCGACAGGCCCCGGTGTGTGATGTTCCCCTCCCGGTGTCCATGTTGAACAATAACTTCTGCATCCCTGTATATAGCCACAGGTGATGTGGCCAGGTTTTCTATTGATTCTGATAGTCACAAAGGCAAGAACTATATTATTCACTCCCTCTTAGTAAAAGCTCTAGCCTAGTCTAGGTCTTTAGATCACCAATAGTTCGGTAACTTTCCACTTGTCTTCCAGATTTCATGGGTAGAGCAGTAGGCTACAGGCCAACAAAGAGCAAATGGTAGCAGTGAGAGATGTGACAGGCGAGGTAAAGCAGGAAACAGAGACCACAACAGGGCAGCCAGACAGAACACAGCCAGGATGGGTGCAGGAAGGCCAGAATGAGAGGGTAAGAACAGAAGGGGAGAGGAAGGGGGCAAAAGACATCCTAATTCAGGACCGGCTAAATGTTGGGTAAGGATAAGTCAGGTACAAACAGAATGCTGGGTGATAGAGCCGTCATGTATGCATGTACAGATTTCAGCTATGATTTGGCCGCCAATGCAATAAAAATTAACACAGGTCAGAGAATTCCTTAATGGGCAACTAAAAGGTTCAGACTTAGTGTTACAGCTCTTTTAGAATTTCTCTAAAAATAATACGGAATTTAGCTGCCATTTCTGGGACAAGAAAAGCACAGTCAGAAACTTGGTTTACAACTTCCCCAGAAAACTCTGACTTTTAGCCATTTTATAGAATTGATAACCCTCAGTGAGAAAGTTCTTCAAGTTTATGCATACTTAGTAACACCTTTTCTTAGCACATATCTTAAATTTAAAAGCTAATTTTAAAAAAGTGGCCAGGCGCAGTGGCTCACGCCTGTAATCCCAGCACTTTGGGAGGCCAAGGCGGGCGGATCACCTGAGGGCAGGAGTTCAAGACCAGCCTGGCCAACATGGAGAAACCCCATTTCTACTAAAAATACGAAAAATTAGCCAGGTGTGGTGGTGGGCTCCTGTAATCCCAGCTACTTGGGAGACAGAGGCAGGAGAATCGCTTGAACCTGGGAGGCAGAGGTTGCAGTGAGCCGAGATCACGCCACTGCACTCCAGCCCAAGTAAGAGTGAGACTCTGTCTCAAAAAAAAAAAAAAAAAAATTTAAAAAAAATTTTAAAAAATTAAAAAGCAAGCACTGACATTTACAGCTAAGACCATGTTGTTTCTGAGTGTGAAATCATAGTATGCAGAGTGGAGGAATCAAAGCCTAAGAACCAGGCCTGTTCAGAGTAAACGAAGTCAAAGTTCAATAGCTCATAGGCACTCATTCAAGATGAGTACTGTTTCCTCGTCCCTGCATTTTAAATGCTCAGAGTGACTAAGACTAAAACAGAGCACACAGGGAGCAAGGGTTACTTAGTAATTCTACTGTTCACTCTGAGGAAAAGTACAAATGATTAATTAGTACACACTGTTGAGTGAAAAGCACTAACAAAATCAAGGGAAAATATTTATGACTCCCATAGTAAAGTTTAAAAAACACTTTTTAAACTTTCATATGGAACCAAAGTTTGGTGTTTTTAATATTTTGTCCCTATATAATATTTAAAATTTTAAAGTTTCCACATTTGTTCAATTTTTACCTACAAAATTCTAATTATTTTACCGATTTGGCTTTAAGTAATGAGTCAGATTTTGCAATGCTGATAGTAGCCACACAAACTAGTATTTGATTTCAGGTTTTTTTTTTTTTTGAGACGGTGTCTCACTCTGCCGCCCAGGCTGGACTGCAGTGGCAGGATCTCGGCTCACTGCAAGCTCCGCCTCCCGAGTTCATGCCATTCTCCTGCCTCAGCCTCCCGAGTAGCTGGGACTACAGGCGCCCGCCACCATGCCTGGCTAATTTTTTTTTGTATTTTTAGTAGAGATGGGGTTTCACCGTGTTAGCCAGGATGGTCTCGGTCTCTTGACCACGTGATCCACCCGCCTCGGCCTCCCAAAGTGCTGGGATTACAGGCATGAGCCACCGTGCCCGGCCGATTTCAGGTTTAAAACAGGCTTTCCTAAGTATCTGGCTACTTCCCCTAATAATCGCATTAAACAACTGACTTTTCCTAATTATTATACAATTGTTATACAATTCAAAATACCATACCAATATTCTGTATGCTCTAAAACAAACCCCTTTCTACCACCAATCCCTACTTCCATCTCTAAGGTCACCTATAGCAAATTTTGTTCTAAAGCAGTGATTCTCAACTGTGAGATTTTTGTCCCCCAGAGGTAGGGGACAAAAAAAAATTGGCAATGACTGGTGGCATTTTGGTGTGGCAACTAGGTCGCAACTAGGTGGTGGGGGATAAGGGTACTACTACTGGCATCTAGTGGGTGGAGGCCATCTTTGTTGCTATACACAGGACAGCCTGCCCGTCCAACTATGAATTATCTGGCCCCAAATGTCAATTAAGTGTCTCTGCTGGGAAAAGCCTGGTTCTAAACTGAAACAAGCAAATTTGCAAATACAGCTGACAACTTCAAAAAACAATTGCCAAGCAAGTAATTCAAAGTTCACTAAGCTCTGTTATTGGTATAGAGACACACACATAATAAAGGCGTCTTTTTATACTATCAAAATGCATTAAAATGATTAATCATTAATGCAATAAGTGGCAAACACGTCAGCAAAGAGTACTTTTACTACCCAAGCAATTAAACATATACATCTTTTCAAAAAGAAATTCGGGAGACAAAAAAGGAAATGAGGTAATGACATTCTTGACAGTTCCTTTTTCTCCTCTCAGTCACTAGACTTTTAACTGGAGAAAGTTTAATGAGAGAAGGGAAGTTAACCACATGATACTAGTCGGCAGAATAATCTTAAACCAAAATACGTTGCTAAAGTATCTGTTAGAATCCTAACTAATGTTTACCTGGCAAAAGGACTGGCTCCAGTTTTTTAATCTTCGGTTCCGAATTGATCTTATCGTCAGTCTGAAATACATTAGCAAAATAAATCAAAATCTCAATCCCCCCACCCTCCGTAAAATGCTACAGCAAATGTTGTTTTCTAAGTGATGACACATGCGAAAGACACACAGCCCCCCATTTAAATTCTTTCGCATATTAACTGAGCTGTTTTTAAGATCTGCTCATTATCGACTTGGAAGCCTAATAATAAAAAATGTTTAAACTGCCAGTGTCGCTTCCAGGTGTTCACATTTATGACAGACGGGTAACCGCCTCGACCAGTGACCCCAAGCGCTGCAATCATGCTGGCGGTCATACGAGGGAGGGTCGATGGGTTGGAAACTAAAGAAAACCCCAGCTCCCAAGGCTCCCCTGGGCCTCAACACTCCGCAAAACTACGGACGACAGAACTTCGGGCAGAGAATGGCTGCAGAAGAGTTTTACAAGTTTTCGCCGAGCCAGTGGGGGCTCCCGAGAAGGCGCATTTCGCGGCGCCGGGAATCAGGCAGCCGCGCTGCTGTGGGCAGGGAGACGCGCGCAGCCTCCTGGGGTCCTCCAGTTCCCGGGGGTCGGCCTGGAGGCTCCACGGAAGCGCAGAGGAGAGTCGGGCGCTCGCGGGGAGGGGTTGTTTACCTGGGGCGGTGGCAGGAGGTAGGACCTGAAGGTGGGTTTGGGCGGCTTGAGGGAGAACATGGTGCCGCCGCCTTTTCGCCCCGTTCCCGTCGCGGGCCAGTGGCAGCGCCGACGCCTCCGGGCGTAAAGCTCTCAGTGCGGCCGCCCAGGCCCTTTCTGCGGCCAGCCGAGCCGGGCGGACTGACGGGCGGGGATACGGCGCAGCGCCCGCCCGAGCGGGGAGGGGCCGGGCACAGCCAGGCCGACGCGGGCGCCGGGGCCCATCCCCGGAAGGGGCCCGGTGCCCCGCCCCGAGAGACGGCGCGCGCAAGGCCGCGGCCCGCCGCTCCCTGACCGTGTCCCGTGCTAGTGCCGGAACGCAGCGGTGGCGCCAGGTGCCCGCTGGCGGGCCCTCAGCCGGGGCGCCGCGGGGAGCGGAGCCCGACGGCCATCTCAAGAGCGCGGCCTCTGGAGGGTCCTTCTACGGCGGCCCGCAGGGGTCAGGCGGCCCGCGGGGGCCTACGGCGGCCTGCGGGGGCCACGGCGGCAGCGGTGGCTGCCTGGGACGGCGGCGCGGGGCGTCTTCTGGCCGGGCTGCAGTCCTGGGACAGTTCCCTTGACTTACACATGGGCCGACTTCGCCCTCCGGCCTGGGCGAGCATTGTTTTGAAGCTCTCAAGGAGGAGCTCAGGGCAGGGAAAGGTGACTCGGGTCCAGGGGTCAGGCGGTCACCCCGTCTGCGCCCAGGATGCGAGGAACCGGCACTGGGAAAGTGGGCCGGTGCCGCCAAGCACAGGTCACTTCTGAGCTCTTACGGTAATTCTGACTGGAGCAGATTTTGGTGGGAGGGGGCTAGTGGTGTTACATTTTGGTGAATCTATTACTTGAGACTAGGTCCTTCTTATACCTTGAAGAATCAAACCCCAATCCAGCATTTTATGATTAATGCCACAGGGAAGCTTCCATGCAGCCATACCAGTCACAATCACGCTGATGAGTGTTACTCACAGGAACATTTAACAATTTAAATAAAGATTCAAAAAGTTATTCTTTTTCTGAAAATAATTTATCCTGGATTTAGAACCCTACTGATCTTTCAGGTTAACCTGTTTGAATTCCACTCTGCCCAAGAACCGTAACCATAATTGTATTTTTTAGAGTCAGGGTCTCACACCATCACCTGGGCTGAAGTGCAGTGGCATGATCAGGGCTCACTGCTGCCTCCACCTCCTGGGCTCAAGTGATCCACGTGCCTTAGCCTCTCAAGTAGCCGGGACTATGGGCATGAGGCACCGTGCCTGGCCATAATTGTACTTTAAAATGTTAGTTCCATTGGATTAGAAGTGTTAAAATCACTGTCGTGCACACTTTTTAAAAAATTTTTATGAATATGCTGTTATTCCTCTATATTCAACGGATATTTTCTACAAATACTCTTTAAGCAATAATTGGCTTTTTCTTTACACTTAAATGACTCTGTGATTTGGGTTTTTCTGTACAGGTTTTCTTAGGATCTGCAATTCTAATATGTGACCATACAACTGAAAAGTGGAAAAACTCTATTTCCAGATTTATTATTGTCTTAACACTAAATTTTATGGCATTTCCCAGATATCTGGTTGTATTAGTCTGCTCAGGCTGCCATAACAAAATACCACAGGTTGATGGCTTAAAGAGCAGACATTAATTTCTCACAATTCTGGAGTATAGGAAGTCCAAGATCCAGGTGTTGGCAAGGTAGGGATCTGCCTAACTTGTGGCAGGCAGACAGGTGAGGGCTCTCTGCCGGATTTGCAGATGGCTGCCATCTCACCATGTCCTCACACAGTGCGGGGAGGGTATATAACATGCTCTCTGGGATCTCTTGATGTCTCTTCTTGTAAGGACGCTAATCCTATCAGATTAGAGCCCCACTCTTACTACCTTATTTAACTTTAATTACCTCCTAAAATCTCCAAATGTAGCCATACCAGGGGTTAGGGTTTCAACATTAGCATTTTGGAGGAACACAATTCAGTCCGTAGAACTAGTTTTATAACCTCTTCTCAGACCCTGATGCCCTTGACTACGCTGTATGTTTGGTGTTATTGCCTACCCCCTGCTTTTGGCTCTAATGTCACTGTTTTGTCCTGCTTCACCCATTTTTCTGTTTTTGTTTGTTGTTTGTTTTGTTTTGGTTTTTTTGAGGCGGAGTCTTGCTCTGTCACCCAGGCTGGACTGCAGTGGCGCAATCACGGCTCATTGCAACCTCCGCCTCCCGGGTTCAAGTGAGTCTCCTGCCTCAGCCTCCCAAGTAGCTGCGATTACAGGTGTCCACCACCACGCCTGGCTAATTTTTGCGTTTTTTTAGTAGAGACGGGGTTTCACCATGTTGGCCAGGCTGGTCTCAAACTCCTTACCTCAGGTGAACTGCTGGACTCGGCCTCCCATCACCCATTTTTCTGACTACACCTCTGTTTCCATTATTGGATCTTCTATCATTGGGAATGGTAGCATTCTCTAAAGATCACTTCCTTTTCCCTATCAAGAAAAAATAAAGCTAACATTTCTTGAATACTGATCAGGTGCTAGGAACTTTATATATTCATTCAGCACTCATTCAGTGAACTCATGAATTTGTATTGAGTACTAACATTGTGCCAAGCACTATTCCGGACACTAAGACAAAGTTTCTACTTTCATGGCATTTTCATTCTCGGTAGAAAGATAAAAAATTAATATATAGCATGTCAGGTGGTAATGAGTGCTGTGAAGAAAAATAAAACATAGTGAGAGAAAGGTGGTTCCATTTTTCAGTGGGGAGTTGGATATGGTCAGGGAAGGACTTTCTGAGTATAGGACATTTGAGCAGAGACAAAAGGAGTAAGGGAAAAGGCCAAGTACACATGAGGAGGAAAAGCATTTGGGACAGAGAAGATTAGCTGTGCAAATGCCTTGAGGTGAGCGCCTTCGAGGGGTGTTTGAGGCCAGTGTGGCTAAAGCAGCCTAATGCAGTCAGGGAGGAGGGCAGAGGGAAACACAGGCCAGATCACAGAGGCCCCAAAAATTGAGAAGATTTTATAAGGTTTTGAGGTAAGAGTGCTATGATCTGACTTGTGTTTTAAAATAATCATTTTGACTGCTGTAGTGTGCAGCAGGGTGGCCTTTGGAAGACCAGTTGGGGCCTGTTATAACAGTCCAGATAAGAGAAGGTGATGGTGGTAGCAGGGGAAGTAGTTAGAAGTGGTTATACATAATGTTTGCAAAACGAGGCCATGGCTTGAGTATGTGGTCTTTTAAGATGACTACTAAGTAATTTAAGACATCTGTTTCTTGAGGGAGAATTGTGGAAAGATGACAACAGCAGCATACTTTTTCAATCTCTGCATAAAAACAGACAAAGCAACTATATGGCAAAACCAAAACCCAAGGACAACATCTATAACAAATCCAAATGAAATGGTATCCCCTTGATCTCAAAAATATAAATGCGTGGGAACAAACCAATAGCAATAATATGGCAATAATAAGTAATAAGACCCTTGTGGTATCAGCATAGAGAATCAATGAGGCATCTGGAGAACCCCAAAATAGCTGCAAAGTGTTCCCTGGAAGGTCCAGCCAGTCAAGTTGAGAACAGCAGCAGAAACAGGAAAGGGTATTTGCCTTCTCTAAAAACGTGAGAATGCACGAGCCTCCTGGTAAAGTCTGGAGGGGCTGGAGTAATGTAGCTGCAGGAACTCTTGAAACTAATCTACTAGGCTTCCTTGCAGGAAAGAGACCTACACTGCTGGCAAACTGTTGGGCATGGAAACAAAATTGAGCTAAATAGAGACAATAGAGAGAAAGGAAAAAGAAGTTCTAGGTAAAAATGGAAAACTAGGAAATCTCCAAAAGTAAGCCAACTTTTCAAATAAAAAAGAACGAAACCCACAACACTAAGCAGTAAAAACGGAAGTTCTCTATGAAGTTAGAAAAACTAGGCTGGGCACGGTGGCTCACGCCTGTAATCCCAGCACTTTGGGAGGCCGAGGCAGGCTGATCACGAAGTCAGGAGATCAAGACCATCCTGGCTAACACGGTGAATCCCCATCTCTACTAAAAATACAAAAAATTAGCCAGGCATGGTGGTGGGCGCCTGTAGTCCCAGCTACTCGGGAGGCTGAGGCAGGAGAATGGCGTGAACCCGGGAGGCGGAGCTTACAGTGAGCCGAGATAGTGCCACTGCACTCCAGCCTGGGCGACAGAGCAAGACTCCACCACAAAAAAAAAAAAAAGAAAAAAAAAAAAAGAAAAAAGAAAAACTATCCTTAAAACTGCCTCCTTCAAAAAGTTCAAGAAAACCAATTTCACATAAAAATAATCACATGAAAGTATGGAAGTCAAATCACATAGAAAATTATTGTAATGAAAGACAATAAGAACAGAATAGCACTCATATCCACAATAAAAGCATACCAGAAAGGATGCCCACAAAACAGATAAAAACTAACATCCACTATTTCACAATGAGCCAAAAGATACTAAGAAAATGATATGAAACATGAAAAGAACTATGTAAATCAGAACTAGAAACATTCAAAATGAAATGAATAAATTCAAAATAGAATCAGAAATCAGAATCTGAAATTAAGAATAAAAGAAACCCAAGGATGAATAAACACAATTGATTATTCTTTAAGAGAAGATGAAAAGGAGAAAAATTCTAAAAAATCAAAAATCAATGAAGGAAGTTAAACAGATTAGAAAGAAAGTCTAGATATTGAAAACAGGCAAAGGAGAACTAACAAATAGATAATAGGAGTTCCTGGGGGAAACAAAAAGAGGGAGGAGATAAGGAAACAGAACAAATACTACAAACTGTAGTTTAAGAAAACTTACCTGAAATTAAAAGAAAATATTTGAAACTGCATATTGAAAGAACACATTGCACCTGAGAACATTGATCTGGGCTTACCAGCACTAAGACACATTCTTCTAAACCTACTGGGCCTTGAAGAAACAACAATGAAAATTTCTTTGGATATTTAGACAAAAAAAGCAAGTGACTTTCAGATGAAAGGAAATTAGATATTACCAGACGTTTTGGCAGCAATGCATTATGCCAGAAGAAAATGGAGTAACATATTTAAGGTACTCATGGAAAGAAAATGTGAGAGAATAATAATTATGGCCGAGCGCTCAAGCCTGTAATCCCAGCACTTTGGGAGGCCGAGGTGGGTGGATCATCTGAGGTCAGGAGTTCGAGACCAGCCTGGCCAAAATGGAGAAACCCCGTCTCTACTAAAAATACAAAAATTTAGCCAGGCGTGGTGGCACATGCCTGTAATCCCAGCTACTTTGGAGGCCGAGACAAGAGAATCACTCGAACCTGGGAGGCAGAGGTTGGAGTGAGCTGAGATCACGACATTGCACTCCAGCCTGGGCAACAGAGTGAGACTGTGGCTCAAAAAAAAAAAAAAGAAAAACCCAAAAACCAAAAAATTACAATGGATTAAAATACATCACATATATTTAAATCCATGAAGTCATAATGGTGTTTAAATAAACTAAACTATCAGTCACCTGGAAAAACTCTGATTTCCAGATTTGTTATTGACTGAAATGTCACATTTTCCAGATGTCTAGTTGTATTAGTGTGCTCATGCTGCTATAACAAAGTACACAGACTCTGGCTTAAAGAACAGAAATTTCTTTCTCACAGTTCCAGAGGCTGGGAAGTGTAAGACCAAGATACCAGCAAGGTAAAGGTTCTGGTGAGGGCTCTCTGCCTGGCCTGTAGACCACCTTCATCCTTTGGAGGATGGTAGAGAACCAATTCATTATTTTTAAAACTGGCAACTGGGAAAAATCAATCAGTCATTATTTCTGCTGTGTAGTATGAACTATACCACTGTGTAATCAAGTAGTAGGTGAAAAGAATAATCTCTTTATAAATAATAGAATTTGAGTATTACAATTTTCAACCCTCTATAAATTAAGTGATCTAGGCATTGAGTATCAACAGTTGCTGACATCACAAAAAGAGAGACAAGTAGACACATGTGCCTCCTTGTGTCTTAGAAAGAAGCTACACCATCTAAGGAGTCTTGCCAAAGGGATCAGACCTAAGCCTGAATAAGCCTCTGACTCCTCTTGCCAACCTGCAGAAACAGCAGAATATGTCAAACTGCCTATGAGCGTTCAATAAGTAAAGTTTAGACTGTGGGAAACTTTGCAAGACAAGTGGCCCATGTTCTTCAACAAAGAAATTGTTAAGGAAGAGAAAGAGAGAAAGGTAATACCAGATTAAAAGAGATTTAAAAGACCTTCAAATAAAAAAGAGTAAGGCTAAACTATAGTGCTAAGGAACATTCAAGTGATACAACTATAATGAAATACAAGTATAGTGATTTTAAAACATATCTGCAGGCCGGGCGCGGTGGCTCACGCCTCTAATCCCAGCACTTTGGGAGGCCGAGGCGGGTGGATCACGAGGTCAGGAGATCGAGACCACGGTGAAATGAAACCCCGTCTCCACTAAAAATACAAAAAATTAGCCAGGCGCAGTGGCGGGCGCCTGTAGTCCCAGCTACTCGGGAGGCTGAGGCAGGAGAATGGTGTGAACCCGGAAGGCGGAGCTTGCAGCCAGCGGAGATCGCGCCACAGCACTCCAGCCTGGGCGACAAAACGAGACTCCGTCTCAAAAAAAAAACAAAAAACATATCTGCAAATTTTTTAAACATTCCCCTCTATATGACCCCTACCCTCGAATCCGAGCTGGCCTTAGTGACTCTGCAAGACTTCTGAGGATTGGCCATAAAAAGGGATATTTCCTCCTTGCTCAATGGGACACTCACGTCTGGAGCCCTGAACCATCATATAGGAAATCCAGTTTCTCTGCGGCTGCCATGCTGTGAGGAAGCCCAGGCTGCTTGGAGAGGCATGTGTATGTGCTCTATACTGAGATTGAGATCCCAGTTGAGAGCCATTATCCATTTTCAGACATGTGAATAAAGACATATCTAGATAATCCCAGCCTCCAGCTGTTGAATTCCCTCTAGACAGTGAGTCTTCCCAGCTGAGGCCCCAAATATCATGGAGTAGACAGTAGTGTGCTATAGCCAGCCTGTACTGGCTTGCAAGAACCAATTGTCAGTATGTCTTCCTAACTCCATATTCAGTGATGCCGTAGCTTGAAGTTGGCCATGGTAGGAGTACTTACACCATGGAAATCGGCAAACACTGCAAATCAGGGGCATTCCTGCTGCGCCTGTCTGAATTTCTGACCCACGGAATCCATGAGCATAATCAAATGGGTATTTTAAGCCACCCAGTTTTGGAGTCACTTGTATTAATAATACAGTGATAGTAACTGGAACAGCAAGGAAAGGATTACTATAAAAATATAGTTACTTTTCAGGGAACAGAGGTGGTTGAGATAGGGACTTCTGAGACTTTTGGAGTAGCTGGAAAACTCTATTAATCTGAGTGGTGGTTACAAGGATATTCAGCTTACAATAATTAATTAAGTCAGTTATTTATTTTGTGTGATTTTCTGCATTTTTATCTTAAGATAAAACCTTTAAAAGTCTTTTTTTGTGTGTAGGAGGTAGTAAGATGATTTCATTTCACTTTATTTCTAATATATATTTAGCAAAAATGCATTTTTGGTGTTGAATAACTATATGACAACATTGACAGTTTGATTTTTAGATTTTAAAACCTAAACTATGGAAGACTATAGGAACCTCATGATGATGAAGCATATATATGTATTCAGAATGTAAGCAGTCAAACAGCCTTAAAGGAGAGAGCCACATATTATGAGGTCCTTTGATAGTTCAAGTCTTGATTGCCATTGATCAAAGTCCAAAACAAGCTTAATTTATACCAAATAATATATTAGAACTCATTTATGAGTATGCCAGAGTTTTGGGGATAAAATAATAAAAGCCTTCTTATGTTACTATGTTTTACATAGCACAGAAATGTAATTCTTATTCATTTACTGATAGTTCTATATTAAATGATTTGACCATATGCAGTATTCTTATTTTAATGTATTAAATACTGCTAGATTTGATTAGATTGGGTATTAGTTCTCAATATTTGGTTGTCCATATTTAGACAAAATTGTAATGACATTGGGAATAATAATGTAATCATTAATAATGTAATACCAAGCGGTCTGGCATTGTGTCCTACATAGAACACTGTCAATATTTGAGTTGTGCTGGGTTGGTAAAGTACTAATCAACTATATGGTATGATTTAAGGTATACAAGAAAGGTCTCAAGAATAGTCAGCCCAGTCACAGGTTCTGAAATCACACTGTTAGAATTCATCCATTTGGATCCGTAAGACAAACATGCTTAGAAAATCCTACATCAGCTGACACCTTGGCATAAGACAGGAGTCACAGATCTTAGTGAGACTTAAGGAAATGGAACTTGAGTCCCACACCTGAGGCACGGTGGGATGGACCTTGGTAAAGGGAGACTGTGTAATGAAGATATGGGGAGAATTCCAAAGACAGGCTTTATCTTCTGCAGACCAGCTCTGCTGAGGTGTTATAGATTCCCCAGCTTATTCTGAGAAATCTCTTTTCTAGGATATGGTAAAAGGCCGAAAGTTTTTTGACACTCAAAGGAAAGACTTAGGAGTGAGATAAAATGTAATAGGTTAAGTATTGAGTCAAATAAACACATGTGGCAGGATAGATTAAATAGTCTTAATATAGCAATATGCAAATAAGTAATAGTTTATGTTAAATAAATGTTATCACTTTTGAAATATTAAAGCCCTACCCCACAACCCAGGCAATGGTATATCAGTCTTTTTTGATAAATTCAGCCCAGTTCAAGAGTTCTAATCTGACTATTACAATCTCAGTCGTATTTTGAGGAAAAAGATGCAAAATCACATTTTGGTATTGTCACCTCTGATCACTACCTTTGGCATAACTGCAATGAGCCTCTGTTGTAGAACAGGCTACAATCTTCCTCTATCTGTTTCTGGGTCTCCCTCTGTGTGTTTCTGTCTTTCTGTCTCTTTCTGTACTCCTTTGCCAGTTTCTGGCAGTGCTACAATCTACACCTCAGATGAGAATGGGGATGGCGGTCTCATTTTTTGTGATCATCACCCATTTCTGTCTGACACATCTCCCAACCCTACCACCACCAATTCCTGGTTACTCTACCCAGTGATCCTTTCTGGGTATGAGGCACTTTGCTTCATGATGTATCAGCTGCCAGTAACTCGAGGCTGGCCCTCTCTCTGTGCATCAGAGACCTCCTGAGATCTGAGTACCCTGAGGTTCTCTTGGGGGATGGTGAGGGGCTAGAGTCTAACTCTAACTTCTGCTCTAGCCGGAGAAGACCCCTTTCTGCCACCTCTGTTTCTTTTTGTATAGTTAAGAGTGGTGATGGTGGGGTGGCCTTCAGGGTTCCTAGACAGAGGCCCCTCTTGGAAGCCTCGCATGGGGGTCCTATTACTCTTGTGGGTATTTGTTTGAACTTTGAGGTGAAGCACAACACCTGGTATTCTCAGCTAAGAGCAGTCTCTGTGACTTGTGAACATATATCCTTTAGGTTTTAGCTACAGCTTTGTACAAAGCATTGCATAGACAGGTACAACTAATTTGTATTTGCTATTAAGGACTCTATGACAAGAAGAAAATGCATATTGGATACTTTATTTTTGCACATTAACAAAACTCTAGGTCACCCTAAATTATTAGAGTATGATGTTTGATATAATTGTGTACTTTTTTTCCCATTGTGTAGTTTAAAATAAAACATTAAAACAGAAAACAAAGACCCCATAAAAACATATTTGTGGCTCCTTCCCACTTATTGTGCCTCACAATTTTATTTTTCTTCTTTCCACCCCTCCCTTTTTTCATGTTTGCTTTCTCTTTAGTTTCTCTTTCTTACACAGTTGCTTACTTTTTTTTTTTTTTTTAAGAGATGGGGTATCACTATGTTGCCCAGGCTGGTCTCAAACTCCTGGACTCAAGCTATCTTTCTGCCTTGGCCTCCCAAAGTGCTAGGATTACAGGCATGAGCCACTGTGCCCAGCTAGTTGCTTACTTCTTAAGTGACCTAATGGTGACTTCAGTGCTCGAGGGCACTTCCTAGGCTATTTGGTGGCCCTCAGTAATAAAGAGATTGTATAATCTTGTATACTGATTAGCCAATTTATCTTCGTTACAGTATCATCACTTTCATTTGATACTACTGCAACTGAAAAAACTAAGCCTACTAACATATGCTAACAAAATACTACTTTTAGTGCATTAAATTGTAAATCAAGTCTGAATTTCCAAAATTTTTTAAGGAAAATGTTTTTAGAAATTGATGATGTTTAGATGGCCAAGATGACACCCATTAGTGGTTCTGACTGTTAAAAAAAAAAATTAAAGAAACAAAACAGACTAGCATTCAGTTTCTGTGGAAGCTTTCTCTTTCTTAACCTTTTTTTCTTCTGCTGTCATTCCAGACACAATTACTAAGCTGCTTACACTACTGGCATGTCCAGATCTGTCTAACTTTCCCTGAATGGATTTCACATTCCTAGGATGTCCATGTAAACTTTTTGACCTGAGAGATGGGAATCCCAAAGTTTGATCTGGCTTCACAGACAGTAAGTTTTCCATCCCATTTCTGTCAGTAATGGTTAGGGACAAGCGAGGGATTCGAGGAATTGCTTCAGCGACATGGTGTTCATCTTGCATATCTGCAAACTGCTCTTTATGCTCAGCTTGCACTGCAGCTTCCGACACAATGTAAGGAATATCTGTGCTATGAGAGCGCGTGATCTTTTGAACTTGGCATTGCCATTCCGTCGTCAATTGCTGGTCCGTGATTGAACTGTACTCTACATCCTGGTTAACCCCACCGACCAGCTTTCTTCCCCGGGAATAGACGAAGCTTCTGGACTTCATTGTTTTACAAGCATTGATCGTTTCATCGGGGAAATAGCGTGTAATTTTGGTTTCTTCCAGGGGATAGGAAATAGTGCCTTCTATATTTGTCGTTTCCACTGTTAGCTGAGTGTTTTGAACATCTGATTTGTCCTGTCCATGTATCACATCTGTTTTATTTAAACTTGGGGAAATAGTTTCTTCTTTTTTAGAGTCTGTCTGTCTTTCATCATCTTCCTTTGAAATCCCAATATCTGGACCTAATTTTGACTCTTCAGCGTTCTTTAAGTCATCTACTGCAAGGTGACTGCCATCTGGGGTTGCTGATGTGCTTGTGCCCAGTGAAAGGTGAAGACTGTTCTGACATTCTGGGACTAGGTGCGTTTTCACGTCCTTCTCTTCCTTTATACGGAAGGAACAGGTTTTTTTCCTGACTCCTGTCCCTGGTGACGTGGAGAGAGATGTATCCTCAAATAATAACTCTTCTCCGTTAAAATGATATCGATACAAGCTGTAGCCATCAGCGCTATTGATGCTGCTTTGCCGGAGAAGATACGTTGCCTCACATTCAGAAGAAGCCCGGGACCGTGCCTGGATCAGGTCAGACCTGTCGATTCCCGCAAGATTTTCAAGAGCATTCACCATTCTGTTAGATAATTCTTCTAGCTGAGCAAGTCGAAGGTCAACAGTCTGCAGGGAAGTTTTCATAAAAGTTTCTCTTTCATTGATTTCTTCCAACCTCATTGACATATTTTCAACTCTGGTGAATATAAAGGGATAGATTTATTAAACTGAGATTAAGTGGATATTAAAAATCAAAAGATAATGTCATTGCTATGTGATTTTTCAGAATTTTAATACATATGGAACTGTTTGAGTATATTTACAAGCTTCACAATCCCCTAACATGACTACTCGAATTACCATGAGGAGCCACCAGAAAATAATGGAAATAAATAGTTAATGCATATAGTACTTACTGCTCAGTCATTGTTCTAAGAGCATAATGTTCTCACTAACAGGTACTTACTGAGGTTCAATCCTAGGCTTATTTAATCTTCAGAACAGTCCTTGGAAGTAGGTCTATTATTATCATCTCCATTTTACAGGTGAGGAAATTAAGTCATGGAGCGTATAAGTAATTTCCCCAAAGGTAGGAAGCAGTGGAGCAGGAATTTGAGCACACGCAGCCTAGCTCCAGCACTCACTCCGGTGCCTGTCTCTTAGCTGGTACATCATGCTGCCTGTAGTAATAACAGAAGCTACTAGTGCTTAGTTTTTAGAGCTTTGACTATGGCTGTCAGCAGTGAATGGTTATAACAAAATAAATAAAATTAAAATCCTTATTGAGGTTCAAGGGATTCAGAAAATAAACTGTTAATAATTAAGTTCAGATTATCAGATAGTTTGCTTAAAGGATAGTAGGTGATTTAATTGTCTGAAGAATACCAAAAACTTTAAATTATTCTTTATATTTAATAATTAGTATTTCCTTAAGGTTACACACAAAAAAGAGCATGGGAGATTATAAATGCCTGCTATTAGTTTTTTTTTTTTCAGTTCTTAGAAGATCGGGCAACAGCCTATGAAACCATAATGTTGCCTGGCCTAAAATCCACTGGTACAGACTTTGTTTTATATTTTACTACATACAGTATGAATTATTTCAATAGGAATTTAACTCTAAGAGGCAAGGTATGCCCAGGATTGAGGATTGCTTTCTAAAAGTTGAATTTGTCCCCAGGATGGAGCTAGGAGTCCTGGCTACTGTGTTCTGGCTGGTTCATCCCTGTGTGATGGCAAACACTTAGGTCTGATTCCATTATTCTTTTATTTTCTCCCAGCTTTCTTAAAAACATAGGGAGACTTGGCTTGCATTGCAGTCTGTATGACCTACGAAGGTCTTTGCTACCTTCTCTGCACATCCTTATACATGTCCTCACTCGTACTGCTGGCTCTCCTCTTATCCATCCATTTCACGGTGGTCAGCCACCCCGCTCTTTTGTCTTCTGAGCAGATTGCCTGCCACTGTTTGCATCGCTAAGTCAGCTCTGTGCTTGACTGCATCTCCTGAACTCCACCCCCACCCTGCTGCTTCTGTGGCTACCTTGCCCCACCTCCCAGAGTTTTTTTTTTGCTAATGCCACTCTTCTGTTGACCACATTGACAACTGTGCTCTGATGTGTCTGTGTTTGTATGTGTGGTTCCTTGGCTTCTATTCTTAACTCTTTTCTTGGGGTGAGAACTATTTATATGTACTATAGGAAACCACATCATTTGAGCAGGAAGGGTCTGGCTTCCTGGACGTTTGCCACCAGGGAGGACCAAATTCACCATGCATGAGAAGTCCTGGCTTCCTTTTTTTAAAGCCTCTGTATCACAGGCACTGTAGGTTCTAAGGGTTCTCTCTCCTCTTGCATTTCAGAGACCAACAGAAGAATTTTTCACTATTAACTTTCCATTACTTCTGAGTAAGACTTGGTGTTCTTCATTAAAAATAATGGCTCCTGGCCGCACGCAGTGGCTCACACCTGTAATCCCAGCACTTTGGGAGGCCAAGGCGGGTGGATCACCTGAGGCCAGGAGTTCAAGACCAGCCTGGCCAATATGGTGAAACCCTGTCTCTACTGAAAACACAAAACTTAGCTGGGCACAGTGGTGTGTGCCGGTAATCCCAGCTACTTGGGAGGCTGAGGCACGAGAATTGCTTGCACCCAGGAGGCGGAGGTTGCAGTGAGCCGAGATCGCACCACTGCACTCCAGCCTGGATGACAGAGCGAGACTCCATCTCAAAAAATAAATAAATAAATAAATAAATAAATAAATAAAGGCTCCCTACTCCGTTCAGTTCTATTACCCTGATTATTCCTTTTGTATCAAAAAAAACCCCACATTGCCCTAGTCAAACTTGAGTTCCTTTACAAACATACAGTAAGAGATATTGCCGCTGTGCAAACTTTTCTAAATAAATACACTGGTGAAATGAAGATGAATATCTTTCCTTTCAAATCTTTTATAGTTTTACCTATTTTCCCCTTTATTACCTAATTCAGATAACAGCACTCTCAGCCACTCATATATGAAAAACAAACCTCAAAGTCATTGGATTCTTTGGTCTCCCTTATACTAACTCCCTCCCCTCACTTCTCTCCTCTCCCCTCCCCTCTGCATTGAATCAGTTACCAAGCTCCTTTTTTGGTGTCTCAAATCTCCCATCCCTACTGCTGCTCCCTTCATTGAAGCTGTGGAAGAAACAATGCTTAATGATGTGCCCTGGGTTCAGAGAAATTGTCAGTTGCTTGTTTGGAGCTTGTGAACAGCTACAACGTGGATACAGCAAATTTTAAACAGCTATGCCAAACGATGGGAAGTTGCATTGAGTTTTATAGTACGTATGAAAGAAGAAAGATAAAAATGAGTTTAAGTTCACTTACATCTGAAATGATTAACATAAAGGACAAATAAATGAGGATCTATCTCCTTTGTTAACCATGGTTGGTGACTTCCCATAATTATTTAAAACATGTTTCACAAACCTTGACACCCACACAAAGAGTGGTTTCCATTTCAGACAGAGAAAGGCTATCTAGGAATCAATTTGACAAGAGCCCCACATCTATTTACACATTGAATGGCATAAAAACACAAGAGAATCCATCATGCATGATAGAGCTCATAGTGAGATATGATTAATCAGCAAAGAAGTTATTTGTGTAGCTTTCTAAGTCTTAATCCAGCTTTCCTTTCAGCACAGAGTGAAAAATATTTTTCAGCACATTACAGAATACAGAAGCATTCCAGATCCAAGTAATTCACTTGGCTTTCCCTTTAATTAAGGTTGATGCTCTCTTAAAGATTTCTTTTCTTTTCTTTTCTTTTTTTTTTGAGACGGAGTCTTGCTCTGTTGCCCAGACTAGAGTACAGTGGCGCAATTTCCGCTCACTGCAACCTCTGTCTCCCAGGTTCAAGCGATTCTCCTGCCTCAGCCTCCCAAGTAGCTGGGATCACAGGCGCCCGCCACCATGCCTGACTAATTTTTGTATTTTTAGTAGAGACGGGGTTTTGCCATGTTGGCCAGGCTGGCCTCGAACTCCTGACCTCAGGTGATCCACCTGCCTTAGCCTCCCAAAGTGCTGGGATTACAGGCATGAGCCACCAAGCCTGGCAAAGATATATTTCTAATATGGATGTGCCACAGCACCTGTTGAAGGACATTTGGGTTGTTTCCATTATTTGGCAAGTATGAAAAGAGCTGCTATAAACATTCATGTACAGGTTTTGTGTGAACATGTTTTCATTTCTGTAGGATAAATACCTAGGAGTTAAATAGCCGAGATTGCTGATTCATAGGGTAAATGTATGTTTAACTTTATAAGCAACTGCCCAACCATTTTTCAGAGTGGCTGTACAATTTTTTATTCCTACTAGCAGTGTATGCAAATTCCAGTTGCTCAGCATCCTTCTTGGCTATTGTTATTTTTAATTTTTTTTATTTTTAGCTCTTGTATTCGGTGTGTAGATATATCTCATTCTGGTTTTAATTTTCATTTCACTGATAGCTAATGATGTTGAGCATCTTTTTATGTACATATTTAACAACCTTATGTCCTCTCTGGTGTGTCTAGTCTAATCCTTAGCTCATTTTTTTATTGGGCCATTTTTTCCATATTATGGGTTTTAGAGTTCTTTAGATATTTTGTATAAAAGTCTTTTGTCAGATATATGATTGACATGATTATGCTTTTGGTGTTGCATTGAAGAATCCTTTGTCTATTCCCAAGTTGTGAAGATTTTCTCTTATGTTTTCTTCCAAACATTTTATAGTTTTGTGTTTTATGTTTAGATCTATGATCCATTTTTAGTTAATTTTTGTATGTGTTGAGATCATTTTTTGCATAAGAATGTCAAACTGTCCTAACACCATTAGTTGAAAAGATGATCCATTCGTCGTTGAATTAGTTTTGCACCTTTGGGGAAAGAAATCAATTATCTCTATTTGGGTAGATCTACTCCCGGACTCTTTATTCTGTTCCATTTATGTATGTGTTGGACCCTTCACCAAGACCACACTGTCTTCATTACTGTAGCTTCACAGTAAGCCTTAAAACTGGATAGTGTGATTCCTCTAATGTTATTCTTCTTTTTCAAAATTGTTTTACATAGTCTAGTTCCTTGGCCTTTCCATTTAATTTTCAAAATAAGTTGACATAGCTGGGCACAGTGGCTCATGCCTACAATCCCAGTGCTTCGGGAGACTGAGGTAGGAGGATTGCTTGAGCTCAGGAGTTTGAGACCAGCCTGGGAAACATAGGGAGACTTCGTCTATAACAACAGCAGCGCAGCAACAACAACAACAACAACAACAACAACAACAACAACAACAACAGTTGACCTATATCTACAAAATATCCTGCTGGGATTTTGATTGGTATTGTGTTAAATCTACAGATAAACTTGGGGAGAACTGACATCTGTGCCACGTTGAGTCTTCCAATACATGAATATGGTATATCCTCCCATTTATTTAAGTGATCTTTGATTTCTTTCATCAGCACTTTGTAGTTTTCTGCATATAGATCCCATACGTATTTTACGAGATTTATACCTAAGTATTTCATTTTTGTTGGAGCTCTGTGAGAATGGTATTATTTTAAAAATTCCAATGTTCAATTACACACTGATGGTATATAGAAATAAGATTAATTTTTGTTGACTTTGTACTCTGTAGCCTTGTTAAATTCACTTATTAATTCTAGGACGTTTTCATTTGTTTCATTTTGTTTTTTAAAGATTTTATGTGATTTTCTACATAGATAATCATCTATAAATAGGAATGGTTTTATGTATTTATGTATTTCTCTCCAAGACAGAAGACTTTTTTTCCTTGCCTTATTGCATGGCCTAAGACTTCCAGTACACTGTTGAAGTGGTGAGAGTGGCCATCCTTCCTTGTTCCCAGTTTTAGGGAGAAAGCAGTCTGTCTTTCACCATGTTAGCTATAGATTTTATGTAAATGCCATTTGTCAGATTAAGGAGGTTCTCTTCTGTTCTTAGTTTGCTGAGAGACTTTTATAAAATGTATTTTTATCATCATGATGTTGAATTTCATCAAATGCTTTTTCTGCACCAATTGCTAGAAACATATAGGGTTTTTTCCTTTAAATCATTAATATGGTGGATTACATTGATTGTTTTCAAATATTGACCTAGCCTTTTATTCCTGGGATAAACTACCTGATCGTGGCTAGACTCAATTTGCTAGTATTTTGTTGTGAATTTTTGTGTCTATGTTCATGAGGAATATTGGTCTGTAGTTTTCTTTTTTCAATTGTCTTTGTCTGGTTTTGGTATCATGGTGATGATGGCCTCAGGAAATGAGGTGGGAAGTGACCACAGCATTTACTATACATTTTACAGTGGTTGTTTTAGGGATTACAAATAGATAGCAACATTTCACAGTATACATAGCATCAGTATTTTACCACTTCAATTTGAATGTAGGAACATTACTACCATACAGGTCCCTTTCCCATAGCCCTTTGTGCTGCAGTTGTCATATATTGTATCCACATATATTGAAAATGCCATCAGACAGTATGGCAATTTTTGCTTTTGACTGTCAAATATACTTTAAAGAACTCAGAAAGAGAAGACTCATCTTTATGTTTATCAACATATTTATTATTTCTGATGCTCTTCTTTCATTTTTGATGTTCCAAGTTCAATTCTGGTATCATTTCCTTCTGTCTGAAGAATTTCCTATAGTTATTCTTTTAGAATTGGTCTGCTAGCAATGAATTCTTTGTCTGATTTTTTTTTTCACTTTCATTTTTGAAGAATGTTTTTGTTGAGTATGTAATTCTGGGTTGATCATTTTTTTCTTTCAGCACTTTAAAAACATAATGCAGGCCATGGTGACCTGTGCCTGTAATCCCAGCTACTCGGGAGGTTGTGGTGGGAGGGTTGCTTGAGCCCAGGTGTTTGAGTTCAGTCTGGGCAACACAGGAGACCTCGGCTCAAAAAATAAATAAAATTTAAAATTAAAAACATAGTGCTACTTCCTTCTGACCTCCAAGGTTTCTGATGAGAAATCTGCCATCATTCAAATCACTGTTCTCCAGTAAGTAATGTATCATTTTTCTCTGGTCAATTTTTTTCTTTGCTGTCAATTTTTTTCCCTCTGTCTTTAGTTTGTGGCCCTTCATTTGATATGGATTCATTTGAGTTAGTCCTATTTAGCATTCTCTACATTTATTTAATCTGTGGGTTTACGTCTTTGATCAAACTTGGGAGGTTTTCAGTGATTTCTTCAAGTAGTTTCTCTGCATCATGCTCTTTCTCTTCTGGGACTCTTATAATACAAATGTTATACCTTTTGTTATTGCCCCACACTTCTCTGAGGCTTTGGGCTTTTTCTTTAGCCCATTTACTCTCTTGTTCAAATTGAGTAATTTTCTGTTGTAATATCTTCAAGTTTACTCTCTCCTCTGTAATCCCTGTTTTGCTATTGAGCCTATCCAATGAATTTTTCATTGCACTTACTTTATTTTTTGGTAAAATTTTCTTTGAATTTTCTTAATATCTTCTATTCTTTCTCTGAGACTTTCTAGTTTTCTATTAGTTTCCAGAGCCTTTGCAATTTTGTTAAAGCATTTTCCTAATAGCTGCTTTAAAGCCTTTGTCAGATAATTTCAACATCTGTGTTATCTTGACATTGACATTTACTGATTGTCTTTTTTCCCCAGGTGAGTTGAGATTTTCTATATTCTGCATACTCCAAATGATTTTGGATTGTAGCCTGACATTTTGAATATTATACCACATGACTCTGAATCTTGTTTAATTTTCATGGAGAATGTTGATTTGTTTTGTTTTAGCAGGTGATCAACCTGGTTAGTTTCAGGCTGCAAGTTCTGACATGCTTTCTGTGGACTGTGATTCCAATGCCAGTTCAGTTTTCAAAGTCTTTGTAGTGCTATTGAGATCTGACCTATGTGCGTGCAGCCCAGTAGTCAGTCTGGGACCTTGGTAGCAGTCTGGTCATTACTTCAGTTCTTACTGTCTTTGAGATCTTTCTTCTTTTTACATGTGGGTCTTTATAGTTATAAATATCCTTCTGAATACTGCTTTTACTGTATCCCATAAATTTTGGTATATTGTGTTTTCATTTTGTTCGCCTTGAAGTATTTTCTAATTTCTCTTGTGATTTCTTCTTTGATCTATTGATTATTTAAGAGTGTATTGTTTAATTGTCACATATTTGTAAATTTTCCAAATTTTCATTTGTTATTAATTTATCATTTTATTTTGTTGTGGCCTGAGAATACACTTTGTTTAACTTAAATCTTTTTAAAACTTATTGAGACTTGTTTTATGGCCTAACAGATGATGTATCTTGGAAAATGTTCCATATGCTTATAAAATGAATATATATTTTGCTGTCATTGAGTGTTCTACTGATGTCTGTTACCTTGAGTTGGCATATAGTATTGGCTAAGGCTTCTATTTTCTTAATGAACTTCTGTCTAGTTCTAATATTAGTGAAAGTTGAATATTAGAGCCTACAACTATTATTTGAGAACTATCTGCTTCTCCCTTCAATTCTGTCAGTTTTTGCTTCATATCTTATGAGGCTCTGCTATTGGGTGCATATATGTTTATAATTGTTATATCTTTTTGATATAGTTACCTTTTTAATCATTATATCATGTCTATCATGTCCTTCTTTGTCTCTAGTAACAATATTTGTCTTAGAGTCTATTTTACCTGATAGGTGTAGCCACTCCAACTATTTTTTTATTACTGTTTGCATGAAATGTCTTTATCCATCCTTTTACTTTAAAACTTTAAAAATCTTTGAATCTGAAGTGAGTCTCTGCAGATAGCATGTAATTACACCATATTTTAAATATTCATTGTGCTAGTCTCTGTCTTAGAGAGCTTTATCTATTTACATTTAATATAATTACTGGTAAGGAAGAACTTACCTCTGCCATACTGCTATTTATTTTCTATATGTTATGTCTTTTTTTTTGTCCCTCAACTCCATCATTACTGCTTTCTTCTGTGTTAAATAGGTATTTTCTAGTGTATCATTTTAATTCACTTAGTATTTCTTTTCTTTTTTAAGATATGGGGCCCTGCTATGTTTCCTAGGCTGGCCTTGAACCCCTGGGCTTAAGTGATCTTCCTGCCTTAACCTCTTGAGTGGCTGGGACTACAGGCATGCACTACCACACCTGGCTCTTGTTCTTTCTTTTATCATATGTTTTTCAGTTATTTTCTTAGTGCTTGCCCTGGGGATTATCAGTAACATCTTAATTTATAACAGTCTACTTTAATTTAATGCCAATTACTTTTTTTTTTTTTTTTGAGATGGAGTGTCACTCTGTTGCCCAGGCTGAAGAGCAGTGGCAAGATCTCAGCTCACTGCAACCTCTGCCTCCTAGGTTCAAGTGATTCTCGTGCCTCAGCCTCCTGAGTAGCTGGGATTACAGGCATGTGCCACCACACAGGCTAATTTTTGTATTTTCAATAGAGATGGGGTTTCACTATGTTGGCCAGGCTGGTCTTGAACTCTCGACCTCAGGTGATCCACCTGCCTTCGCCTCCCAAAGTGCTGGGATTAGAGGTGTGAGCCCTTGCATCTGGCCTAACACCAATTATTTTCAATAATATACACAAAGTTTACTCTTATAAAGCTCCATCCTCCCCCCATGTTATTCTGTTATTATCACAAGTTACAACTTTGTACATTGTGTACCCATCAACATAGATTTGTAATGATTGCTTTATGTGGTTGTCTTGTAAATCATGTAGAAAATAAAAAGTAGTTACAAACAAAAAATACATTTATAATGCCTTTTATATTTACCTATGTAGTTAAATTTACTGGTCCTCTTTATTTCTTCATGTGGATCTTAGGTTATTGTCTTATGTCTTTTCATTTCTGCCTGAAAAACTATCTTTAGTATCCCTCATAGTAGGTTTGCTAGTAATGAATTCTCTCAGTTCTTGGTTATCTGGGAATATCTTAATTTATCCTTCATTTTTAAAGGATAGTTTTGCTGCATATATAATTTTTAGTGGACATTGTTTTGCTTTCAGCACATTGACTATGTCATCCCAAGGTCTTCTGGTCTTCCTGGCTTCTGATGAGAGGTCAGCTTTTTTAATCTAATTAAGCATCCTTTCCATGTGATGAGTTGCTTCTCTCTTGCTGCTTTCAAGATTCTTTTCCTTTGGCTTTTAACAGTTTGACTATAACGTTAATTGGTATGGATCTCCTTGAGTTTATCCTACTTGGAGTTCATTGAGCTTCTTGGATATGTAGATTCGTATCTTTCATTAAATTTGTAAAATTTTGGCCATTATTTCTTTAAATATTGTTTCTGCCAGTTTCCCTTCTCTCTTTCTATAACTCTCATGATGCCTATGTTGTTCTGCTGGATGGTGTTCTACAGGTTTCAGACTGTTCAATTTCTCTTCATTTCCTCCCCCTGTTCCTTAGACTGGGTAATTTTTAACTGATTTATCTTCCAGTTTGCTGATTCTTTAATCTACCTGCTCAAATGTGCTATTGGGCCTCTAGAGTGAATTTTTCATTTCAGTTATTGTACTTTCCAATGTCAGAATTTCCTTCCCTTCCTTCATTTCTTTCTTTTTCTTTTTTTTTTTCTTTTTTTTTTTTGACACTGTCTTGCTCTATTGTCCAGGCTGGAATGCAGTGGCAAGATCACAGCTCACTGCAGCCTTGAATTCCTGGGCTCAAGCAATCCTCCCACCTCAGCCTCCCAAGTAGCTAGGACTACCGGCACCACCATGCTCTGCCAGTTGCCATGATATGCACCACCATGCCTGTCCAGTTTTAAAAATGATTTTATGTAGATGGTGTCTTGCTCTGTTGCCCAGGCTGGTCTTGAACTCCTGGCTTCAAGCAATCCTCCCTCCTTGGTCTCCCAAAGCTCTGGGATTACAGGCATGAGTCACTGTGCCTGACCTATTTTTTTAAAAATATATATAATTTCTACCTCTTTTTTTTTGAGACCTCGTCTACTACTTGATATAATTTCCACCTCTTTATTGATAGTCCCTTATTTGGTGAAAAATCCTTCTCATACTTTCCTTTAGTTCTTTAGAGATGATTTCCTTTAGGTCTTTAAATATATTTAAAATAGCTAAAATAGTTGAGTTAAACTCTTTGCTAAAACATCTAATATCCAGGATTCCTAAGGGATGGTTTTTAAGATTGTCCTTTTTCCTGTGTGTGGACCATAGTTTCTTATTTCTTTGCATGTTTTGTCATTTTTATTTAAAAGTGGACATGTTGAGTATTATAATGTGGCAATTCTAGAAATCAGATTCTCTCCCCTCTCAGGCTTGTTGTTATTGCTTAGTGTAGTTGTTGTTTGTTTAGTGTAGTTGTTGTTTGTTGTTTGTTTAGTGATTTTTGTAGTTGTTGTTTGCTTAGTGATTTTTCTGAAATAATATTGTAAAGTCTATATTCTTTATGTTGTGTGGCCACTGAAGTTTGTATTTTATTAGCTTAGTGGTCAGTTAATACTTAGAGATTTCCTTAAATGTGTGGAACAAAAACAACAAAATCTTCTAGTCTTTTCTGAGAAGCTGTATGTGTATATAGGGGCACATCTTCAACACTCAGGCAGTTTACATCTTTGCTTTAGCTTTCACTTCCTGCTTGCACAGAGCCTCAAGATCAAGTCAGCCAGAAATGAGCTTATAGCCTTCTCAGGTCTTCCTGAGTATACACACAGCCCTATGCATGCACATAGCTTTCTAAATTCCCAGGAATGTGTTAGAGCTTTTCAAAGCTCTTATGGACATCAGTTTTTCTCCCTAGTTTTTTGGTTAGTCTATTGTTTGCCCCAGCTGTCATCCGTCACCTCAGGGAGCAAGCACTAAACCCTTTGCCTGTAAATGTTTTTGACAACCCTTCCTCCACCCCTTCTAACTAGAAGCTTTAGTACTGGGCCTGTTCCAACTCAGGTGAAATACAGACGAACCTTTCAGCTAGGCTTTCAAGGAGCTGCCCTGTAATTACAAAACAAGTAATTATAATTCTTTGCATATGAGATTCTTTCTGCTCCTACTGGTACTAGGAATGCAGGTTGTTGTTTTCAAGGTGACTACTCAACTGGAGAGCAGAGGATAGGACAGGGCTAAGTTAAAATGTCACAAAGCTCACTTTTCTTATCAAGATCCAGCCATTTTGTTTAAATAAGAATGCCCTAGGTTGCTTAATAAGCCATTGCTTAATTTCCAGAGTGCCACAAGATATAGACTCTGACAGTTTTTGCCAACTTTGTTGTTGCTTTTATGGTGGGGCAGAATTCCAGAGTTCCTTACTCTACCTGCTTTTGTTCATGTCACCCCATTCAATGCCTTTGGTATGTGAATAAGGAGCAGACTCCTCCACCCCTGACAGACACAGTCTGCAGGTGAGCTCTGGAGTTCATAACTTTATGGCATTACTTTTCCAAGTTCCCCCTCTCACTATCTCCCTGATATCTCCAGTTCCTCAGAGTTTCCGTTTTCTATCCTCCAACCAGAAAGCTGGGGCTCAAATCAAAGCAAAGAGCAACGATTGACTTCACCCTCTTGAATTTTGATGCAGTGGGTAGGGACTTCACCAGACCACTGGATTTCCTGCACCTGACTTGAGGCAGGGGGTGGGGGTGGGGCTATGGGACAATAGAAAGGGAAAAAGGTACTCTTGGAATAAACAGATGAGATTATAAGCAGATGAGATGAGGTCAAAGAATAATTTCATTTAATATTAAAAGATATATAACCTTGGCTGGGCACGGTGGCTCACGCCTGTAATCCCAGCATTTGGGAGGCAGAGGCAGGTGGATCACCTGAGGTCAGGAGTTCCAGACCAGTCTGAACAACGTGGCAAAACCCCATCTCTACTAAAAAATAAAAATAATAAATTAGCTGGGCACGGTGGCATGCGCCTGTAATCCCAGCCACTTGGGGGCTGAGGCAGGAGAATTGCTTGAACCTGGGAGGCGGAGGCTGCAGTGAGCCGAGATCATGCCATTGCCCTCCAGCCTGGGTGACAGAGCGAGACTCCGTCTTAAAAAAAAAAAAAAGAAAAGAAGAGAAAAAGAAAAAAGATATATGACCTCATGTTGTACCCCAAGCTGATAAAGCAAAAAATGTTAGTTATAAGGAACAGCCTCTTTGCCTCCAATGTCTTCTCACTCCAAAAAGATAGCACAGAAACACAAGCACGTCAATCTTTGCTTTAAAACAATAGCAGCTTCCCATCACACTTAAGATAAAAACACAATTTCATTGCAGTGTTGAATGCAATGAACAAACCAAAGAGTGTATTAAAGGAAAACCTTATAATCTCCATTGGCAACCCTATTCTACAATTTGGACATTGACACTTCCTCATACTATGTAAAGTGCTATGAAAATGTAGCTTTAACTCTTTCCTTCCATCCATGGCAGCCCTTAATCTTAACACCCTATAGAGATTTCTGTTACTCATATACATTCAAAGCTCTTGAGAATCTGCCCTCATCTTCCCATCCTGTCTCATCTTGTTCTTCATCCCCACATTTCCTCAAGGACCCTTTGCAAACATGCCGTCATCATCAAAATTAAAAAATAAAATAATCTTAGAACTTGAGAACCCCAAATGCCAAGGCATTTGATGACCCCAGCTGTGAGAAAACCTGTCCTAGAGCTTTCAGCTACCTCTGATGTTTGTGGAAGAACTAGATAAATGAAAGCTGTCTTGGTGATGTCAGGGACCTCAGCCATTGCATGTAAACGTACGTTACTATCCTGGCTTTAGGCATGATTTAATTAGATTATCATGGCTGTGTTATTTATTATAGGGTTTGCGAAATTTTTCAAAATAATATTCACTTTACAAAATATGCCAATACCCTCAAATATTTCAAATCACATAGTGAAATAACTTATAACTATGTTTTTAGTATAACAAGTATTCAGCACTAATAAATGATTTCTTTGAATAGTGGTACTTTTGTGATGCAAAGTGTGCTTTCTTACACATGGTGACACTGATTTCTGATCAGGTTGATTATCTTCCTTTCCCTCTAATTGAAGTTTGTGGCTTCTGTAACTATTTCTGGGTTTGGATTTACTTGTAGATGCTATAAATAGCTCCACTAGGTTTTTATTTTTCACATTATGGTAGCACTGACTTCACAGAAAAAAATTCCACTTATGAATACTTTTGAAAAGGTCATTAATGAGGCCATTTTTCTAACCACCAAATACATGATTTCTTAACTGGCAGGCCTAAGAGCAATTCCTGAGGGCCACTCTCCATCCTTTTGTATCAAAGGAAACTATAAACAAATGAAATCTATAAACTGTCTGGGCCCCAATTAATCATTCTCCTGACTTTGAATAGAAATTTAAGCTGCACTTGATTTATTACAATATTTGCTCTGTCCTTAACTGCATCATGTGTACTGCTACTAAAGTCACGAGGAGCCCAGAACCGCATGTGCTTAATCAGTCATGATTAATAATAGCTGTGATCCTCCACGCCCATATTCATCTTTTGACTCACAGATTAAATCTTTGGGCTTTTCTGTTAAAAGGATACACCTGAATGCCCTAATCAGTCTCAAAACCTGGCGTACACACACACACACACACACACACACAAAAAAAAAACTTGTTTTTTAAATTAAGAAAGTCGGCCGGTTGTGGTGGTTCACGCCTGTAATCCTAGCACTTTGGGAGGCCAAGGTGGGCAGATCACCTGAGGTCAGGAGTTCGAGACCAGCCTGACCAACATGGTGAAACCCCCGTCTCTACTAAAACTACAAAAATTAGCCGGACATGGTGGCGTGCGTCTGTAGTCCCAGCTACTCGGGAGGCTGAGGCAGGACAAAGGTTGCTTGAACCCGGGAGGCGGAGGTTGCAGTGAGCCGAGATCACGCCACTGCACTCCAGCCTGAGCGACAGAGCAAGACTCTGTCTCAAAATACATAAATAAAATAGAGTAAAAGATTGTACCAGATTAACAACTGATATTACATGTCATGACTCTTTTTGTTTAATTTGGTTTTGAGAAAAAACAAAAGCTGTTTCTGATTAACATATGGCCAGTGTCAGTGTTCCCTTTGAGATGTGCCCATCCACATTGGCATTCGGGATGAAGCTACTCCACCAGCCCCTCTTTATTGTACTTCTGTCCCTGGGGAGTGATTTATCAAACATTAACAACAGTTGCAGCATGACAGCAACTAAATTAAATGAATTAAATGAAACTGTGTGCTCTGTGAACTGTAAATGCTACACAAGTGTCAAAGGACATGGCTGTGTGAATATCATTGCAAATCTTCTCTATATTGGGGTATATCTATTATTAAGGATATTTGATTTTGAACATGATGCCACTAAGCCTGAAGGTGGTTAAATGAAAACATACTTTTTGTTAAGGGGTTGTACATAATGTGTTCTGTTTCATTCAAATAATAGGTATGGCAATACCTGAATTTGTGGAACTTTTGCATTAACTTCCAAGAGAATACCTATGTATGGCATAACTTTATTGGACTTTGCATAGACTCTTGTCTATTAAACATAAGGTCCAAACTCATGTCCTTGTGGTAAGAGTCCCTGTGTGTCTTTCCTAGGAAGGACTGAAACATCTGGAGTTCTGTAGTAAGCCAGTTGTTAAAACCTGTTTTATTTAATTTTATTTATTTGTTTATTTATTTATTATTTTATTTTATTTTTGAGATGGAGTTTCGCTCTATCGCCCAGGCTGGAGTGCAGTGGTGCGACCTCGGCTCACTGCAACCTCTGCCTCTCGAGTTCAAGCAACTCTCCTGCCTCAGCCTCCCAAACAGCTGGGATTTCAGGCATGTGCCACCACGCCTGGCAATTTTTGAATTTTTAGTACAGATGGGGTTTCACCATGTTGGTCAGGCTGGTCTCGAACCCCTGACCTCAGGTGATCTGCCCGCCTCGGCCTCCCAAAGTGCTGGGATTACAGGCGTGAGCCACCACACTTGGCCTTTTAAATTTTAAATTTATTTTATTTTTCATTTTATTTTTGAGACAGACTTTCACTTTTGTTGCCCAGGCTGGAGTGCAATGGTGCAGTCTCGGTTCACTGCAACCTATGCCTCCTGGGTTCAAACAATTCTCCTGCCTCAGCCTCCCAAGTAGCTGGGATTACAGGCATGCGCCACCATGCCCAGCTAATTTTTTGTATTTAGTAGAGACGGGGTTTCACCATGTTGGTCAGGCTGCTCTCTAACTCCTGACCTCAGGTGATCCACCTGCCTCAGCACCCAAAGTGCTGGATTACAGGGATGAACCACCACACCTGGCCTTTTTAAATTTTTGAGACAGAGTCTCACTCTGTTGCCCAGGCTGGAGTGCAGGGGTGCAATCTTGGCTCACTGCAAACTCCGCCTCTCCGGTTCAAGTGATTCTCGTGCCTCAGTAGCTGGGATTACTGGCATGTGCCACTACACCCGGCTAATTTTGTAATTTTAGTAGAGATGGAGTTTTGCCATGTTGGCCAAGCTGATCTCGAACTCCTGGCCCCAAGCAATCAGCCCACCTTGGCCTCCCAAAGTGCTGAGATTACAGGCGTGAGCCACTGTGCCCAGCCTAAAACTTGTTTTATATGCAGTTATCTTTTCATGGGAAACAGTTGCCCTTCACCTGCAAGGAATCTCATAAATTATATGGGAACATTTCCTTAATGATAGAGTTAAATGTTAACATAAAGACATGATGTTAGTGGAGCTAGGTCCAGTTCATACTTGAAGAAACCCCTGTTTCAAGATCCCATGGTATTCTATACTTGAGTTCTAAAACTATTCCTACCCTATAATTTAATTCCAGAACTACTGATCATAAAGTTGTCTTATCCACTCTAAATTTTACATCCAGCTATTTTAATTTCCATCCACTTCTTCATACAGGGCTGCCTTTTACATTTAGTAGTTATAGGAAGAACACCAGGATAGAACCTTGTTGTGCTTACTTACAGAGTTTTTATGTGTGAAAGACTAAATGAAGACTAATCATAAAAGAACAAGACTCACGTCTTTCTTTTTTTTGTTTGTTTTTGAGAGGGAGTCTCTGTCACGCAGGCTGGAGTGCAATCAGTGGCACTATCTCGGCTCAGTGCAACCTTCGCCTCTCGGGTTCAAGAGATTCTCCTGCCTCAGCCTCCCGAGTGGCTGGGATTACAGATGCTTACCACCACTCCCAGCTAATTTTTGTATTTTTAGTAGAGACAGGATTTCACCATATTGGTCAGGTTGGTCTTGAACTCCTGACCTCAAGTGATCTGCCCACCTCGGCCTCCCAAAGTGCTGGGATTACAGGCTTTCGCCACCATGCCTGGCTAATTTTTGTATTTTTAGTAGAAACGGGGTTTCACCATGTTGACCAGGTTGGTCTTGAACGCCTGACCTCAAGTGATCCACCTTGGCCTCCCAAAGTGCTGGGATTACAGGCCTTTCGCTGCCACACCTGGCTAATTTTTGCATTTTTAGTAGAAAAGGGGTTGCACCATGTTGACCAGGTTGGTCTTGAACTCCTGACCTCAAGTGATCCGCCCACCTCGGCCTCCCAAAGTGCTAGGATTACAGGTGTGAGCCACTGCTCCCGGCCAAGACTCATGTCTTTCTTCTGGCTTTTTCATTCTCTGTAATAAACAGTATACTGAATAGTTACTAAAAGAACATTAAGCTTTCTGGGATTCTAGCTGTATGCTGCCTCATTTAAACATACCCCAGACTTCCTGGGTTTATAGAATTCAAGTCATCTAATCATTAGCCTTTTCTGGTTATGTTCTGTTTTCTATTCAGGCCAGATTCTGTGGTTGGCCACGAAGTGAAGCCCTCATTAATAACCTATGTTCTTTCTCCCTTACTTGCAACACGTTAGTGCCAATCCCTAACCCCCAACCTATTGCTACCAGGACTCCAGGACTAAGCAAGGATATTTGGTGCCTGGAGGCAATGTCGTATGTTTATGCTGCCATTTGCAAACACTAGCATCTTTGAGGTCTCTCCACAGACTGGTTTTTGGGCGCATGGCCTCCTTCAGCATCCATGCCGTATGTACAGTTGTCTTTCTGTATCCCTGCCTTTCGGCTGTACGGTGTCACCGATGAAGGTCATGGGAACCACACTGACCTGGCCCAGTACAAAGCCATGTTATCTAATTTAACTTGCATCTTTGTTATTCCTGCCAAGCAATCCTGGTTATCTCCTTTCCTGCCATATTCCCCCTAAAAGTGAACTCACTTGACTTGAATCCTTCCTACTGGCTTTAAGTCAGTGATGTTGATTGTTGGAGAGGTACACTTTGCCCATGCCTAGTTTTTCTTTCTATGTATGTGGACTTTTCATTAGTAATGCTCTGACCTCATTCCAGGCCTTTATTTATTTTGGAGGAGGACGGCTCATTTGGTTGGAGATTGGGGACCAGGATACTGCATGCTTGTCTCTCTGTCTTGGTCTTCTGGTAGGCTTAGCGCGCAGGCTAAACTCTGCCTGTGGGAAGCGAGGCCTGTGGTGGCTGGTGCTGCCTGTGGCTAAGTGGGTATTCCTAATTCTGGGTGAGTAGTAGGCAAGAACGAAGCCACACCCTCCAGTACAACTTTTATTACTAATAAAACTGATTTTTTTTTCTCTATCCTCCTGAAGTCTGCATCTGTCTCTGAATTGGCTTTCAAAGTCAGATCAGGAACAAGGGTGTCATCCACTGGCACATCAAAATTTCAACATTTAAGCCATCTCCTTCCTATTATCCAAGCAACCTTGAACCCTATGAATTTAGAAGATTAAGGTATTCAGACAGGATCATCCCCAAATGTCTTCCCCATCACTGCGCATTTGCCGTTCTACAACCTTCTCTACATGCAAAGAATCCCCCACCTCCTTCCTAAGACTGATCTCTCTTTCAGTTCCTCTAGTTACTATCTTGTTTCTTCTAGGTAGGTCTCCATTACCAGCCATTTCTCTTTCTGGTCACATGGGAAGAGGATGCCAAATAAAAAGATTTCAAAGCCACAAATTGCTGATTTCCCATCAAGCCTGCAGGCAATCCAGGATGGGGCATGATGTCTCATGCCTGTAATCCCAGCACTTTGGGAGGCTAAGGCGGGAGGACCGCTTGAGGCCAGGAGTTCCAGACCAGCCTGGGCAACATAGTGAGATCCTGTATCTACAAAATATGCAAAAATTAGCTGGGTGTGGTGGTGCACGCCTGTAGCCTCAGCTACTCAGGAAGCTGAGGCAGTAGACTCACTTGAGCCCAGGAACTGGAGGCTGTAGTGAGCTATGATCATCCCACTGTACTCCAGCCTGGGCAACAAAGCAGTACCCTGTCTCTAGAATTAAAAAAAAAAAAAAAAAAGACAAAACACTTTAATCCATATCCACAAATCTGACAAGAAACCACTTAATCCAGAAAGTTTTGGGGGAATCAGAAAATGCTATTATAGGTTTAGCTCATCTAAGACCCATAGCTTCTTAAGCACAAGGCCAACTACACTTAAAATGTATAATTTATGAGTTATATCCTGCATATTGTGAAATGTCAGACATTAATAAAATGTATGTAAATGGAGGTAGACGATATAAAAAAAGCAGAGAAGAGGCAACGTACCCCACATATTTCAAAATCCTATAGTAATATATTTGATAATTTAATATTAAGTTTGGTGTTAAGCTTCCTTGAAGCCATGGAAAAAAGGAAAACACACTGGATAACATAATTCTCATTGAGAAAAGGAAGTTGGGTCTCTGACAAAATTTTGTCAGGAAAGATTCTTTCTAGCCCAATTGCTCTTGAACCTGTGAACCTGTGATAAGGGATGCTGAACCACAAAGAGAACAGTGTGCTCCGTAGTGGATGTGCAGAAGACACAGATAGCCTCAAATCTCCCAATGATAAGGACTCATGTTGCCAAATATTCTCCTGGAGCAATGAGGACAGAACACATGGGTTGACGAGGTCTACTTTGGCCATGCTGCCAGAAGTTGACCAGACATGGTGGCCCATGCCTGTAATCCCAGCATTTTGGAAGGCTGAGGCAGGAGGATAGCTTGAGCCCAGGAGTTTGAGATCAGCCTGGGCAACATAGTGAGACCCTGTTTCTACAAATAATAATAAAAAAGGAGTTGTTTATAAAATGTTCTTATCCCACCAGCCCTCATGGCTCTTTGATGTTATCCCTTTGAGCAAAAAGATGGTGCCAACACCAACACTTGTTATCCTTCCTGTGGCACAATCCTTTGGCTCTTGAGTCTGCTCCTACTTCCTTATAGTAAAACCAGTGTCTTGAACCTGGAGGGAGCATAGCTGGTTTCCTTTTTGATATTCCATGAGGGAACTCATTAAGGATGGGATAGAAATTTATATTCGAATCAGGAGAAAAGCTTTTAAGTCATCCATTCGTTCAAAAAAATCTCGAGGCTGAGGCAGGATTGCTGAGGCCAGGAGTTTGAGACCTGCCTGGGCAACACAGTGAGACTTCCTCTCTACTAAAATAAAAAATAAAAAAAATTAGCTGGGCGTGGTGGCACATACATGTATTCCCAGCTACTTCAGAGGCTGATGCAGAAGGCTCGCTTGAGTCCAGGAGGTTGAGGCTGTGGTGAGACCTGATTGTGCCACTGCACTGGGCACAGAGCGAGACCTTGTCTCAAAAACAAAAACAAAAACAAAAACAGAAACAAAAGTCTGGCTCCTACTATGTGGATATGTGCAGGCTCTAGGTATATCATGGTGGACCAAACCCAGACATGGCCCTGCCTTCATGCAGCTTAAGGCCTGAGGGTCCTGACCTAGTCTAAGGTGTGAGGTGGTGAAGTTTTCCATAAGGAATTGGCATTTGGGCAGAGATCCAAGGAAGAGGAGCAGGGAAGGAGGGTGAGGTGCATCAGACAGAGGGCACAGCCCATGCAGAGCCCCTGTGGCAGGAAGGAAGCAGTGCTTTGAGGAAATGAAAGAGAAATGGAATACAGAGCATGAAGGAGAAGATAGTGCATGGCAAAGCCAGAGAGAGGGCAGGGCCTTGCAGGCCTGAGGACAGTGGGGGCCACAGAGGGTTTTTCAGGAAAGCCAGTGCAGGAGGGAACAGGACCCCATGAGAGCTGACAGTGCAACATGGATTGAAACAGCAGAAACAAATATGGAGAGCTCAGGTAGGGGCAGCTACAGGAATGGAAGTGGAAAATGATGGAAGCCTGTACTAGGTGCGTTGGGGTAGGGATGAAAAAAATAAGTGGATCAGGATGTATTCACGAGGGGAAGTAAACAGAACTTGATGATTGTTAGTGAAGAAGAGGGAGGTGCCACAATGATTTGCCAGTTTGCTAACTGAGCTTAATGGCGATGCCATTCACAGAGACTGGAGTGCAAGTTTGGGAGGAGAACCCTGAGAGCAGGGCCCCTATGACATCTAAGTGGGCGTGGTTGGTAGGACTGACCCAGTGTTGTGTCAATCAATGCTGAATCGTATTGCAAATCTCATTGCAGGACTGAATGTTGGATCTTACAAAATGTTGGAACTTTTTGAGAAAAAATAAATGGTTAAATTGTTAGCATTTTATAGGTAAATTTCCAAACATTAGGAGAGAACCATGAATTTGGTTTCTGCACAGAAGCACTAAAAGCACCCTGCGTGGAGGAGAATGATTAATGGGTACCCATCCTGTGTGAACACGCCTGTAAAACTGAGTCATGAGAATTGGTAGCTCAGCTCTGAAAGCTACCAAGACAACAGGGAGACAAGGCAGGGGCTGACATGCTCCTAACCAGACCCTACAGACTGAATAGTGCTGGCGAAGACACGACCGAGAGAAGAGCAGGAAAATCATCAAATGGGAAATGGTGATGCAGAAAATAAAACTAATTTTATATAGAAAGAATATTAAAGAAATGGCAGAAATGCTTGAGTACTTCAAGTGTGATTTTTAAAGTAGTCACAGGTGCCCAAATAGCTACTTTTATTTCCATCCTCCCACCTTATCCCTTGCTTCTCAGCTGGCTTGGCTAAGAGGGAAGGAAAACTCCCTTCTCCTCAAGCCTTCTCCTCTTTCTGTCTTGGGCATTCACCTGTGAGTCAGCCTGACAAGGCCAAGGGAAATGGAGGGGCAAGAATGTGCTCCCATCGCTCCTGGGATCTCAGCCGAGGGAAACAGGAAGCAGCATGTTTTCTCTGCCCTACACACTTTCATCCCTATTACGTGTGCACAGAGCCCCCAGAGAAAAATGCAATTTGGTAGTGACCTGATAACCACACTCTTGCAGCTTTGGTCCAAGAATGGTAAAAATCCAAGGAATGCCGGGGAAGGGAGAGGGGGAGGCAGAGCAAAACAAAACACAATCTCCATTGTAAATGACTGGTTAAAATTACGTTCAAGTTAATGTCTAACTAAAAAGTGGAAATTGGATTACATGGGGTACCTTAACTTTCTCATGAAGAAATAATTTTTATACCTTGAAAGTTTAGCAATTACTGTTAAAGCATCAAAGAAACATTTCAAAGTTTTATTAAAAATTCACCTTGGTAAGGAAGAAAGGTGGTGCAGGTAACCCTAGAGTTTAGCTGGTTGGATTTGGTTGGGTCACAAGGTGACTGGGTCTAGGAGGGAACCGAGGCCAGGGACCCACAGTTGCCATCTCCCCTCCTGTGGGCTGGGGCAGAGTTCACTGGCCTCAACATGCACCAGGGAGACCTAAGGTGCATCTGTGAATTCTGTTGTAATTGTTTGGGAACTGTCAGCTGCAATATCTTTTTGAAGTCCCACCCTGTTTTTATGGCTCTCAATGTGTCTGTTAGGAAACTTTAATTCTGTGTACTCAAGGATAGAAAGCAGAGCTAGGCATGGCTCCTCTGAGCTCATCCTTCTGGCCACGTTGTTAGTGAAACCCTTTGGAACAGCGTGTTATCAGTCACCAAGATCTTTAGCAGGCTGAAAATGCTTTTAGTAAATGATAAAGGCTCTCAAAACTTACGTGATAAAAAGTGCAGACAGTGAAGGTCCATTGCTCCTGTCTACCCTTTGCCAGTTGCTCTTTCCTAGCTTAGGGTAGAGCAATACTACGAAGTTTGGAAAATGTCACCATTTCTGTACCTCGCGACCTGACTTCATTTACTCATTCACTGGTTCACACATCCTGCATTCATTCACTCTGCATTTATTAAGCATCACCGCGGAGATTAGGCTGACCTTGCTGGGTACTGCGGATGTGAAGGTGTCTGAAAGACACACCCTGCCCTAGTTTAGCGGATCCCACCCTCATGGGGCCAGACACCTCACCCCCCACCCTGCACCCCACCCCTCCCAGTTCCCACTCTCAGGGGAGCCCCAGGAGGGAGCCTTTTCCTCTGCCCTGTGAGGCTGGGAAAGGTGTTGCCAAGGTGCAGCAAGCAGCTAGGCCGGATGAGGAGGGCAGTCCCCTGGGGAGGACCATGCTCGCAAAGGGAAGTTAGGAACAAGAGCTGGGAGAAGGATGGCTTTCTGTAGCTTCCATTAACCTTGCGGAAACACCCCCACTTTGGGGTAGGGGGTGAAGGTAGTCAACTGTTAGGTTTTCTTTCGGCCCAGGATAAATAAATGTCATTCCCTTCTATATCCAATGCACAGTTATTACCTAGTAACTTTCTCACTATTTCGTGGGAACCACGTTAAAACCTAAAGTTTAAATAAAACAGGAGAACTCGGAGTGCATGTTTAAATGAACTCTGGCATCCCCCATAGAGTGGGGCGCCCGAGTCAGCAAACCCTTGGCTCACGGGCCCGCGGTGGGGACGCTACACGTACCTTTCAGAAGTGACCCGGATGCGCTCGTCGCTGGACGACTGCTGCTCATCCTCCTTCTCCCGGAAGTGCTCCTGCACGCACTGCTCCTCGAACTCATGCAGCCTCTTTAGCTCCTCGTCGCTAAGGAAGAGCTCTGTGTGAAGGGAGAAGTGTCGGCCACGTGAAAAACAAGAAGAATCAGTTTCGTGGCGTCAATGAGAATTTCACAGCCCCACTTTAATTAAGCTCTCTTCTCCGCCACTCCTAAGGCAGTTCGCCACTACTCCAATTGATTTTTATCTAAAAAGGGGTTGTCATACGCCCCAACCCTCTATCAGTTGGAGCCAAACGGCCCGCTTTTAAACATAAAAAACAAAATTACATTTACTGGGAAAGTAAAGCCAAGTAATATTTCCTGGAAAACTTTTTGCACTTATTTTTATGAATAGAGTCAAACGTATAGCATTATTTTCTCATTTTCTTTAGATGCAACAAATTAAGACGTTTTGAAAGGAGCATTGAATTTATATAGAAATTTACAGAGTAGAGTTATTTTAGAGAATTAGCTCAACTTCTGGTCTCTATGAGCTGGCTTTCCTAATATTAATTACTAACAAATTAACGAAACTAGAATAAAATGGGTACAAAATGAGAAGCCTTTTGAAAAGAACAGCAGTTGGACTGAGTGTGGTGCTTTTCACACGAGCAAGTAGTTGAGTGAGATTTCTGTGAGGATGTCCAATTTGAACACTATTTTGAAATCAGCCCAACTTAGAAATGAAGAGCCCTGCACATACTCAATCCACGATCCCGTTCCTCTTGGTCCCCTTCTCTCTTTTTCCTGCAGCGGCCGCTGAGACGCATAATGATGATGTAGATGTGGCTTAAAATGATCATCGGTGGGGGCAGGACTGGCCTGTCATGAAATGTCATAATCAGCTGATATCGCTGGAACTTCCACACCTGGTTGGATATTGATTTTACTTCAAAGAAGGTATTGCTTTAAAAAGAAGACATTTTTACAGTTAGTTATATTACTTTTTATAGTGATTTCCCAGAGCAGTCAAAGTTACTCACATTTAAGTGAAAATACTCAATGAGATGGCCTTTTAGTGCCCTTTAGTACTGATTCCTTGATTATCCAATCTTTTGGTTTATCCATCAATGTGGATTATCTGTGCTTAAGGACATTGTATTCATAAATAGCTAAGTGTAATAAATTGCTATGTACTGCTTTCTTGAAAAACCACACCACAATCTACTCATATACTCAGGAAATTTAATTTCCTATGTGTAGCGGTATAAGCCATTTAACTAAATGCTTTCACATGTTTAAACTTTCAATTCTGTCTAACAAGTAGATGACTACTTTTTTTTCAACTGAATTAATTAGTTATTGAACTTATTTGATTGAAGGTTCGTTATTTTGGACATGGGGTAGGTACAATCTTTGTCTTATTTTAGCTTCCAACAGGAAGCAGTAAGTGCATGATTTCATTGTCTACCAATACTGGGACCTTAGGAAAACCAGTTACCTTCCCTGACCTTAGTTTTCTCATCTCTCAAGCCAGAAGTTTGGACCAGGTTTTCTCCAATGCCCTGTTCAATTCTAAGATTGCATATTTCTGTGAAGGATTTTTCCCTCTATATTTTTCATCTTAGAAGCTAAAATCATTTTTTTCAATATTTATTGAGCATGGTCAACATACTCAACACAACATGCCAAATAGGCAGGTTTTATAAGAAACTCGATTTAACCCTTTAAGCCATTTTTTTCTTAGGCCATTTTATCTTGTATTCTATAAATGATCAGAAAAAAATGCTTTACTAGTATTACAGTAATTGTAACAGCTTATGAAACTCATATTGCCTTTTCCACCTCTGCTGATGAATAAAAAGCATGACTTAATCAAATATTCTGTACCCCAGGAGACTTTCATCTAAGAAAATATTTTCATTAGATTAAAATACATGCTAAAGTGTTAAAATACTAACCAAGATTAAATTTAAATGTATTTAAGTGTCAACTCTTGATTTATGAATACATTAAGACTGATTAAGTTTGAACAAAGAGACTGCAAAAATTGGATCTACTTAAAAACCCTAATGAAATTATCTGCAAATATATTGGTATCTTGGGAGCGTTCTGAGATTAAATGGAAAATCTGTACAGTAATAAATAATAAGCATGTGGTCATCGGCTGTGACACGTACTTGAACACAGCAATCAGCAGGTTCACCAGCAGGATGTTGGCGACCAGTAGATAGCACGCCATGAGTGCTGGAGTGAGCCAGGCGCCGGGGATACAGGGAGGAAGCCGCTTGCCCTCCTCATCATATAGGTTCTCACCACAAGGAGCTGAAAGAAAAAAATAGTTTTGTCTTTGCTTTTTACATATAATGAAAAGGATAAATATCTCTTACATATGTTTTTCAATACCTATTTCTTTTTTAATATGATTCTTTCTTATTTCATAAGCAATATTTTTTCCATGGGAAAAAATAAACTCTGTAGCCCCAGCTACTCGGGAGTCTGAGGCAGGAGAATGGCGTGAACCCGGGAGGCAGAGCTTGCAGTGAGCCGAGATCGAGCCACTGTACTCCAGCCTGGGTGACTGAGCGAGACTCCCAGTTGTCTCAAAAAAAAAACAACTCACACAAAGAAAAAAGTCAGAAACTCATATCTGCGCTCAGAGATAGTCATTATTTGTCATATTTCTAAACATTTTCCCATTTCTTTATTGTGGCTTTCAAATATAAAAGTCTTCATTTTTAAGCAGACAAATGTATCTTTATGTTTTTTCCCTTTATCGTTATCCATTTGAAAGTCATTGTGGCTTCTAATTATTTAACATCAGCTTATGTTGTCTTCTGGTTGTTTTCTTGGTTTCACTGATACATTAAATTTGAAAATATTTTTGTTATGTTGTATGGGTTAGGGATTTCCTCTACTTCCCAAATTGTTTAATCAACTGTTTTGGTGCCATGTTTGAAAAATAATCTTTTCTCCCTCTGCTCATTTGAAATGCAACTTTTTATCATAGGGGGTCTATTTCTCCCCTAAAAAAATAGGGTGATCCCAACAGTGAATTTGTGGTTCTCTTTACTTTTTACTGACAGCTTAAAAAGTACTGGCACCAAAAAACAAGAGAAGTATTTGAAAACAGTTTAAGACTACTAGTAATCAGCTAAGGAAAAGGTAATTGAAAAACACATTCCATAGACTAGAATAATCAATTCCATGTAAACTTACGATTAATTTCCATGGCGTAGACTACATGACGATTGGAAAGCAGGATTTTTGTTTTGTTTTGTTTTGACAGGAGGGGAGGAAAGAAAATAAGATGATGGTTGAGAGAAAAGTAAAACAAGTGGTTTAACAACATAACTGTTTTGCTGTGAAGAAATGCAAATATTTTAAGCTTGGGAAATATTGATTCACACTTAGAAACAGTGATCTGTTTAGAAGAATTACATACATTAATCATTCTAGAAAATATATATCATGGATATTTATTTTACCCTGTGTCATAAGCGAGAGCAAAAGCTCACTAGTTAAAAATACTGTGAAAAAGACATGATGTTACTGGCAGATGATCAGGTTAACCAATCACGCGCTCCCTATATTCCAACACAAACACCTCATAAGCACAAATAACTACAAAATTATTAGTTAATAGATCAAGAATCAAAAACCTACATTTAATTATGTTACTGAGAATAGCACAGCCTAAAGTTTACCTCTTTACCTTCTCTCATAACCCAATTTAATTTAAAAAAAAAAGAGCTCAACAATAAAAATACTACAGTTTATGCCTGGAATTCAGGAACTTTTAACGTGTATGTATATCTACCTAAACTAATATTCTTTTGAAATCAAATTAGATTTTTATGTTCTGGCTTACCAAGCTACTAACACACTTCAATAGTTGACTTTGTGATACTTGCAATAATGATATGGTCAGAATGACATTATAAAAGTTAGAAAGAAGCTACTGCATGAGCTGGTTATTGTCTAACCTAGAGGCAGTAGATATACACTGACAGCCCTACATTCCATATGAGAGGAAGATGATAAAAACTTTCTATTCCCAAATAGCAGAGCTCTGGAAGCAGCAGACATGCTATTATAGCTGATGCTTTATGATAAATCACAACATGCAAATGAAAATGTTGGTCCTGAAATGGAAATGGGACTAAAAGTGCCTCCTTCACTGGTGGAACATTTATTCAACTGTCCTGGTAAATAGTGTACAAGAACATTTGAGCTTTACATTCCTTCAATCCAGAAGACACCAGCTCAGCCTGCAGAGGAGCTGGGCCTACATTCCCCAGAAATCTGTGCAGGATCATAGCCCATTTCCTCTACTAACATCCAGATTATTTTTGATAATACAAAATAGCACTCTAGTAGTGAAGATGAAATGGGTATGAAATGGGTAGCTATGTGGAAAATGGGCTCTGATGGCTTTAAGAAGAGGATGGTGGGAAGTATCAGTTACTCTGCTCTGTTCACTAGTTCATTCTACTGGAAAACACTATCAGCCTTATCCTGGGGTGGGGAGATACTGGGTTGAAGAAAAACTAGGCTATTGGCATTAGAACTGCATTCATGTGACACGATGTCCATCAGGTCCAGCTCAAGGGAATTCTAGTGAATTATTTTTAGAATAAAAGAAATGACTGATGTCTGAAAATCCATGTTCCATAATTTGTTCTTATTTCTTTGTAAAATAATTTGATGCCTATGGTGGAGTGACAAATATTTTTTATTTCCAAATTAATACATGTTCTTCCATTAATTTGGAACTGATCATCTGCCTCAGAAGCAGGGAAGAGAATCTTACTATGAATTCTACTCTTACGGTCTATCTGGTCTGCAAACACCTCTCCATAGATCATCCAGTAGGGCATGTAGAAGATGTTTCGGGCCAGTTTCCAAGAGGGCTTCTCCTCTGGATGCAGAATGGCTTGACGGGCTACTCCGAAACTCATGAGCACGACCAGCATGATGACCACAAAGTACAGCATGTCGATCATCTGAGTAAGGAGAACATTTGTCTCTCACTGTCTTGGCTTGTGGGCCAAGTTCACCCTGGCTCATTATATTGCTGTCTCCAATTAAGCACTTCACGAGTGCTTAATTAGGACGAAGAAAGCCTCTTTCCCTTCCTTTCTTCCCATCCCTGGGAAGGCTTTTTCCTACTCCATGCAATGCTTTATGCCTAGAATGTCTTCTAGAACATTGCTATCTTCATCTGCTCTTCATCCTTCTTGCTTCTTCTCTGTTGTTGCCCATAAACACATGTCCCTTAGTAACTACAACTGCAAATGGAGAAAGGGAAGAATTAGAAGAAAAGATGGGAGTTTGTAAGGGATGCTAAGGAGGAAGAGGAGCAGATACCTAAGGAAATAAAACGATAATGAATTGAGAGTATAGACCAACATTTATTCATTCACTACACAAGTGCTGAGCAATGCCCTGGTTACTGTGGATACTAAACTGGTATAATTCCTAATTTTGAACATCCCTGAAGATGGAGGCCCTTGCTGGAATTTACTAAAGCATACTTCCCTTAGCTCAAAACCACTTGCCCTATAAAGAGTCCTTCCTAAATGTAGGAGGCTTGCTTTCTTCTTGTACCAGTCCTAACACTGAAGCTCTTTTAGGTAATGTAAGGATGACCTGCTGGTTCATTTTCAGTTTCATATTCTCTGGCCTGTTCTGGAGTATAAGTCATCATGGTCTAATCACATGGACTTCCTGTGTTCACTCCAGGCCAGAGTAAATGAGCTGAAGATCATCTGGAGTACAGGTTGGGGATTGGCCCTGGGCTCCCTTTGTCTCCGGCTTCTACCACATGTTAGGAGGTTATAAATCAGGCGGGGTTTTTTTTTTTTTTTTTTTTGGCCATATATATATACATTCTGAAGTGGATGTAGTCTCATAGAACATCAAATCCATGTCCCTGTACTAAAGAATGCTGAAAATATGTTTCCAGCCATCAAGAAGTAAATATTTTGAGACATCTATTTTGCTACTGAATTCCTATTGCATCAAAAATTGATGTTCTCTTATGTCCTGGGAAAGTGAAGTAAGCTCTTACAAAAAAACGAGGCTATTTTCTTTTATATTGCTGTCAAAATAGACTCATTAATAATAAATCAGAAGGAATAAAAAACAAACGTAATTAGTCACCCTACAGTTGAGATATGGTATGGAAGAAGGGAGACAGTATATATTGAGTACCTGATATATATTGAGAGAGATATACATGTGTACGTGTGTATGTATACACACATATATACAGTGAATGTATATACACTATATATGTATATATGTTATGTATATATACACAGTAGGCCCTCAACTCATGTTTTTCTATTGGATTTTATTAAGTTATCAACATGTAGGAGAACTGTGTATCTTAAAGCAAAGAATATTTCCTTTAAAAAGCCAACTGCAAAAGAAAAACCAAATGAAATTGAAGGAAGCCATGCCCAAGGCCTGTTCTTATGTCCTAACTACAGCCAAAGTCTCTCTGGATACCCACAGGATGCCACTACTAACCATCTTTCCAATCATCATCACGTATGGCCCCAGATACTTGTTGACACCAAAGATGTCCAGGACACGGATGTACCAGAAGATGATATCCACACAGTAGATCACCCGGCCATAGCCCATGTAGGGCTGGTTCTGTAGGCGAAGAATTGCTCCAATCATGAATGTGGAAATGGCCACGAGATCTGTGATGTTCCAGTACTCCTGAAGCCAAACTTTGATTTTCTGGCTGAGTTTGCCTGGTTCTGACATGAGGATCTGAAAACAAACCCCAAAGAACAATAAACTGAGATGCCGTATTAGAAGTCTTGTCTTAGAATCTTGGAACAATAAGACTGATGGAACATTCCAGGTCATCTGGCCCCTTTCCTACTCAAAACGTTTAAACACTCTTCTTCTCAGGCAGGGAGAGATATCTAGAAAGGGAAATTCCACGGAATCCTCCCTATTCTTAGATTCAGGGTTTTACAAACTCAGGAAATGCCTTCTAAATTATGTCCTTCTGGCTGTAATTAAAGCAGCTGCATTTTGATTTCTTTTTTAATTATCTGGACACGTGCCTGTTACTCCACATTCCAGAGTCACACAGGATGAAAACTCTAGAGCATAGATGAGCCCCACGTGGCCCCACAGAGGGGCAGTCCACCCAGTGGAGATGGCAGAATACCACTAGGAAATGTTTTGATTTGGCAAAATTCCTTTGCAACTTAGACATGAGAAATTAGGGGAAAGTTAGACCAGGTTTTCCCCTACTTGAGATATTATCCTTTCAAAATCACTGCTGCTTAAGGGGAGACTTCCACAGAGTAAAATGGAAGATATTTAGCAAGCAGCATGCACAGGCGTGCGCAGAGCCTTCCCAATGGCACAGCTGTCTGTGGTACCACACTGGGATGGAGGGTTGCCATGCCAGGTGGTACCCCTTCAGTTGCAGAGGTCTTGGGGATCTCTGTGGTAGGATGGGGCAGTGGCTATCTGTCAGCCCACACAGAAGGGATTCACTAGTTTAACAACCCATGCACACTAGCCGATGGCCACCCTCTCTCTCCTATAACTGGGGGCAGGTTTCTGGAATAAAGAACAGTGTCTCGGTGTATGGTGGACCCTCAGCAAGGCCAGGACGGCACAGCGATGGTAAAGCAGGCCGCTCAGGAAATACCAGTTGCAGCACCTGCAGAATTTGAATGAGGCCCAGCTAGAAAAGGAACAGTAGTAGAAGGTGGCAAGTATAATTTTGGATTCAGTGCTCTTTTGGTTTTTCAGGCTCTAATTAGACCGATGCCATCAGATTCCCTCTATCTGGACTAGGTTAATAATGTTTTTCAGTTCAGTGAAAGGGTCAACAATTACTGCAAAATAATAGTATTGGTTGTATATCAGTTGGAGAAAGGATATGAAATGATGCTGTGGGCTTTTTCAGCTCAAGTTGCTTTTTTGCTTGGATACATGCTTTCTCTTTATAAGCAAATTTAGTGAATTAAAACTTCTGAATGATATTGGAAAGGGAAGTATCCGGCCTATCTTTCCTCTGCTGTCTGCAGAGATTGCTTACTGGGAGTTACATTTTCACTCGAGCTCTCTGGGATAACGAGTCATATGTGAGATGGTATCTGTTCTTTTGCAATACTGAGTTGAAAATCCTGTTCCCTCTGTTTGCAGCAAACGCTCTAGGCCCCTCCCATATCCCCTGGAGCTTTTCCCCAGGTGGGCTTGCCCACCCCATCTGCTGCAGGTGCTGCTGTTAGGCCCACACCTGCCCCCTTCTGGGAGGCTTGCTCTTAGATGCTTGGAGCCATGTCTCTGGTGGGTACCAATGACAAATTGAGGTGGGGCCCAAAGGTGAGACAGACTCCACAGTGTCCAGTCCACTCAGAGCCCCCTACAGGATTAGGCCAAGGACAGGGTCCACCTGAAGCCACACCTCACTTAGCTCCTTTTCCTCCTGACTGGGAGCCCTCCCTTCATAAATCTCCTGCACAAGAGTCCAGAGATAAAAGAGATGGCATTTTTCCTGTAACTTTGGGCTTTGGACCACACTGTGCAAGTGTCTCTTGTATCTCTCTTTCTCCCTCTGATCCCAAATAACTAAGCCAAAATTTGTGCCCAGTTGCGGTAATTGGTTTATCTCAGGTCGCTGGCAGCATTTGCTGATGCTTTCCTATGCATTCAAACCTGTTTTCATTATTAAATATCTTTATTTTGCCTTGTGTTTTGATTTGCAAGTTCAAGTTCATTCAAGATGTATACATCTTAAATAAAGAAATGGAATAAACTTGGGATTGTGATACCTCCAAAAAAAGTCCCACAGCATGTGTAATTTGTTTTTTTGTTTTTGTTTTCGAGATGGACTCTCACTCTGTCACTCAGGCTGGAGTGCAGTGGCGCGATCTCGGCTCATTGCAACCTCTGCCTCCAGGGTTCAAGTGATCCTTCCACCTCAGCCTCCTGAGTAGCCGAAATTACAGGCAACTGCCACACGACCGGCTAATTTTTGTATTTTTAGTTGAGACGGGGTTTCACCATGTTGGCCAGGCTGGTTTCGAATTACTGCTATCTCAAGTGATCCTCACACCTCAGCCTCCCTAGTAGCTGGCATTACAGGCGTGCACCACCACGACTGGCTAATTTTTTTTATTTTTAGTAGAGGCAGTGTTTCATTCACCCTGTTGGCCAGGCTGGTTTCAAATTCCTGACCTCAAGTGATCCATCCGCCTCAGCCTCCCAGAGTGCTGGGATTACAGGCATGAGCCACCACGCCTGGCCCAACATGCATAATTTGCATGAAACGTTTTTTCAGTAAGGAGCCATATCTGCATTTGCAGTCAGCGGTTAGTGGGCTGGGGGAGGCCTTTGGAGTAGCCACCTCTCGTATCTTCTCTAACGCCAGGCTCACGATGTAGGAGATGACGATCCACTCCTGGAGGGACGGCCAGCCATCCATCCGCACCAGGATGACGTAGTTAAACAGCAGCAGGTAGCCCAAGTATGATATCTGAAAGAAAGACAAGCTGTTAGCCGTGTTTGGGGGAATCACATAGCAATCAAATTTTGAAACGCTGTTTTCTTTCAGGTTGACACATCTAAAAGAATCTTTGTTTCCAACTGGACTGACTCATTGAGAGGAAACCTTCACTGCACCTCACCAGTGCAGACAGAAGACCTGGAGGCAGGACGGGAGGCATTTTATACTTCAGCACGATATGGGCCCTGACTTTTCATTTTCTACATGGAGACATATTGGTTGGTGCTGTCATCCTCATGGGGAAACTATGAAGTTGCAAACATTATGATAACGGGAAACTTTTAATAGTTTGCTGGAGTGTCTTCTACATTCCTGGAAACTGGAAAATGTTACTTACTCCTCCCTGCCTCAGAAATTTCCTTCCTGATTCTTTCCACAACTGGGAAGTTAGATGAGAGGACATGTGGATGAGTTGCCCACCCAGATATGCGAGCTGACCCTAGAGTCCCCTCAGTTACTGGTGGCATGTCCAGGATTTGCTGTGGCCACAGCAGGGCCCCTATCTCTGTGGCAGGGAAAGAGGCAGAGCTGGAGGTGGCAGTGGGTGAGGCAAAAGCGGGGAGTTAAGGGGTTGGGGGAGGACGTCTGAAGTAGATCACCTGTCCCCAGTGATTCACCATGATGCCAAGGAAACTTAAGCTTCTGGGTCCCTCACTGGCACAGGCCCCTGTGGAAGGCTTGGGGGAGGGGTGCTAAAAACTGAGTATTTGTAACTGGGCAGTTTGGTTTTTTTTTCTTTTTTTTCAAGATCCTGCCTCCCAAGCCTATAAGCTTTACCAGGAGAGAGGCAGGCCCCACCCCAAGATCCACTATCCACTCTTTGAAGAAAGATTAGAGCCATGTTCTCAGACTTTGGGCTGCATCCTAATCCCTGCGAAGCTGCACAATGTGTGATGACTCCACCCTCCACCCGATCCAGAGGGTCTGGGGTGAGACCCAAGGCTGAGAGGCCTCGATGGCTTCCTGGCCCCATCTCCGGCAGCAGCCTCTATGGCTGGGCTCTCCTGCAGGCTGGGTGCACCCCAGGCCCTCAGATGGTTCTAACCAGAATCGATGGGCAGCAGTGACTTCGACTGTATCATCAATCTTGGCTGCCACAAGGTTGGGTGTCCAGGCCCTCAGCTGACCCTTGAGGTGGGCCCCCACACAGAGCTTTGCTCTGCCCCCAGCCCACCCTCATTCATCGCCCAGACCACGGCCAGGGACCCAGCTCCTCATGTCCCATACCCTGCTCTCACCTCATCACCAGTGCAACCACAGCACCGAGGCCTGCCTGGCGGGGGCTGTGGCTTGATGCTTGGGATTTCATGAGAAGTCTCTCTCCTCCCGACTGACGTGGTTGCACAAGCCACAGTGTGCCTGGCCACCCCCACTGGGACCGCCTGCAGCTCGGCCATTTCCCCCAGAGGCGCTCTGATCTGCCCTCCTGCCTCCTCTCCTGTTCTTGTTAGTAGAGAGCCACACTCTGGGAGCTGTGTAGACCCAGGGCCTCAGAGAGGGCTGGAGGATGGCTTGCCAGCCAAGCGGGTCAGTTTGGTGAGCACTTCAGAATGAGACGCCTTGATTTGTTTCCCTATTCCAAGAGTTTACCATCTGGATTTAGCCATGCCCTTGTAATGACCCCACCAATTTCATGAAAAATGGAATCTGTGAATTTGCTCTTTAAATCACTAGTCATCTCTGTTCATTTAAAAATAAAATTATAGTTCCTTAAGTTTGTATTGCTAAAGGCATCAGAAGAATTCATCTTAAGCAAATAGCATGTGACTATTTTGCCTTATGAGATGGTGTATTTGGGACTAGGATGGCCATATATCAATATGTGACAGGATATCGAGATCCAATGTTAGCCAGAGATCTCAATTAGTCCCAGTTTTGTTCTCATAATTCATTTTAATTCAGTGAATTTTTAGATACTTTTTTAAGCCCTTGAAGTTTTTCTTGATTCCAACATATCAAAGCATTCAAAATATACTGAATGTCAAATGTTCAGGAGGAGGCCTCACTGTGTAAAACCAGAACTTGACAATGGGCGCGTTATAGAATTCACAGATCTTTGTTCCGATGGGAATACTTCTCTGTTTTTTGTGCTCGTTCTCCTCATCCCCCTTTCTTGAGCCAGCATCTGCATTTGCATCCTGGAAAACAGAGCACAGCACATGACAGGCAGGTGGCTAAATGGGAAATGCAAGGCACTCCGGCACACAGGCACCATTAGAAAAACACAATTCCAAAAATACCTTTAACCAGTGAGATTTCTCAATCTGTGGTACAAGAAATCTCAACAATTTTGAAAACAAGATTACACTGATATGCTTAGGGTCAAGTGTGTCACTGACCGTATTTTCCTCTTCTTTTTCTTTGCCATCCTCATTTTCCTTGGATGTTTGATACGAGAAATCATCATATGTGCGAAATTCCAAAAACAAGATGGTGGGGGGTAGAAGAATCCCCATGATAACCTACGGAACATAAATTGATTTTTTAAGCTGTGGCAATTCTAGAAAAATGTCCCAGCATAGTTAAAATTTTTAAATTATGACCTTCAACATTATTCAATAACCTAGGAGCCCTGGAATGTTATCCCTGGTCTGACGTTCTGTGACATGTGCTTGGTAAATTAGTAGAATTGCAGGCAGTAAAACAATTTAAGAACATACACTAAATTTTTTAGATGAATGGCAAACAGCACTGTTGGTGATCCTAACTTTAAAAAGAAAAGTCTTGGCTGGCATGGTAGCTCACACCTGTAATCCCAGCACTTTTGGGAGGCCAAGGTTGGTGGCTCATATGAGGCCAGGAGTTTGAGACCAGCCTGGCCAACATGGTGAAACCCCATCTCTACTAAAATACAAAAATTAACTGGGCATGGTGGTGCACGTCTGTAATACCAGCTACTTGGGAGGCTGAGGCACAAGAATCACTTGAACCCAGGAGGCGGAGCTTGCAGTGAGGCGAGATCGCGCCACTGCACTCCAGCCTGGGTGACAGAGCAAGACCCTGTCTCAAAAATAAAATAAAATAAAATAAAATAAAAGTCCTTACATGAAATTTCGAGGAAGGCAAATCTTTAAATTAAAATAGAATAATATAAATAAAATATAATACCTCTAGTGAAGTAGGCCAAAAGTATTTTATATAGAAATAACTTTGATATAAATGAGATTATGTGAACTAAGAGTTGCAAGGCTAATGTGACTCAGAAAAGAAGGACTAACATGGGCTCGGCCTAGACAACAAAAGGATGCCCGGATGCCCAGGCTCATAGATAGAAAACATGCTTCCCCTTTTTTTTTTTTTTTTTTTGCTTGGACTACCTGCTAAACTAATTCTTCTGCATGGGAGGTTGAAGGTGTATAGTTTGAGTCTTTGCCTGTCTTAAACAGATATTCTTTTCTCATGCTTTTTGAATAGTTGGCCTGGGTAGAAAATATTCCAGGCTCCAAATGCCTTCCCTTCAGAACCGTGAAGGCCTTACTCCAGTGCTGCCTTCTGGGTTTCAGTGTTGTTGATGAAAAGTCTGATGCCAATTTGATGTTCATCCCCATGTAGGCGATCTACTTTAGTTTCCTGAAAACCTTAAAGAGCTCTTTATTCTTGGAATTCTGAAAACTGTTTATTAATATCCTAAGTTATGTATAACATCAGCTTAGCATATTATATAGAATTAGACAGTTAAGCATAACATTCACATTTCTAAGAAACAAAGTGCCCTCTATTTGCCAGAACCATACTACACAGTGTAACTCGTATAGTCTTTTCTTTATCCTCATGGAGAGCTCTAAAATAGATATAATACTGCCATTAGATTGCTAGGTTATCTGCAGATTAGAATCTCTTCTCAAGATAACCTAGTAGTTAACAGCAGTAAACCCAAGAGCTAGGGTTTGATTGCAATATAATTTTTCCCCCACTATATCTTTTTCAAACCCTTTCGTAGCTTCCTATTTTCTTGTAATTTTCTCCCATGTCATGAAAACATCACTAGTTAAAATAATACACAATTTCAGAGTTATAAGGGAATCTAGAAACAGAGTTCCAGTCCCTCCTTTAATGGTGGGTAGACGACCCAACCAGGGTGCGTGTGCATACTGAGTTATGGGGGGCTCCATTAGGAGACTCTGACTGTGGCAGGGGTTTGTGCAGCCTGGTGGGCTGGTCAGGTGGGGCTCTGGAGTTAGAGCACCTGAGTGTAGGTTCTGATCCCATGCTGACCAGCTAAGATCCTAGGCATGTCACTTCATCTCAAAGCTTCAGATTCCTCATCTATAAGACAATGATTGTCATGGCGTCTCCCTCAGGGGGTTGCTAGAAGGAATAAATGAAATAAGCCACAGAAAGTGCTCAGTTCAGCCTGGCAGAGAGTCACTTGTCACTGTCACCCTGGCCCGCCTCGCAGCACGTTGCACGCACCTTCAGGCCGGGGTTCTTCCGCATCCGCAGTCTTCCCATCCACATATCGGTCAGCAGCATCTGGCTGCAGGTGTGAGCAATGAAGTCCCGGTGTTTGGCTGCCACGGCCAGTTTGAGGCAGGTCGAGTTGCTCCAGTTTTTCAGCTCGTAGGTCAGGAGTTTCATAGCGATCTGCTCGTCATGCTTATAGGACTGGTCTAATAACTCCAAAGCAAGCTGGCCGAAGTCTCTGGGGGGAAAGAGAAGGGACCAGGGTGAAGCCACAGTGGCCGCAAGCTGTTTCTTAGACAGGCATATCCACCAAGGACTTATGGAGCCACGGGACACAGTATCCTTCACTGGAGGGGCTCTGAGGTTCTCTGCAAGCAAGAAGCTCCAGGGATGTGTCCCCAAAGGGGGAAGGCCAGGGACAGTGGCTGGGAGCTCAGTCAGGAGGTGGGCTGACTGCTACTGCTGCAAATGGAGCTGTAGGTTGAGACCACATCTGCCCCTCAGACCCCAGGGACATAGAGACGAGAAGACAAAGTCCCTTCCCTCAAGTTGTGCACAGATCAGGGAGGCAGATAGAAAAGACAGCAAAAGTGACTTCAAATGCAGCACCTGTGGAGTTGGAGGCCACAGTAGCGGGGCTGCTGGTGGTGGTGGTGGCGGGAGGTGGACACTGAAAGGAGTCACAGGAGGGCTGGTGGGTGCCGGCTAGGTTCTTAGTTGATCTGGGTGCTGGTGGTGCCGGCATGTCCCACCTGTGGACTGTCACCAGCTGGACATTTCGGATGTATGCCTTTCTCTGCCCGTGTAACACTTCACCATCACAGTGATTACAGAGAAGCCAACATTCTCAGTGCTATGACAGGGATGAGGCATAGTTGTCATAGGGCCCAGGCCAGAGGGCGTCTAATGACTGATGGGGACAGTGATAGAAGTTGGGGGGCATGGAGAAGGTGGCACAAGCTGAATTTTGAGCATAAAGTTTACTGCCTTCCCCACATGATCCAGATTCAAATATTTGGCAATAACCATAAACGTTCCAAGTTCCTTCAACTTTTTTTTTTTTTGAGATGGAGTCTCACTCTATCACCCAGGCTGGAGTGCAGTGGGGCAATCTCGGCTCACTGCAAGCTCCACTTCCTGGGTCCACGCCTTTCTCCTGCCTCAGCCTCCCGAGTAGCTGGGACTACAGGCGCCCGCCACTACGCCGGGCTAAAATATATTTTAGTAGAGACGGGGTTTCACCATGTTAGCCAGGATGGTCTCGATCTCCTGACCTTGTGATCCGCCCACCTCGGCCTCCCAAAGTGCTGGGATTACAGGCATGAGCCACCGTGCCCGGCCAGGAGAACCAATTTTACCAGAGCCTCACCTGCTGGTTTGATCAGAGCCTGACTGACCCAGGGGAAGCACGCCCAACTCCAGCCCCCTCTAGCCATCCTGTCCCACCTAAGCATGGAGCAAAATCAGAAACACCTGTGAAGGTCACAGTCCAGGTCACAGTCCAGGGCACAGGCTCATTAATGTTGTATTCCTTGTTAGTGTGTGTTTCCCTATGGAAATTAATTTCACCATCTTTGCATTAAAATTGTGTTTCAAGGAAAGGAAAAAAATTGTGTTTCAATTTTGATGCAAAGAGAAGGCAGTACACAAAAACAACGACAGTCCAAAAACACCTCTGAGAGACAGAAAGAAAAATGCTGACATGACAGACGAAGTGATTTGTGAACAAGCTTTAACCACCATTGTCCTTAAGTGAGAAGTACATTGGCCACCCCTCCCTGCAGAGACAAGTACTCAGGATGGTCATCTCTCCTGGCCTTTAAATCCCCGCTAGACACTAACTTGGAATTGTTATCCAAGTCCTGGGAGATGTCATCCACCAGATCACTCTCGGAGGACTCGTGGGCCATGGCCTTGTAGAGCTTGCAGGCCACCAGGGCCTTGGCCATGCTCTCTTCCCCTCGCTGCCAGAGGAACACTGCCATTTTCTGGCGTTTCATCAGCACTGCCCACACCATCAGCTCGTGGAAGGGATACTGGAACCGACTCACGGCAGGGTCGTCCACATCAATGTCGATCTCTTCCTCCTTTTTCTTCTTTTTCTTTTTCTTCCCTTTAGCTGGAGGCTCATCATCCTGAGGGGAGAAACATGGATTTCATGGTTTTGCCATAAAAGTATGCAACAAAGAGTTCCAGAACTCCTGGAGAAAGGGAACCCTTTCTGTCAGAGGTAATAAAGAGACTTCTGAAGTACATCTTACATTTCCACTCCGCATATGAATTCTTTTGAAAAGATGCACACGTTTATTATGATAAGTAAACTATCTAAAACCAAATGAACTGAGAAGGCATACTGTTTGGATAACTTGCACCCCTGGGTCAGCAGTTTTACTTAGAAGCCTTTAACTGAGGCGACGCTGCAAAACTAAAACAAACAAGCAAAACCTCCCCCAAAACTAAACACAAATAACATCATGGAAGAGGGAAGGTCTACAGTTTATTTCCTCAGGGAGGTCTTCAAATGTAGCAAAAATAACACTCGTTTGCCAGACGTAGCTGAACCAGAAATTAACAGGAAACATGCAAAAGGGGCTAGAGAAAATGTTTTAGGTTTCCCTCCAGTGTTTTAAGAAAGCAAACATTCCTCTTTTAGTGAGCACTGTCCTTTTCCCCATATGGTGCAAAAAGGAAGGCCAATCTTTCCCATTTCCTAAAGGGGTTATGAGAACTGTTCTGTGAATGGATCAGGATTCATAAGAAAGGCAGATCGTGATTGGGAAAATTGGCATGAAATATGTGGGTCTCAGACTACTCCAGGCTAATACTTTAGTATTCAATGGAATAACAGAAACAGATGTTTGTTCTTTTGCAAACAGCGTTCCCATCAGTTATCTTCTTTTATTCTTACAAGGACTCTGAGAGGTTGTGAATTCCTTCCATTCCCTCAGATTAGGAAGCTGTGGCTCAGTCTGAATAACTCAGCCACATTCACAGAGTTGGAGTGGTCTGGAGCATGGGGAGTTATAGGAGGTATCCTGGCTCTCCAATTCCTATCTCAGGTTGTTCACTACTGACCCAATTTGTTTTGTTTTGTTTTGTTTTTGAGACGGAGTCTCACTGTGTCGCCCAGGCTGGAGTGCAGTGGCACCATCTCGGCTCACTGCAAGCTCTGCCTCCCGGGTTCATGCCATTCTCCTGCCTCACCTCTGGAGTAGCTGGGACTACAGGTGCCCGCCACCACGCCCGGCTAATTTTTTGTATGTTTAGTAGAGACGGGGTTTCACCGTGTTAGCCAGGATGGTCTCGATCTCCTGACCTCGTGGTCCTCCCGCCTCGGCCTCCCAAAGTGCTGGGATTGTAGCCATGAGCCACCACGCCCGGCCACGACTGACCCAATTTTTATAATATCATAATGAGCTGTGATAACATTTTAATGGAAAATATAGTATCTTGACTCCAATTTAAATATCTTTGTTCTAATTTTCTAATTTTGTCACAGTGAAGCTACAGTCGCAGTGATATGGGAAAGGTTCATCTACACAGGTTAAAAATGAACATCGTAGAAATGTTTAGATAAACATAGATTTTCAAGAATATATAAGATAAAATAAAAATTAACTAATGACTAATGAAATGTTATAAAACAGAAGTCCTTTTAAGCCTACCTTTCAATAACATCTAATATTATTAAAATATTAATTGCATGTAAATTCTCTTTAAAAACTGCCAGAGAGAGAATATGAGAAACAAAGAGTTAATTTTCCTAAAATGCAAAGGCCTGTCACAAATCAATGAGGAAAAGGGAAAAAAACCAATAAAATAACAAAGGATCTGAACTGGGAGTGTAAGGAAAAATTGACATATTACCATAGTTGAGTAAGTAACACACCTTACTTAGCAATGAATTTGAAAAAAAATTACAGGATATTTCTATACAAGGAATAAACTTTGAAATCAATAACAGTAGTATGACAACAACAAAAGTCTGTATCTGGGAAATTTGAAATACACTTCTAAATAACTCTTGGATTGAAAAGGAAATAATAAATGCCTTAGAAAAAACGACAATGAAGGTTCTACTTATCCAAACCTGTGGAATACCATGAAACAATGCTCAGAACAATTTATACCTTTAATGCATTTATAGGAATACAGTGAAGATGGAAAATGAGTGAATTTTCCTTTCAAACTGAGTTAGCACGAACAATGCAATAACAGTAGGGAAAGTATATGGAAGAAACAAATACAAATAAAAGCAGACATTAATAAAATAGAAACAGAAAAAGGAAGTTGCTTGATAAAGCAAAAATACCAGTAAAATATGTAGGAAAGAAAGTTTAAGAAAATAGGAGATATAAATTTTGTTTAAAAATGGCACAAGAGGCTGGGCGTGGTGGCTCGTGCCTGTAATTCCAGCACTTTGGGAGGCCAAGATGGGTGGATCACCTGAGAATCTGAGATCAGAAGTTTGAGACCAGCCTGACCAATATGGTGAAGCCCCATCTCTACTAAAAATGCAAAAATTAGCCTGGTATGGTGGCATGCACCTGCAGTCCCAGCTACTTGGGAGGCTGAGACAGGAGAATTGCTTGAACCTGGGAGGCTAAGGTTGCAGTGAGCCGAGATTGCACCATTGCACTCCAGCCTGGGTGACAGAGTGAGACTCCTACTCAAAAAAAAAAAAAAAAAAAAAATTGGCACAAGAAATGAGACACAACTGAAGATACTGAGGAGACTGAAAAAAACTAGAATACTATGTAAAAGTTTATTCCAGGGAACTTGAAAGTCTAGATGAAATAAGTCATTTTAGGAAACTATAAATGACCAAAGTTGACTCTAGAAAATAAAAAGCCTGAAATGTACTTATATTTATAATGGCTATTATGAAGTAGTATTATGAAATGCACACTTCTAAGAAATAGGACTGGACCCGGAAATTTTACAGGTGAGTCCACCAAACCTTCATGGAATAAATAAACCCTGACCTGGAGAGTTTGAGAGAACAGGAGATCACAGAAAGCTCATAACCCTTCCAGGAGCACCGTGTTAAAGGACAGTCTTAATTGTCAACACAGAATGAAAGCCGTCTACACTGAATCCATGAAGAATCGGGATGCTGTTTAGCTCATAAATTTATTTAAAAAGAATGTTTCCAAGAGTCAATCCTAATATTCCACAATATGGCATTTCTTCCATTCATTTAAATATTTTTAGGTCTGGGACATTGTTCTTACGGTTGCTAGTAAAGGTAATTTCTGGTACTTTTGTCCTATTGTGAGGGAACTTTAGTTGATTTTCCTGGATTTTCTAACTCCCCCCAAATTTTTTTGCTGATAATAATTTCTCCCTTTCTTGGGTATTCTTTTTTTAGCATTTATTTTTCCTTGTGGTTCAATTTCCAGAACACTTTTGGGGACTAGTGAAAGATGCCAATAGGTAAGAATTATAAAACAGTAGATGACGCCAATGATATTGGGCATGCTTGTCTTGTTCTTGATTCTCATGGACATGACTTCAGGGATGCACTGCTCATCATACGTTTCCCTTGCTCTAAGATATACGTGTATTTTAATCATTCCAAGAAAGTATTTTATCATTCTATTTTGAGAAAACTATATATTTTTTAACAAAGTAAGGCATATGTTTTACATGTGTTTCAAATTCTTCATTAGCACCTGCTGAGAGATGGTCATAGATATGATGCAATATATTAAAGACTAACACTGCATTGTATTTGCATTCTTGGAGGACTCTACTTTGATTTAGGACTATGAAAATAGTCTATTGAATTCTTTTTGGTGTTATTTTTGGTTTTTTACTTATGGTTTTTGCATACGTAAGTGGTGTTCCTCTCTAGTTTTTTTGTTTGCTTAATCTTTGCTTTTGAAACTGTGGTTTTGTTAGTTCTAGAAATGGATTGTGCAGCTTTTATCCCCATTAAAGAAAATGTATATATGGTCCTTTTATATAATTTGACTAAGACATCTAGGTAAATTTTGGTGAGTAGTATCGTATATTCGCAAATACAGAACTTAAAAGGGCTATGTATATTTGACCAGGATATTATAAAACTGTTGAAAACAAGTTCTACTTACTTCCATTCCCAGAAGTTTAAGAGCTTTAGGCTGCATGGTGAAAGAGGAAGAAAAAAAATCAATTTACTTAGATAACTAATGTTAGTAGTACATTAGCAGTATTGTTGATAGTGGACATACGAATGGATTAAAAAGCACTTTGTATCATTAACAATTAATGATAATATCCAAGGAAAAGAAGTGCTTTAATATAGAAACTCTTCTTCTGTCAGCAGAAGTTAATTGAGAAGAAAGCTCAGCAGACGCGTGGCCCTTATTCCAGGTAGAAACCGAGAAGTTCCCTAATAGACATGTAGAGAGCTGTGGGGCTGTAAGGTGGGTGTGAGAGGAGGGCATCATGAAAGATCAGACATTTGAGTTGGACTTTTGATAAGGGTGGGAAAGGCACTGATAGTGGGGAAAGACGTGGCAGGTACACGTCTTTGATTTGATCACAGGATTTGATTTTGGTGCAGGTATGTGGTCTCCCATGTGGGTGAGGGCCAGCTGGTGGAGGGCCTTGGCTGCTGTGATAATGAGTTTGGATACGATTCTCCAGGCAGTGAGGAGCTCTGGGAGGCTTGAAGCAGGGAATGCAGGCATGTCCCTTGCTTTGGAAGATTATGGCAGGTACAGTGGTGGGATAGTAGAATAGGCTGGAGCAGGCAGACAGTAGCCCCGGAGCCCAGGAGGAAGTCTGCTGTGGATAGAAAAGGAGGGCAAATGCAATGGATGGGCGGGGCGGCCCGTGCTCAGGGGAGCTGGAGAATGCCGTGGCTCTGGCCTGAGAGCACTGTAGGAGGCAGGACAGCTGTGCTGGGGACAGGGCGAAGGGCTTGGCTCTGAACCGGCCAAGTTGTTGAAAAGCAAGCGAGGAACCACATGGTACTCGCGAACCACAGAACACTACACAGGCACTGAGTTCTACCCTCTTTGGTCCAAACAAGTTGTTGTAAAGGGTCCGAAAGTTTTTCCGAGTGTAGTTGCAGCGGTAGGCTCCTCCCATGAGGTACTCCAGCACGAGCCCGATGTCTATGAGGCTGATGTGGTAATCAGGCGGAAGGTTGCTCTGTAAAAGAAGTCTGGTCTCAGGCCCTGTGAGAATGCGTTCGCAGTGTGGACTTCATCACACGTCTAGGGGGTAAGTGGCTGTCCTGGCCCCCACTTGGGAGTTCATGTAACAGGTGGGTGGGTGGGGGATTAAACAATATTCAGGCTGGGGAAAGCATCTATCCCTTGATAACAAGGTGGCAGAAAGGGCCAAGAACAGCAGCTGCAATCAACAGGACACAGAATGACTTGAGGAACCTCCTGCCGGTGCTTCTGGAAAGAGCCACAGGCAGTGGGTGAGAGATCTCAAAGGAGGGACAGAACGAGAGGCTGCATGGACAGACAGCGGGGCTCAGGTCAGCAGCCAGGCCACCCCCTTCCCCAACCCCACCCAGTGGCCGCCCTGGCCTGGCGCTGGCGTCAACCTATAATCCGGCTGTCACTGACAGTGTCCCTATCATGGATTTGGATGAACATGCAACTTAAAAAAGATTATCCTTTGCTTTCTTAGTTTTAAATAGACTCTTTACGAAAGAAGGAATTCATTATCTCCTGTGCCTGGAATAATAATACATTTTGAAAATTTAAAACTTGCTCTTAAGAAATGATTTTGTGAAAGATGCCAACAGGTAAGAATTGTAAAACAGTAGACTGACCTTTTTCACATCCCTCACCAGCAGATGAAGTGTGTTTGGTGGACCCAGTCTCTGAAAGAGAAGCATTCATGTGTGTTAAATATGTTTTTCTTGGCCAGGCGCGGTGGCTCACGCCTGTAGTCCCAGCACTTTGGGAGGCCAAGGCAGGCAGATCACTTGAGGTCAGTAGTTTGAGGCCAGCCTGGCCAACATGGTGAAACCCCATCTCTACTAAAAATACAAAAATTAGCTGGGCGTGGTGGTGGGCACCTGTAATCCTAGCTACTAGGGAGGCTGAGGTTGGAGGATCACTTGAACCGGGGAGGCAGCTGCAGTGAGCTAAGATTGCACCACTATACTCCAGCCTAGGTGATAAAGTGAGACCTCGTCTAAGAATGAATAAATAAATAAATAAATAAATAAGTTTTTTTCTTGAACTCTTCGAGCAAAATCCTGCCCTACTCTATATAATTAATGAATTGTGAGAGCTGGAGTGTAACCCACACCAGCCTTTTTCTTTTACAAAACAGAGCTGGTCATGGTTAGAAAGTATCCAACACATTTCAAAAGTTGTGAAATACTTTCTGTTGCATTTTTTTAAAAGAGTATCTTAAGGTGCACAATATAGTGTTAATAATTCATCAAGTTGGCCAGAATCAGTGGCTCAAATTAGTATATTTGAGCCTATTATCCCAGCACTTTGGGAGGCCAAGGGAGGTGGATCACTTGAGGCTAGGAGTTTGAGACCAACCTGGGCAACATGTCGAAACCCTGTCTCTACAAAATTTTTAAAAATTAGCTGGGTGTGGTGGTGTGCACCTGTAGTCCCAGATACTCAGGAGGCTGGGATCGGAGGATGGCTTGAGCCTAGGAGGTTGAGGCTGCAGTGAGCTGAGATCATGTCACTGCACCCCAGCCTGGGCAACAAGAGAGACTCTGTCTCAGAACAAACAAAAAAAAATTCACCAAGTTTTAGCAAGCAGCTGCTGAGGATCATTTCTGCTACTTAAAATCTTACAATAGGGAAGGAAATGTAAATTCTCAAAACTTATATTGTAATAATATAAGCCAAGGGAATTTCATTCAAACCCTTCCAGCAGAGCTCCTGGGTGTGAAACTTAGCTCTATGTTTTACCCCAAAGCCTCATCAAATGTGAGGGTCCCAAGGAACAATTGACTTCTCACCCTTGGTGACATTTCACTCTGCTAATGGCTTGGGGAGCTAGATTCCCTCTTTGTAGCAACAAGTACTCACACACCACCCTTAAATGCGGGACAAGAGTTAATACTGCCTGAGAAAGGAGTGACTGGCGAGGCATGGCAGGAGGTGGTGAGAATATGAACACAGGCTGTGGCCAGCAGCAGGTGAGAAGTAGCCGCCTGCCATTAAGTACGGACCTCCCAGCTGAAGGAGGTCAGATGAGCACATTTATGCACAATATGCACCAGTGACAAACACATTTAGGTGGCTGCCTCCCGCTTCCTTCCCTTTTTCTAGAGCACTCACTGTGTTATAAAGCTCCTCCAGCCTCGGAATGGTCAGAAAGTGTTGCATGTTCACTCCGTTTTCAATCAGGAGCTTCACAAAGTCGACACGATCTAAGACTAAAGCATCTAGCATCGCTTGCTCCAAAGCATTCACCTGCAGGGACCAAGGGCCGGGAGCCTGTGAGTGGCCTCTCAGAGACACAGGGGAGGGGGGCGACTGGAAACACAGAGGAAAGGGTATTCCGAACGCCAGATTCCAGAGCACTCCAGCATGGTACTCTTTGCTCTTTATCTTGGGTAAACACTCCCCATCTCCCCTCTCCTTTCTTCTCAGTTTGGCCTCTACATGTTCCATCCATGTCTGTAAATTATTGTTTCCTTTTAAAAATAGATTGAAGAGGATTCAAAATCTCAGCCCTCCTGGCATTGGCCTGCCCAGTCTCCACCATTTGTTTCCTTGACTGAGAAGTTGTGCCAGGAGGAGCTGCATGGGCAGGCAGCATGACCAGGGTGCCGTGTGGGTGAGTGACTGTGATAAGGGCAGGCACACGTCACCACAGAGGCCTGGTCCCCTGTCTTGCCTGTGTCCTGGTGGCAGCAAGACCAAGAACTGCCATGCGATGTGTGGCTCCAGCCTCCCCACCTAAACTGCTGTTACCCCACACACCCAATCATGGGCTCTGTCTGTCAAAAAAGGGCTTTTTCATGAATTGCATTTATTTGGTGACAACTGATTTGTCTGCTGTATATTCATGCATCAAGCATTGGCATGTCTGCCAGGTACAGAACCATTGCTGAACAGGATGACTCAGGGCCCCTCTGTGGGTGGCATCATTCCCCCCAAAGCAGGAACGTTTGGTGTTTTGGACAACCGACAGGCTCATTGCAGCGAATGTGCTGTTGTAGTTTGAAATGCTGACACTACCCAGTCAAGCCTTTACCCGTCCCTCCTGGGATCAGGGCCCTGGGTGGGACTGAAGCAAGGACAAGAACCATCCCTTCCCCTGGGGAAGGGTGATGCCAAGCTCGTGATCTCTGTGACCTTCCACATACCCAGTTCAGCAGCTCTATCTTCCGGGGGTCAGTTTCTTCCTCCACTTCCTCTTTCACTTTCCCTTTCTTCTTGCCTTTCCCTTTTCCTCTTCCTCCCTTGGTGGTGGCCATGGGTGGCTTCTTCTCCTTCTCCGTGGCTTTGCTGTCCGTCGGGGGTGCCAGGCTTCCCAGGGGCTGCAGTCCACAGCAATCAGAGTTGGGAAATGGTACTAAGGCTCTTTCTTGTCCCCAGACCAGCTCATTGACCCTCCCACCTCTGTATGTGCACACATGCACACCACACATGCACACAATGTACATGTGCACACCCACACAGTGCACACATATGCCCACACATATGTACAGGTGCACACGGACTCCATCCCATACACCTACATACTCAGTCGTCGCAGGCCTGGCTGTCTGAAGAAGGCTCTGATACTGGGAACCACTGTTACTCGTGTGCACAAACACACACTTGACTTGATGCAGCGACTTTGCATACTTAAAGTGGCTGACATTTTGATCCATGTGTGCTTTTGCATGGAGGAAAGGATGCTGAAAGGAGAGTTCAAAGGCACCAAAGACATGTGTCCATAGTTGTTTAATGATGGGAAAAAGTGATTGTGAAGGGGGTACAAGACAATGGATAGAACTGAGGATGCCTGCCTGGATGTAAACGTAAACTGGAGCTTATCGGCGGGTAAAGAAGCTCTCCGCATGTCACTGAAATGCATGCAATGCGGTGACAGACTCATTCATCAAGGGGAGTGTGTGCTCTACTCCAGAGAACAGGAGGGACAGCAGAAGTAGGCCTGGCCCCGTGGCCTTGTCTCCTGGTCTGGTGGAGAATGTGGGAGTGTGTCCTGGTGCAGACACAGAGCCAGCACCTAAACAACCGGACCCTCCAGCTGGCGTCCTCTCTTGCCAGACCCACCCGCTCCTCTTACCAAACGCTCCTGGTGGATTGCCTACCTGAGGAGCCTCCATTTCCTCTCTTCCTATCTCTCCTGCACGCACCCTGCTGCTTCTTCCATCTGTCCTGGGCTGTGGGTTTAGTTGCTGAGAACTGTGCTGGTGCCTGCCTCATGGGCATTTCATGCTGGGTTCTCAGCACATCTGACTCCACTGCCTGCTTCCTCCTAGAGTCTCTTCCCTTGGCTTCTTGGGCATCACAAGCTCCCAGCTTTCCTCTTCCCTGTCTGGCCACTACTTCTCAGTGCAGCTTTAAATGTCAAGGTTCCTCTGGGCTCTGTCCTCAGCCTTCTACCTTTCCACTCTACTCTCTTCCTTGACGACCTCATTGACCCCCACACCACCAGTCACCACTGATTGGCATACAACTTCTCCTTTCTGGCTGCGGCCCACCTCTCTCCCCAGAGCTCCTGTTGCCTGCTCAGCATCCTGCTTGCATGTCTCAAAGACATGCAGCTCCTTATGTCCCAAACCACTCTCAGGACCTACCCTCCGACCCAGTCCTCTTCCAGGGTCCCTTATCTCAGGGAAATGTTACCACAGCTTGCAAGTTGTGCAAACCAGAGAACTGGGGAGCATTGTGACATCTCAGTCCCTCCAGTGCCCTCAATGATTCATCTACCCCTATGTGCAGCCATGTTTAATGCTAAATTTTGCTTAATTCTGATTCTTGCCTTCTTCTTTGCCTCTGCTCTAGTCCAAGGCCTGAATTATTTCAAAGGCCTATTAATAGGACTCTGCACACCTGCCATGGCACCCACCCAGTGCATTTTCCACAGTAACTCCAGAGTGACCTTTAAATATAAAAATGGAAGCAAGTAACTCTCCTGCTTAAAACCCTTAAGTAGGGCTGAGGCAGAGCTTATGTCAGGGGAGGTGTGCATTTATATAGTTCCTGGTCAACATACAAATATGGATGAAAAAGTGTCTTGGCTGACTCCTCATGCAGATAAAACCGTTATGGTCCTGAGTGACAGAGTGACACCGCATCCAACAAATGGTGCTGGGAAAACTGGATATCCACATGCAAAAGACTGGAGTTGGACCCTTACCTTACACCATATACAAATATTAACTCAAAATGAATCAAATACCTGAACATAAAATCGAAAACTACTAATATAAAATGCTGCTGGGCACGGTAGTTCACGTCTGTAATCCCAGCACGTTGGGAGGCCGAGGCAGATGGATCACCTGAGGCCAGGAATTTGAGACCAGCCTGGCCAACATGGTAAAATCCCATCTCTACTAAAAATACAATAATTAGCTGGACATGGTGGTGGGTGCCTGTAATCCCAGCTACTTAGGAGGCTGAGGCAGGAGAATTCCTTGAACCCAGGAGGAAGAGGTTGCAGTGAGCTGAGATCGTGCCGTTGCACTCCAGCCTGGGTGACAAGAGTGAAACTCAATCTCAAAAACTAATTAATTAATTAAACTAAAATGCTTAGAAGAAAACATAGGGCAAAAATATCACTATATTGGATTTGGGAATTCAATTCTTGAATATGACACCAAAGGCACAGGCACAAACGGAAAAATTATTAATAACAAATCCGATGGACTTTATGAAAATTTAAAAGTTTTGTGCAGCAAAAAATACCATTAACAGAGTAAAGGTAGCCACAGAATAGGAGAATATATTTGTACATCATGTATATGATAAGGGGTTCATAGCCAGAATATATAGAGAACTCCTAAAATTCAACAACAAGAAAACCCAACCTGATTCAAAAATAGGCAAGAGACTTGAATAGACATTTCTACAAAGCAGATACACAAATGGCCAATAAACACACACAAAAACGCTCAATATCACTAATCATTAGGGAAATACAAATCAAAACCATCTGAGATATTATCTCACACCCATTAAGATGGCTATTATCTTTTTTTTTCCTTTTATTTGAGATGGAGTTTTGCTCTTGTTGCCCAGGCTGGAGTGCAGTGGCACGATGTTGGCTCACTGCAACCTCCGCCTCCCAGGTTCAAGTGATTCTCCTACCTCAGCCTCCTCAGTAGCTGGGACTACAGATGTGTGCCACCACTCCCGGCTCATTTTTTTTTTTTTTTCTGTATTTTTAGTAGAGACGGGGTTTCGCCATGTTGGCCAGGCTGGTCTCCAATTCCTGACCTCAGGTGATCCACCTGCCTTGGCCTCCCAAAGTGCTGGGATTACAGGCATGTAAGCCACTGTGCCCAGCCAAGATGGCTATTATCTAAACAACAGAAAATGACAAATGTTTGTGAAAATGAGGACAAACTGGAACCCTGTGCACTGTGGGTGGAAATGTAAAATGGTGCAACTGCTGTGGGAGGAGTTTGGTGATTCTTCAAAAAATTAAAAATAGGATTACCGTGTGATCAATGGTTTCACTTCTTGGCATACCCAAAAGAACTGAAAGCAAGTCTCAAAGAAGTATTTGTACACCTACATTCATAGCAGCATTATTCTAAAACATGGGAGCAACCCAAGTGTCCACTGATGGATGCTTGGATAAGCAAAATGTGGTCTATCCATATAATGGAATATTATTCAGCCTTAAAAGGAAGGAAATTCTGACAAATGCTACAACACGGATGAACCTTGAGACATTGTTCTGAGTGAAATAAGCCAGTCACAAAAGGACAAATATTACATGACTCCACTTATAGGAGGTACTAACAGTAGTCATATTCATGGCAACAGAAAGTAGAATGGTGGTTGCCAGTCACAGGAGAGGGCAGGATGGGGAATTATTGTTTGATGGGCATAGAGTGTCCATTTTGCAAGATAAAAAAGCTCTTGAGATGAATGTTGGTGATGATTTTCCTTCAAAAATTGTTAGTCCAAAGTTTTTATGATTCAATATAAATAAATAAATTGCCTTTTGTTACCTGTATATATCAAACGTCTCTCTTTTTCTCTCTCTTCATTATGTTTTTTGTTTGTTTGTTTATTTGTTTGTTTTTTGAGACGGAGTTTTGTTCTGTCACCCAGGCTGGAGTGCAGTGGCATGATCTCAGCTCACTGCAACCTCCGGCTCCCAGGTTCAAGCAATTCTCCTGCCTCAGCCTCCTAAGTAGCTGGGATTACAGGCATGCAACATCACACCCGGGTAATTTTTGTATTTTTAGTAGAGACGGGGTTTCACCATGTTGGCCAGGCTTGTCTCAAACTCCTGACCTCAGGTGATCCACCCGCCTCAGCCTTCCAAAGTGCTGGAATTACAGGAGTGAGCCACTGTGCCTGGCCTCTTCGTTATGTTTAAAAGCATGTTTTAAGAAGAATTTTTTTTGCAAAGCTTTTACTTTAATTAATTATTTTAATTAGCAAATGACAAATTGTATATATTTATGGTATACATGATGCTTAAATATATGTATACATTGTGGAACGATGAAGCTAATTAACATATCCATCACCTCACATACTTATCATTTTTGTGATGAGAACATTTAAAATCTACTCTTTTAGCAATTTTCAAGTGCACTATACATTATTATTAATTATAGTCACTATGTTGTACAATAGGTCTCCAGAATTTATTCTTCTTAACTGAGACTTTGTACTTTTAAACCAAAATCTCCCAATCCCTCACATCCTAGCTTCTGATAACCACATCATACTCTCATGCAGCTTTTATTTTTTGCATTCAATAACAGAAAATATAGATAGAAGAATTTTGTCTAGTAATATATAGCAAATCAGACCTAAGATTGATTTACTGTGTTGGAATTCTTATGTCCTCCCTACCACAAGTTTTCTACTATATGAAGAATTCTAGATAGACTATAGATTCACAGGCACATCCTTTCTTGAGTGCTTCAACTATTAAAAGAAGATTTTGGAGACCTTATATCCCACTGTAGGGAGACAGAGAAGGACTTTTGGCTCCAGGTTACAGCCTGAGCATGTGTTTCCTGTCTTCCCTCCCTCCCCAGATACTATTTAAATGACAGCAGAGGAGTATGAAAAAGAAAAATCTATTTCAGGGAGAAGAGGCGGGCCAGAGAGTTTTTAACAAATTTCTGGAAGCATTGAAGGACCAGTTAAAACTATGGAGAGGAAGCCAAAGCCCAAAATGTGTAATGTGGAGGTTGCTCTTGAGGTGAGACCAGATTTTCCAAGATACAAAGAAGAGGGCATGTGGTGGGCAGAAGGCATGGTGACCGGAAGATGGTCTACAGAGCAGGAGGCCACACATCCCCTCCCGGTCTCCAGGCTGCCACTGTGGTGGGTGCAGAGCAAGCAACTGCATTCCTGGGCTTCACTCCCAGTAAAAACTGGGAGGATGTCTGCTAAAGAATAGGGAGGCCCAGAGCCCATCAGCCCTCTCCAGTCGGCACTCAGCAAAGCAGGAGGTTCAGGCGATACTCTCCTTCCTAAGCAGGGAATTCCTGGGCAGTCCTCCCAGGGAGGAGAAAAACCTGTTGGCAAAATGGGTTTCCATACCAATTAAGCAGTTCTATCCCTCATTCTGTAGTGTGATGGACAGCCAAGGATCTAGAGCATTTGAGAAAATCAACAGCATAACAGAAAAACCCAAAATGAACAAAAAGAACAGCTGACCAGGGAGAAAATAGAGATAATCTAGGGAACAGAAGATAACTTCAAAAAATCTAATTCATATCCTTAGATATTGCATCTGTGAGATGAAAATAGGCTAATAAGAAAATAAAATTGTTAAGGAACAAAAACACTTTCTTAAATATAAAAAGCATGAGTGCCTAAACCTTTAAAAATTGTATAAAAGCTAAAGAAAAAGTTGAGATTTCCAAAAACATACAGCAAAATGATAGAGAAATAAAAAACCGAAAATGGACGGTCAGTCTGGGAGAAGGGGACCAGCAGTTGCTTGACTAATAGAAAATCCAGATGAAGGGAAAGAGATAATAAAGAAAGAAATACTCAAAGAAGAGATAGAAGAAAATTTCACAGAGCTGATTCAGGTCTTCAGCATAAAGGGACCTTTGAAAGCCAGAAGAATTAAATGTCTACATGTGTGAAGATATGGCTGCTTGAGTTTGTATTCTCTATACACTTCTATTTTCATTTGCTTGAAATAGAAGATACATCCTTGTGAAATTTTCAAGCACTGAAAAAGCAAAGAGCAGAGAGAAAACAATGGTTCATCTATAATTGAATGAAAATCATAGGACAATCTTGAGCCTCATGTGAGGCAGACTTTTTTCAGACATGTAAAGACACAGAATGATAATTGCTGTGGTTTGAAAGTGTCCCCCAAAGTTCTTGTGTTGGAAACTGAATCCCCAGTGCAACAGTGCTGAGAGATGGGACCTTTAAAATTGTTTAGGTTATGAAATTCTGCTCTCATGAATGGATTAATGCTTTTATAGAGGGAGAGGGTTCATGATCTTGAGAGATTTGTTTTAAGAGTTCAGCCCTCTCTCGCTGTCTCTCGCTCTCTTACCCTTTCACCTCCCACCATGGGATGATGTAGCAAGAAGGCCCTGACAAGATACCAGCCCCTTGATCTTGGACTTTCCAGTTTCTAGAACTGTAAGAAATAAATCTCCTTTCTTTATCAGTTACCCCATCTGTGGTATTCTGTTACAGAAACACAACACAGACTCAGACAGTAATTCTCCCACATGCTTTTATGTAAAAGTTACTTGAAGATGTACTCCAGCAAAATGAAAAAGGAATCTGAAAGGGAGGAAGACATGGGGTCTAGGAGGCAATGGCCAGTCTCAGAGTGCAACGAAGGGATGTCTGATGTAGACAACTGTACAGTAGGCATTGAGAGCATCCAGGGAAGATGGGGGTAGGAACTCATGGGGCTTTGAAAGATTCTTCAAGAAGAAATGGGACAGTAACAATTAAGAGAATAGATATGGCTGCAGCCATAAAAAAGAACAAGATTATGTCCTTCGCAGGGACATGGATGGAGATGGAGGCCATTATCCTTAGCAAACTAAGGCAGAAACAGAAAACCAAATGCTGCATATTCTCATAAGTGGGAGCTAAATGATGAGAACACATGGACACATAGAGGGGAATAACAGACACTGGGGCCTTTTGGAGGGAGGAGAGTGGGAGGAGGGAGAGGGTCAGGAAAAACAACTAGCAGGTACTAGGCTTAATAACTGGGTGGTGAAATAATCTGTACAACAAACCCCCATGACACAAGTTTACCTACATAACAAACCTGCACTTGTACCCCTGAACTTAAAGTACAAAGTATATATTAAATATAAACTATGTATATGCAAATAAAAGTACAAAATGGCATTTTTAAGGTAATATCTGTATGGCTTCATCTTGGAAAGAGTGCAATAATTTTGCCCTAGCTCCCCACAGGGTAGCCTTTGCTGCAGCCATGCTTGATATATCCACGTTGCTGACAAGAGCCTTGATATGGTTTGGCTCTGTGTCCCACCCAAATCTCATCTCCAGTTGTAATCCCCAGGTGTCAAGAGTGGGGCCTGATGTGAAGTGATTGGATCATGAGGGCAGTTTCCCCCACGCTGTTCTCATGATAGTGAAAGAGTTCTTATGAGAATTGATGGTTTTAAAAATGTTTGGCAGCCCCTTGTGCTCTTTTCTCTCTCTCATGGGCTGCCGTGTAAGATGTGCCTTTGCTTCTCCTTTGTCCTCCGCCATGATTGTAAGTGTCCTGGGGTCTCCCCAGCCATTTGGAGATGTGAGTCAATTAAACCTCCTTTACAAATTACACAGTCTCAGAAGACTGCTATTCTTTATAGCAGTGTGAAAACGGACTAGTATAAGCCTCAACATTAGCAGTGGCAAGTGTACATAGGCAGGTACCAAACTTTACATCTATTTGTTTGGAACCAAACTAAAGATACAATAAAAATACTTAAAAAAAAAAAAGAATAGATACAGCAATGACATCAAGGCAAATGTTTGGAAGAAAAAAAGAGAATCAATTAGAAATGTGGAGAAAAGCAAATATCTATTCAAATAAGTCATGGTCCAAATATGAAGGAAATTAAAGTGTCACCTAATTTTAAATAGTTGGTGAATGATGGAAACCTTGATGCCTGTCATATTTTCCTTTGTGTGAGCCAGATAAATGACCCAGGACTACCTTCCCTTCTCCTTGACTTCAATCCTACTTTGCGGTTCAGCAGTGAACAATCTCCATGTAATCACAACAATGTCAAAGCTGCTGGTTTCTCCATTTTTTTAGAATCAACATAGAGACTAAGTACAAAAACTGAATGATGATTAAAGAGTAAGATGTAAGCAGGACCTCAATGATTAAAGAAGGATATGTACATGTTCATCATGTCAAGCACCTTGTAAAAGTGGGGCTGATTGAATTAGGAAGATGAAACTTGTCAGGAGAGGAAGGAGGAGTATGGAGTGAATTTCCTCATTTAACAAAATGGGAGTCTGAAGCGGACAGAACAAGTAGGTGGTTCCACGTACTCTTTACCGTCATAAAGGTGACCAATATAAGAATTAAGCAGGGCTGGGTGCAGTGACTCATGCCTGTAATCCCAGCACTTTGGGAGGCCAAGGCGGGTGGGTCACTTGAGGTCAGGAGTTTGAGACCAGCCTGGCCGACATGGTGAAACCCTGTGTCCACTAAAAATGCAAAAAAAATTTAGCTGGGTGTGGTGGGTGCCTGTAGTCCCAGCTACTTGGGAGGCTGAGGCAGGAGAATCGCTTGAATCCGGGATGCAGAGGCTGTAGTGAGCTGAGATAACACCACTGCACTCTAGCCTGGGCAACAGAGTGAGACTCCATTTCAAAAAAAGAAAAAATAGAATTAAACAGGCAACTATCAAATCCAGGAGGAACAGGGGCAGTGGAAGCAGAGTGAGCAATCCACCTCCTTCTATTACCAAGTGGAGAATTGATGGATCCGTCTACACATGATCAATCAATAAAGAGTGATAAAACGTGTTATGGCAATGTGTGGAAGCAACTTCCAGGAGACCTAAACACAGAGGCAGTTAAATGCTTTGGGAGGCAATTAAATGCTTTGGGAGACCTAAACACAGAGGCAGTTAAGTAAAATGCATTTGTGCAGCAATATGCCAGGGATGTTTTGAGAAATGGTTTTGCATTGTTTTTTGTTTTATGTTTTAGAGATGGGATCTCATTCTCTCACCCAGGCTGTAGTGTAGTGGTGCAGTCACAGCTAACTGTAACCTCAGATTCCTAGGCTCAAGCAATCCTCCTGCCTCAGCCTCCAAAGTAGCTGGGACTATAGGCATGCACTCCCATGCCTGGCTAATTTTTTTTATTTTTTGTAGAGATGGTGTCTCACTATGTTGACCAGGTTGGTCTTGAACTCCTGGCCTCAAGCAATCCTCCCAAATCGGCCTCCCAAAGTGCTGGAATTACAGGTGTGAGCCACCACATCTGGCCAAGAAATGTGGTTTTTAAAACCAACATAAACTCTCTAGATATTCCTACTACCTTTCATAAGCAGCAGAGCCCTTTTTGCAAACACAAATTTATCCTGACTCCTAATCTATAAAATGGATCAAAGAAGCTGCTTTGACTGAAGAAGAAGTAGGAGGCTTGGAGTCCTTTATCATGCAGACTTATGTGTGTTCACACACACACACGCTCATCCCCATGTCACACACACACATTAGTACTCCTCAACACTCCACACACACTGCTCATCCCATATCACACACACACAATACCCTCCCAATGACACCCACATACACACTATACCACCCATGGCCACACACATTACTCACCTACACAAAATCATACCACATACAGGCACACCACATATCACATGCACACAGACACCCTATACACACATACAGACACACACATAGACACACACACATAAACACACACACACACAGAGTTCTCTAGGCCTCCAGGGTTTCATGGAACATAGTTTGAAAAATCATTGCCCTGGATGGAAGCATTGCATTAAATTTTAATAAGCTATTTTATTTCTTCTTCTTTTTCTTTAAAAAGGTAAAAACCCACTTTCATCAGCAACGATAAAATATTTGGTGATTAATTTCTTCAGGAGTACTGGTTTGAATGTGGAATTACTTCTTGTTGGTTCTTTGAAGTTAAACAGTGACATCTTCTAATGAGCCTAATAGATTACATATCATATCATCAGAAACCCCACATAATTTCCTGAATTCCATGTCACAAGGGAGAACATACTAATAGGTCACTTGTACAAAGTCAAGATCAATGATATGAATCGAAAAAAAACAGTTTCACCGGCCAGTGGGGCCCAAAGACAAAGATCTGGCTTCGTGCTATGTCCACGCGGTTCCAAGCCAGTGCCAAGCTCAGCTGATCTGGAGCAGATACGTTTGTTCCTGGAAAGGCAAGAAACCGGAATGATTTTTCACTCCACGCCTGGACCGCCAGGGTTTGGCAGGTGCTGGGTGGTGAGCACAGGCTTCCCTTGGGCTGCTGGCCTAGAACTAAGCATTGCTGGCTTTGCTCTTGCCCTGAATGACCACAAAGGCTCCGAGCTGAAAGAGCTTCCCTGGAGGAAGGTGGAGGCAGCCTCTTCCCATGCCAGCTGTGCATGGTCTCCTTGGGAGGGACAGAACAGGAACCCAGTGACTCAGGGACCCTGGAGATGATCTCCAGGAAGGCTGGAACCCTGGGACTGCCAGGCAGCCAGCCTGACAGTGACCCTTCCCCTCTCTCTGTCCTCCCTGCCCCCTCATGGCACCAGGCTAACTGAGAGGCAGGGAGGAAGTGTGCATCCCAGAGCAGACCCTCCCCGCCCGGCCATGAACGCTGGCCTGAAGCCTGTCATTAGAACCAAGACGGGGAAATTGGACAGAACACTGCGGAATGCAGTGATTGCAAAGGAACCCATCTGATGTTTACACTCTAGGAGCTGAAGCCCTCAATGAACCAGTTACAAATAGAAACGGTTCTGACCTCAGCCCATGATGGTCCAGGAGCACCCACAGACCTCTGCCCCACAGAAACAGCGAGCCTTGTCATTCTGCCGTGGCTTCATGCTGAGACTGCTCAAGTGGCCTGGCTGGCTCAGGGTCTAGCACCAGCAGACATAGTCCATGGGAGGCCGGGAGGGAAGGATTGCCGGCTAGGCCAACATCAGAGGGACAGGAGTCACCATTTCCTGAGAGCTCACCTTTCAGCAGGGCAGTTAAAATTGCCATCTCGATGTCCTGCTGGCCCTCAGAACCCATTCTGAACACAGTGACCTGAAAATGTGAAAAGACTGAATTAAAGCCAAGTTGAAAACAAGAAGGAGATATGGGGTGTTGTTACAAAATGACCACAGAGACTGACACGTAATAAAATGATCCTGAGCACTAAACAGTTTCAAAGCAAGTGCTGTTGATTTCTTTTTTTTCTTTTCTTTTTCTTTTTTCTTTTTGTTTTTTTTTTGAGATGGAGTTTCGCTCTTGTCGCCCAGGCTGGAGTGCAATGGCGCTATCTTGGGTCACTGCAAACTCCACCTCCCAGGTTCAAGCGATTCTCCTATCTCAGCCTCCCAAGTGGCTGGGATTACAGGTGCACGCCACCATGCCTGGCTAATTGTTTTGGTATTTTTAGTAGAGATGGGGTTTCACCATGTTGGCCAGGCCGGTCTCAAACTCCTGACCTCAGGTGATCTGCCTGTCTCAGCCCCCCAAAGTGCTGGGATTACAGGTGTGAGCCACTGTGCCCGGCTGATTTCCAGAAGTTATGGCATTGCCGTGGGGTGCCTGCCTGCATACTGACTTTATTATTTTCCCCATCCCTTCTGGCACCCTCGAGAGGAGGGAGCTACACTCCGAAATCTCAGTCGCCATCGGAGATGCAAAGTCGTATCTAATCAGACAGGAGATATTTGTAGGAATTAGAATTTTGAAGAGGCCATCTTATGTGCACGACAAGAGTACCTATTCCTTGTAAATGGAACGGAAGAGGGAAGGAGTGGGAAATAAAATAACAGAACTTTGTAAACATGCCTGACAGGGTGGTATGTGGCCCTTTTCCCCAAGACTATCAATCTGAGTAATATTATGAGCCTCAGAGGGTGTTGTGTGGTGTCATGCCCCACTTGCTAAAGTTTGAAAGCACCAGGGGCCCTCCCCTGTGTGGGCTCGTTCAGCTTCTGTCATGTGGACACAGCCACCAATTTGGTATGCATTTGTACTGTCTCTCAGAAAAGGCCGGACTAAAATATGAATAACCCTGTCATGCACACATGGGCGGAATTAGAAAAGGAAACATAATTCTCTCCACAGAGCTTGTTTGGAAATAAATTCAAGACACTTACGAGTTCTTTCTTCTTCATGCACTCCATTATAATTGCAAACAGCTGATGTGATTGTGCCTTATTATAATTAAATGTTTTCTGAATGGTAACTAGAAGCTGCTCCCTGAGGGACTCATTTATTATTCTGTTCAAAGAAAATGCAAGAGAACAAAACAAGGCAAGTTAAATCTATATATGAATGAGTCAGACATATCTCTGTCTTTGATTTGAGACTTTGCTGTGGGAGGATATCCTGACACAGGAGACAAAAAGTAACCATAGTCAAACATCGTATTCTCACTTGTCCTAAATTCCAGCTTTGTTGCAAACTTTCTAAGGGCAAATGAAGTTGGAAATGAGGGAGAGAGAATTCCATCAGGAACACCCTGCCTCTGATGGTTCCCCTGGATGCTGACCTGAGGAAATGGGAGAGGAGATCTAGCAAATCTTCCTGATTTAAACACGTTTGGAATGTCTAAGCAGACCACTTTAGATTTTCTCCTTGGCCCGACAAAGAGGGAGTTACGAACCCGCCCTTCCTCGCGCGTCAGAAATCCTACCCGCCTTCTTCACAGTACTTGTGCGCAAAGGACAGGATGTCCGAGGCACGTCCGCTGCCATCACAAATCACCACAGGGATGGGAGGCTCTTCTTGCAGGTATTCCAAGACGATGGACACCACGTTAGGGCCCCCCTCCACCACGAGACCCACGAGGGGCACGCCCTGCCCCAGTCCTGCAACACAAACCACATTCGCCCATACCACCTGTGCCCTGCACTGTCCACCCAGTCGTTTTAACTCCTGAAGTATGGGGAAGAGTAAAAACATTACGACTTGGGGGATGTTCTATCTGGCTGGAAGGAATTCAGGCATGTGATAACAATTTTCTTTTTCTTTTCTTTTCTTTTTTCTTTTTTGAGACAGAATCACACTCTGTCCCCCAAGCTGGAGTGCAGTGGCATGATCATGGCTCACTGCAGCCTCAACCTCCCTCTCAGCTCAGGCAATCCTCCCACCTCAGCCTCCTGAGTAGCTGGGACTATGGGCACATGCCACCACACCTGGCTAATTTTTGGTAGAGATGAAGTCTTGCCATGTTGCCCAGGCTGGTCTCAAACACCTGGGCTCAAGTGATCCACCTGCCTTGGCCTCCCAAAGTGCTAGGATTACAGGTGTAAGCCACTGTGCCCAGCCCAGTTATCATTCTTGCATTCTGTCACATATTATGGCCTCATTGGGAAAACCAGGACCTCAAAGTCTGAAACTTTCTGACTCACATATGGTTAAACTCCTGAATAACCCACCCACCTGATGTTGGGGCTACTTCAAGGTGACCACTGAGAAATATTGGAAGGTATTCCTGGCTGGAAAAATATCCCCCTGGCTGTCCTAGCCTATGGTCTGAAATTCCCACCCTGATGGCTGTCCCTGAAGAATAAGATGATGAAAGGGGATCTGGACCAGCCAGGGAAATTGCAGTTCAATTCCTGGCTTCTCCCTTATGACACTGGGCCAATCACCAAATCACCAAGAGCCTTAGACAGCCATTTGTAAAAGGTGAACAATCACAGTGCTTCCTTTAACTCCTGCAGTTGTAAAAATATCAGAATATGTGTTTGGCTAGCAAATAATTTTGTAAACGTTAAGTAGCATACAAATGAGGTACACTGTTCTTGTTGACGTTTCTGTCTTCAGTGGCTGGAATAAAGTGCAGATCTTGGACGCAGCCACTTGGACCACTAGTGGCCCATCAGTTAATGACCTGTTCCCAGAGTCCTCCCTCTGTCTCTATCAGTTAATAGGACTCTTCAAGAACACAGTGGGTACCAACTAACTTTTGGTGGCAGAACCTGCAGGCATGGCTCTGGGAAGCAAGAGGTGGCAGGAAGATTCCAGGAAGTTGGGATTCTGGAATGGGAAGGAAATGGGAGTGGAGGCACATTTGCCTACTTCCTAATTTTATGCCACACTGGCCATGACAGATCACACTCTGAGCCTATTTCACCAGCTGTCCATTAGTTGTGATGGGAATTAGTTGATCGATATTAACTAAAGGCAAGTGGAAGTATCGTTGGTCTCAGCTCTGAAGGGCTTCAGATAAAAATCTGCCAGCATTGGTTAAGAGAAGATTGGAGAATTTCAAATGAGCCATTTCAGAGTTTCTAATTTGCTTCCATGAGGTGTTTCTACAGTCAGGGACTCTTACATATGTTGAATAACTCTGCTGTGTCCACCAGAGTAATTACAGCTAAGTTCATTTCAGCAGACATGCATTGAGGGTCTGCTTTGTGCAAAGCCCTGACCAGGAGATATTGGAAAAATGAACTAAGATATCCTGGACTCCGCCTTTGAGATTTCCAACCCAAGCAAGGATTGATATTTTCAATCTTTAGGAATATGGTGGCCAAATCACCTTCTTTTCGAGCAACAGAGTAGAACAGGTTCTTCTTGGCTTAGGCTGGAGTCCTCGAAGCTCCGTGCTGTGGGAAGTGACAACTGAGCACCCCTTTGCTGTCCCTGCCCTGCTCAGAGCCCTAGGCGAAGGATGACAAAGGGAAGCCCACAAGTCACATGGCCAGGTGAAATGGGGTGTTGTAAAAACTTACAAGTCCAGAAAAATTAGAGATGTGAGAACAAAAAACATTCAGTCATCGACCAATGTATTCTTCGAGATCTGATTCTCGGAAATCTACAACTTTTCCTAGTAGGCCATCCCCATTCTACCCACTCTGCAGCATCACAGTCCCATACATGATGATTCCCAATGACCATTCGCCAGGACTAGATGGTCTCCCACAAAAATCTTGCCAGTAATGGGAAAAACAAACTGCTCTTTCAGATCATTTAACAATTGTTTGACGTTAAGAATTACTGGAGTATAAACATGCTCCAAGAGATTATACCAGTTATTGTAATTCTAACCAGTTGTTATCATTGTTTCTTCTGGTTGAGGTTTGCGTCTTTCTCTCTAGTTCGACCTCAGCTTTCGTCTGACAGTGACAGCTCCCCCTCAGGACCAGCAAGGATGATGCCCCTTCAGGAGCAGATGGCTCCTGCAGCCCTCTCCAGATATGTCCCCACCTGGCCATCTTAGTCTACATGAAAGGCCCAGCATTACAGAGATATTTAATAATCACATAATACTTATCAGCAAATAGAAAGAATCCTACTAAATCTTTGAGAAATTGTTTTCCTGTTAAAACACTTAAAAAATAACAACTAATTACAGGGAACAAGAACCACTGGGCAACAGGGTGGGCAAGGCCATCACCATGGCGAGCACTGAGGGTTATTTCGTGCTAACTTGTGAACCTGGGGCAAAGCATCCCCATGTAGCCCAGTGAATGTGATTTGGTAGGTGGCTAAGGTAAGACATCTAGGTGAGTCATTTTCTGTTGACCTAACAAGAAGCAAGGTTAATCTTCTAATCCCCTTGGGCAATCAATCTCCTTCTCAGCCTTGTTTCCACTGTGATGGCATCAGCCCAGGAGGACTGCGTGCCTTTGCCAGCACTTACTTGTGTTGATCTTCTGCAGGGAGATGTGCTTTTCCAGCAGCCTTCGCAGCTTCACCTCGGCGCCATACTTGCCCAGGGTGCCATTGTCAGCCAGGATGAAGTGGGTGTGGGAGTTGTTGAGCACAGAGAGCTTACTTAGAGGGTTGGACATGGTCTGGTACACTCTTGTTACCTGACAAAGTGCACAGCGCAAATCAGACCTGCAGGACTTGGATGTTAAGACCAACAAGGGAAGCAAGCACAATACATATGTGTGGAGTGACTGCACTAAAACTTATTCTCACATCTCTACCCTGCCTTTTGAAGGTTTTATTTTTGCCAATTGTTACATTAAAATAGAAAGAAAGTTAATTGTTTTAGATAATGACAACCTAGCAATTGCACCCCTGGCATTTATCACAGAGAAATGAAAACCTATGTTAACCTCAAATCCTGCACTGGAATGTTTATGGCTACTTTACTTGTAACAGCCAAACTGTTCCTCAACAGACAAATGGTTAAAGAAACTGGTGCCTCCATATCATGGGATGTCAGCCAGCAGTAAAAAGGAATGAAGACCAATACATATGGCAACCTGGACGCGTGTTCAGAGAACTATGTGGAGTGAAAAAAAAGCCAATCCCCAAAGGTTACATTACTGTATGATTCCATTTACAGAACCTTCTTGAAATGCGGGGTGGTGCAGATTAGTTGTTTCCAGGGGTTAAGGAAGAGGTGGGGGTAGGAAGGAGTGAGGTATATGTATATGAAAGGGCAACAGGAGGGATCCTCGTGTTGATGGAAACATTCTGCACCTTGACCTTATCAATGACAGTATCCGGGTTGTGATCTTGCATTATGGTTTTGCAAGATGTTACCATTGGAGGAATGGGAAAGGCTGCAAGGGAGCTCTCTTATTATTCTTACAACTGCATCTGAATCAACGGTTACCTCAAAATCAATCATTAATTTTAAAAAACTGCCAACATTTGCAGAGAAAACACTTACATCCTTTCCAACCAGGTCTTCCTTATTCTCCACGATGCCCCATGGAGCAATTCCTATAGCACAAACCCGGCCTCTGGACTTGGAGGAGTGGTCTTTCAAGGCATCCCCTACGTGGCTGATAACACCTGTGAGCAGCCATTGGTCATATTTTAGGCTCTTTTACTTCCCAGCACACCATCATTCATGAAATTTAGGGACACTTGCCCTGAGTCCCTACATTCCCTACAGATCAGGGGTGAGACACACTCATCTTTATCATTAAAACAAAGTACACTGAAAGTCTGAGCTCATGATAACGAGCAATCTTGCATTAACTCTAGAAACGGGAAAACAAAAACAGAAACCAAAGCAACTGTGTAGGGATTTCCTTTACAGATGTCTAAGGCCTAAAGCTGGAAATAACTGGAGTCTTTTTGGCATTCCTTGGCTGCCTTCAGTGAAAATTGAGAGCCATACTGCCTGGTATGTTCCTTAATGTCTTTGTGCCTCAGTTTCCTGTCCTATAACAGGAAAAGGATTGTCGAGAGGTCTAATGAAGATGATGCTTGTACAGGGCTCAGTTCAAGGAATATTGCATGTCATGGGTGACCCAGAGATGTTGACCATTATGACAATCATTACTATATTTGCTGTTTTTTTTTAAGAGTCATATCAAAGTAAAAAACACAAGCTAGGGAATAAAGACTTCACTTTAGTCATAAATAGGATCAGGATGCAATATGTTTTGTTGTCCTTAGTTATTAGGAAGCTCTTTGGGGACCACAGTGAGTTCTGGGTGGTACATTGATTATCGGGAGGGAAAGGGCCTGCTCTTACCTGTGCTGACACCCCCGGTGAAGATCCAGGCCCCGGTGGTCATAGCAGCCTTGATCAGGCCTTTCCCAAAGACTTGTTTCAGCTTGGGCTGCATCTCAAAGTTCTGGAGGCCTCCATGCACAGATATTAAGAGCTTGGGGAGTTCCAGCTGCCAATCTTTCACCATGAGATGGAGCAGTGAGTCTGGCTTGGTGTCATAGGATACACGGATATACTGTGAAAGAGTGTGTGGCACTCAGCCTCTGTTCTTGGTTTTGCTTCTCGTGTCAAAGGGGAGTGAGGCTATTGCTCATGTCCAAGCAAGAACTGCCTGGCTTGTCTCTTCCTCAGGGCCCTGGAGCCCTCTGTGTGAGTCTGTGGCCAAGTGACTGAAGGGAACTTTGGAGAGGATTGTCAGGTTTAGCAAATACAAATAAAAGATGCCTGGTACCATGGTCTGAATGTTTGTATTCCCCTAAAATTCACGTGGAAACCTGATTCCCAATGCAATAGTGTTAAGAGGTGGGATGTTAGAAGGTGATTACGTCATGAGCATGGATCCCTCGTGAGTGGGACTAGTGTCCTTATAAAAGAGGACTCAGGGCTGGGCGTGGTGGCTCATGCCTGTAATCCCAGCACTTTGGGAAGCCGAGGCAGGTGGATCACTTGAGGTCAGGAGTTCGAGACCAGCCTGACCAACATGTTGAAACCCCGTCTCTACTAAAAAAAATACAAAATTAGCCAGGTGTGGTAGCGCATACCTGTAATCTCAGCTACTTCAGAAGCTGAGGCAGGAGGATCACTTGAACCTGGGAGGCGGAGGTTGCAGTGAGCCAAGATTGAGCCATTGCATTCCAGCCTGGGCAACAAGATCGAAACTCCAACTCAAAAAAAAAAAAAAAAAAAAAAAAAGAGGACTCAGAGAGCTTGTTCTCTGCTTCTGCCATGTGAGGACACAGCAAGAAGGTGCTATCTATGAAGCAGAGGATGGGCCCTCGCCAGGCACCAAATCTGCTGGCACCTTGATCTTGGGCCTCCCAGACTCTAGAAATGTGAGCAATAAATTTCTGTTGTTTATAAATTCCCCAGCCTAAGGCAATTTGTTATAGCAGCCAAACAGACCAAGACACCCAGTTAAATTTGAATTTTAGAGGAACAATGAAAAATGTTTCAGTACAACATTTTTATTAAATGCAATAAATCATGCAATATTTGGGACATACTTGTACTGAAAATTTATCCAATGTATGTCTGAAGTTCAAATATAACTGGGTGTCCTGTATTTTATCTGGCAATCCTAATGTTGGAGGAATAGGTTCCAAAGCTGGCTTAGCTAGAACAGTGGCCCAAGAAGTTGGATGAGGATGTTGTTGAGTAAATGGGTCAGGCGATCATGGGCCCACCCATGAACTTGACCTCTTCAAAGTGAGGAGGAGGCTAATAATGCTCAGATGCCTTGTCTCCTATAAACTGCTTCTTTGTGTCTGGGCTAATATGTAGGGTGCCATTTCAGAAGACTGTATATTGCAGCATTTGGAACACAGCTAAATTTTATTTTAACAATGATGTTGGGCCAGTGAAATAAAATGAAATTGCAAAAAGTCTGTGACTGGGCATGTAGGAGTGTAATTCAGAGTGAGCTGGAACGGATCACAGAGCTGAAGCCTCCCCCACGCTGGCAGGGCTCACTGGAAGGGCAGAGGGCACTCCCTGTTTACATGCAAATGTGAGGGACCTTGGTCCTTCTCGGGCCAGCTGAGCGCAGGCCCAGGGAAGCTGTGGACAGACCTCAGAGGAAAATATTTCCAAAGACTCTCAACACATCTAAGGGGGCTGCAGGTCCACAGTTATTAGAAAAATGAATTTGTCTTCCTTTACTGAAGATGGAGCAATGGAGTGTGTTTGCAGGGTTGGGCCAGAGCCTGGTTTGTGGATTCAGAGCTTTGGTATGGATTTACGGGACACTAGATGTTCTTTACAGTGGTGTCCAGTTTCCAAGCCTCATGGCTAAAAGCCATGTGCACAGATATATCTCTTGGTTTTTCAATGAAATATCTAGGAAGATTGAGCCACAGCCATGAAGAAGACCAGGTATCTGCAGTTTGGGGCTGGGAGACTGGCCGCCAATGAAAGCTGTGATCCTAGTGGCACCATGTCTGAATGCCTTTCTCACCATGGCTTTATTGGAATATCCGCCACCCTGGAATTCAAGAACTCCATAGGAATCTGTTGGGTAGCTCTGGGTGTGCTTGGCAACAGACCATTTCTCAGGCTGAGTCTCCACCTGTTTGCTTTCCTCTTCATTTTTGCTGGGTGTTGCACTTGGCAGAGGGGGGATATGCTGGTTGGTGAACTGGCCACAGCAACACCTGAAAACAAAGGCAAAGCAGGGTCTTTCTACAACAATCTCCCCCTTTCCCCTTCATTAGCAAAAATGAATTAACCTCAACAGGTGAGTTGGGCCCAAACAGGAGCCTACTAACACTTCAGTAAGCCAGCGTTATTAGGGACAGAAATGCCCCATCTGATGGCCTTTTCCAGATAATCAGTGCACATCTCTTTATATGCCAGTCGATTTTAGACACATTGGATGGTTGCTCTTTCGGAAAATATTTCAACTTTTTGATGTCTTGATAACATCAGTATAAACATCAAGTACTAAACATTCTGTGACAAAGTATAGACATGCCCTCCGAACATAGAGTTGACCTTCCAGATTTTTCTTTCTCTTGTCATTCAGGTTGGAGTGTAGTGGCGCTATCATAGCTCACTGCAGCCCAGACCTCCCCCAAGCTCAGGTGATCCTCTCACCTCAGCCTCCCTAGTAACTGGGACCACAGGCACACACTACCATGCTCAGCTAGTTTTTATATTTTTAGTAGAGACAGCATTTTGCCATGTTACCCAGGCTGGTCTCGAACTCCTGGGCTCAAGCAATCCGCCTGCCTTGGCCTCCCAAAGTTCTAAAATTACTTACTTAGGTGTCAGCCAAATTTTTCCATATTGTTGAATTGTTCTGTTCCTTAGTAAAACATTTCTCCACTCAAGTAATGCTAAAAGGCTATTTCAAAAGTGACCAATATGTCTTTTTCTGCCTTGGACAGATGGCCCATTGGGCCATAACCCGCCCCAGCATCAGGGATCTTCTAGCTCTACAGCATCTCTCCCAAAACCCAGCCAACCTCTCACGCCCTCCCTGAACTCTGGCTTTCTAGTCTTCTCTGAACATGTTCCCTGGCTTTGTGCCAGCTTCTTTTCCTAGTGTGCCTAGGATTTCATCTGTTACTCCATCATTTTTGGCTGCCACTGTTTTGAGTGGACTGGACCCACCAAAAACTTGAAAAGTTTGTTAGGAAGAACTGCAGTAGCCTGGAGTGATGCCTTGGTGGAGATGGAATCCAGGGAAGGCATGGAGGGAGGTCTGTTCCTGGACCCAGCAGGAGCCTGTGTGGGCAGCCGTGCACCCTAGCAAATGGGGTGGGAGAGCTGGGGATGGAGTTGGCTTGAGGACTAGAGAGGATGTCTTTACTGGGCTAGATGTGCGAATGCGTGCACGTGTGTAATGCACATGTGCAGGGCCCTTGCCAGAAGGCTTTCTGTGCTCCCATGGGGCCAGCCTTGGGGCTTCCTCCCTGCCTTGTCTTTCCTTTTGTTTTCCTTTTTCTTTTCCCTCCTCGCTTCCCCATTCTCTCCCTCCCACCCTCCTTCTGATGGCCTTCCATCTTCCCTCCCTCACTCCCTCCCTCTTTCTCTCTCTCTTTTTTCCTTTTATTGAGATATAATTCATGTAATACATAATCAACCCATTTCAAGTATGTGATTCAGGCCAGGAGCAGTGGCTCACGCCTGTAATCCCAACACTTTGAGAGGCCGTGGCATGTGGATCACTTGAGGTCAGGAGTCCGAGACCAGCCTGGTCAATATTGTGAAACCCCGTCTCCACCATAAACACAAAAATTAGCTGAGTGTGGTGGCACACGTCTGTAATTCCAGCTACTTGGGAGGCTGAGGCAGGAGAATCGTTTGAACCCCGGAGGCAGAGGTTGCAATGAGCCGGGATCGTGGCACTGCACTCCAGCGTGGTTGACAGAGTGAGACTCCGTCTCAAAAAAAAAAAAAAAACATATATATATATATATATATATATATATATATATATATAGAGAGAGAGAGAGAGAGAGAGAGAGAGAGAGATTAAATGGTTTTTAGTATTGACAGATATGTGCAACCATCATCACAGTTAATTTTCGAACATTTTCATCACCTCAAAAAGAAACTTGGCATGGCATATTTTAAGTTATCTTCCTTCTCACCACCATCTATCTACCTGTGCACCACTCCCCAAGCCATAAGCAACCTCAAGTCTACTTTTTATCTCTGTGGATTTCCATGTTCTAGACACTTCATATGAATGCAGTCCTGTAATATCTGGTCTTTGGAGATCAGCTTCTTAGCATGTTTTCAAGGTTCATCCATATTGTAGCATGTGTTGGTACTTCACTCCCTTTTATGGCTTAATAATATTCTCGTATGAATGGATGAACATTTTGTTTATCTATTTATCATTTAATGGACATTTGGGCTATTCGCACTCTTCAGCTGTTATGAATAATGCTGCTATGAATATTTATGTAACAAGTTTTTGAGTGGATGAATGTTTTCATTTTTCTTGGGTATACACTAGGCATGGGATTGCTGGGTCATACGGTTACTCTATGTTTAATCTTCTGAAGAACCACCAAACTGTTCTCCAAGGTGGCTGTATCATGGTACATTTCCACCAGCAGTGTCTGAGGGTTCTGATTTCTCCATATCCTCTCCCACACACTATCTTACATTTTCATTCTAGTCTTCCTTCTGAGTGTGAAGCAGTTTATCATCATGGTTTTGATTTGCATTTCCCTGAAGAATAAGGACATTGAGCATTTTTCATGTGCTTATTGACTATTTGTGTATCTTCTTTGGAAAGATGTCTATTCATTTCCTTTGCCCATTTAAAAAACTTGGGTTATTTATTTTTTTTTAATTATTGGATCTCTTTCCGTATTCTGGATACAAGTCCCTTATCAGAGACATAATTCACAAATATTTTCTCCCATTCTGTGGGTTGTCTTTCCACTTTCTTGATAGCGTCCCTTGAAGCACAGTGTTTAATTTTGGTAAAGACAATTTTTTTGTTGTTTTTGTTGTCCATGTTTTTGGTGTAATATCTCAGAATCATTTGCCAAATCCCAGGTCATGATTTACCCTTACATTTTCTTCTAAGAGTTTTATAGTTTTAGCTTTGACATTTAGGTGTTTGGTCCATTTTAACTTTTATAGATAGCATGAGGTAAGGGTCCAAGACTATTCTTTTGCATGTGGCTATCCAGTTATTCCAGTACCATTTGCTGAAGAGACGACTACTATTTCGCCATTGAAAGTACTTTTCACCCTTGCCAAAAATCAATTTGCCATAGGTGTATGGGTTTATTTCTGGACTGTCAATTCTGTTCCATTTGTCTATATGTCTATCCTATGCCAGTATCGTTGTCCTTTTATTACTGTAGCTTTGTATTAAGTTTTGAAATCAGAAAATGTGAGTCCTCCTATTATTCTTTTTGATGCAATTATAGATAAATTATGTTGCCAGTTTCATTTCCATATAGTTCATTGCAAGTGTATAGAAATACATTTGATTTTTGTGTATTGATCTTATATGCCACAATCTTGCTGAACTCATTTATTAGTTCTAATATTTTTTGGTGGATTCCTTAGGATTTTTCTATGTATAAGATTATGTCATCTGCAAATAGAGAGTTTTACTTCTCTCTTTCCAATCTCAATATTTTTTCTTTCTTTATTTCTCTTACCTAATTGCTTTGGCCTGTACTTCCATTAAAATGTTGAATAGAAGTAGCGAGAGAGGACATCCTTATCTTGTTCCTAATCTTAGGAGGAAAGCAATCTTTCACCATTAAGTCTGATGTTAACTGTGGATTCTTTATAGCTGTTCTTTATCGGGTTGAGGAAGTTCCCTTCTATTCCTGGTTTTCCGAGTGATTTTTTATAAAGAGTGTTGAGTTTTATCCAAGTCTTTTGCTGTGCCTATTGAAAAGATCATGTGATTTTTGTTTCTACTATATTGATATGCTATATTACATTATTTATTTTTCTAATGTAAACCAACTTTACATTCCTGGGATAAACCCTGCTTGGTCATGGTGTATCATTATTTTTATATGTTGCTGGATTTGGTTTGATAGTATTTTGTTCAGAATTTCTGCACCCATGTTCATAATAGATATTGATCTATAGTTTTCTATCTTGTGATATCTTTGTCTAGTTTGGTATCTGGGTAGTACTGGCCTCATTAAATGAGTTGGGAAATGTTCCCTTCTCTGCTATTTTCTTGAAGAGTTTGTGAAGAATTGGTATTAACTCTTCCTTAAATGTTTTTTAGAATTCATCGAAAAAGCCATGTGGGCCTGGGCTTTTCTTTGGACAGTTTTTTTATTACTAATCCTATCTCTTTACTCCTTATAGATCTGTTCAGATTGTACATTTTTTCTTGAGTCAGTTTTGGCAGATTGTATATTTCTCAGAATTTTCCCATTTCATCTAAGTTATCTAATTTGTTTGCATATAAGTCATAGTATTCTTTCATACTCATTTCTATAAGGTTGGTAGTAATGTCCCCTCTTTCATTTCTGAGTCTAGTCATTTGAGTCTTATCTTTCTCTTCTTTTATGACTCTAGCTAAAGATATGTGAATTTTGTTGAGGTTTTTAAAGAAGAGCTTTTAATTTCATTGAATTTCTCTACTTTTCTATTCTCTTTTCCATTAATTCCACTTTAATCATTATCTCCTTCCCTCTACTTGCTTTAGGTTTAGTTTACTCTTCTTTTTCCAGTGTCTTAAGGTAGAAAGTTATGTTACTTATTAAATATCTTTCTTAATATAGGTATTTACAGGTATAAATTTCCCTGTCCGTACTACTTTACCTGCATCCCCTAAGTTTTGGTTTGTTATGTCTTCATTTCCATTTACCTAAAAGTATTTTCTAATTAACCTTCTGACATTTTCTTTAACCTAGTGGTTATCTGGTAGTGTATTAATTTTCACATATTTATGAGTTTCCAATTTTTTTCCTCCTATTGGTTTCTTATTTCTAATTTTATTACATTGTGGTTGGAGGACAGTTTGTATTATTTCTATCCTTTTAGATATTTTGAGGCTTTTTAATGGACTAACACATGGTCTATGCTGGAGAATGTTCCATATGCACTTGAGAAGAATGTGTTTTCTATTGTTACTGGGTGGTGTGCTCTATAGTTATCTGTTAAGCCTAATTGGTTTATGATGTTGTTCAAGCTTTCTATTCCCTTGTTGGTCTTCTGTTTAGGTGATCTATGCATTATTGAAAGTGGGGTATTGAAGTCTCCAACTGTCATGTTGAATTGTCTACTTCTCCCTTTGTTTATGTCAGTTTTGCTTCATGCATTTTGGTGCTGTTTTAGGTACATATATGTTTATATTTGTTGTAACTTCCTGATCGATTGTCCCATTTATCATTATAAAATGTTCTTAATATCTCTAGTTACATTTTCTTGCTTTAAAGTATGTTTTGTCTGAATCCATTATAACCACTCTCACTTTCTGTGGTTGCTGCTTACATGAGTGGGGCACGGGTGGAAGAAGGGAGCCTCTATCTCTCAACTGCATTCATTCAGGACTTAGCCTCAGCAACAGGTGGTAAGGGACAGGATGAGAAATGCTGAAATCCTGCTCCTCCCAGGAAGAAAGCCCCCTGACTGGGAGCTGGTGGAGAGGGAGCTCTGTGTTCTTGGCTGCAGCACTCTGGAGTAGAGTCTCTATCTTGCTGAGCTGGGCAGAGGGAGGGAGGAAACTCTTGGTTCAAATCCCACAGACTCTAGCCTTTCTTACTGAATTTTTGCTGGCTTTCTCTAAAGATATTCCTTTACTTGCTGTTTGTCTTTGGGATCATTTCCAAGGGTTTAAACGGTTGGTTTTTTCATTCTAGTTTTTTTTTTTTTTTAATCCATGCTGGGGACTGCATGGAGTGCATCAAGGAGGCTTGTATGTGAGCCCAGAAGCACTTTTTGCCCTCTATTGCCTGGGCATCTGGCTTCATGGAGGACTGCAGTGCTGGCACAGAGAGTTCCCAGGATGGCCTATGTGCCATTGAAATAAGAAGGGACATGTAGATGCAACAAAGGGGAGACTTTTGTGACCGTTGGCATTGTTTCATAATGGCATTTCTTACCTCGGGGGGCAATCACTGGGGTTTAAGCAGGGAGGAGAATCTGCAGGGTGGTGTGGGGCAAGGGGCAGCTTGGGGATGTGGAGGGACTGTGATTGCATGTGTGAAACAAATTTGAAGCAGGTGATCTTGAAGAGTGTGTACTTCTGTGTCATTATTCTACCTGCATGAATTTCATATTGGACGAATGTATGGATAAATTGTTCCCCTTCCCCCAGACTCAGCCTCATAGCTTTTGCCCTTAGAGATGAGACATTTTAGTTAAATTAATCTCTACTTACATGACTTTACAAGGCCTCTGTTCAGCTTATAACAGATGCATTTTAATGTAGGTGAATAAAATTGTTGGATGTTTTGTGTACAAGCCAAATCCTTTAATAAAGTTATAGCTAGTTCATTCAACCGCTCAGATCTTTCCTGTGATGGAAATTCCTTTTCATCTAAATACATTATGAAACTCTATTGAAGAGGCCTGGAAAATATCCTGGAAACCTGTTGAAAGCCCTCAACTCCTTGATCTTGCTGAGACTAAGAGGAATGATGTGGGCCCAGTTGGCTATGAGAGTTCGCATTAGGGTGGGTGGTGGACACAAACTCTTTTCTGAAGCCATTTGCATGTTAATGGAGTAACAAGGAGCCCCAGTGACTCCCTTGTTAGTGACTCCCATGGGGAATGGATTCTGGCCACCCTTCTGGACTCCTCTTTCTGCCTCTTACAAACATGAGAATAGTGGCAGACAAGCACTGGTTTGGATAATGTCTTAATCGTGGATTTCAATTTACCTGTTAGAGTCTTTCATGCTAGGAATTACAAAGATACATTCCCGTTTGCAAAAGGTTTTCTCTATCCAAGATTTCTGACCCTGGAAGAGAGAGAGAAGTGGATATTGGACCAATACATTCCCAAGCCATCATCAGAGTCCATTCTTATACCTTTATAAAACAATATGTCTGCCCACAACATCTGAATAGTCATCTGCAATAATGGTGGATGCAAGTCTTTAAGGATCTTAGCTCTAGTACCTTTTAAGAGAAATGGCTTGCAAGTATGTATTTAATGGTTCTCATTTTGCACCTTAATTCATCCATATCCACCTGTTGAAGATATTTTTTGTGCACGGTTCTGGGGTGGGAGCTGTGGGGATTTCCAAGGAGATAAACTGCAGTGCAAGTGTTGTTTACCATCTGGAAATGGCACGTTAGGGGTGTGGCTCAGGGAGGCCACCTGGAGCAGAAGGAGGTGGGAGGGAAATCCCCTGTGGAGGCCCTGCTGGTGCTGGATGCTCAGCGATTTCTGCTGGCTTTATCCCACATGGCCTCTTGTTCTGTCACCAGGGACATCTCACACAGAGGCTGGGCACTGGGAAGTGAACCGGCCTGCATCTGAAGGGCCCCATTGGGTCTGCTTCCCAGGGTTTGTGGAGTCAGTTGGCAGAGAGAGCTGGGGAGAGCCCTTCCTGCAGGTGGGAGGGAGGTGCAGGCAGGCTGTGGGGCAGGGGCCTCGGGGATCCCTGGAAGGGCTCGTGGGAGGCAGGGAGAGAGCCAGCACCCTTCGCTGGATCTCCATGAGGCCTGGCTCAGTGCGTATTTGTGCTATTTGTGGATGTATGATGTGTGTGTGTGTGTGCTATGTTTGTGTATGTGTCTGATGGATGTGTGTTGTACGAGTGCAGAGTGTGTCGTGATGCATGTGTGTGTGTGTGATGAGTCTGTATGTGAGTGGGTGTGTGCGCACGCATGTGTGGTGTGTGTTTGTGATGTGTGTGTGGTGTTATGTGTGTGGTATGTGTGCAGTGTAGTGTGTTGTGTGCATGACTATGACCTGTGTAGTGTGGCGTGTGCATGACTATGACCTGTGTAGTGTGTATGTCTGTGGGGAGCTTGTGGGGTGCTTGCAGGCATGGGGAAGTAGAACGCTTAGCATGTGACAATCCTGAGTCAGATCTTAGAGAAACCATGGCCGGCGGGAGCCTTGTGTCCTTGGCCACTTTCCCACAACTGCCATGAGGAGTGCCCCATGTGCCTGTGACCAGGATGGGACTGAGGTATCTGCGGGGTGAGGCTTGGAGCTGGCCTCCTGGCTGTCCCCATTTACCTAAGCAGCAGTGCTGCTCTGGGAGGTCCCTTGTCTCTGGGGAGGTCACCTCTGCAGAGGTCTGCAGTGACAACTGCATGTCAGAGAGGCCCTCCGCAGAGAGGTCATGCCGATGCCCCATTTGTTACTCTAGGAGAGCCCCAGCCCTAGTCCCAGCTGTGCGGACTAGGGCGTGCAAGTACCCCCCAAACTCAGCCTTTCTGGGAAGATCCAAGTCGGCTTGTTACTTGGCTTTTTGAATAATAGAAATGATGAAAATTCAAACCTTCCTCAGTAGCCTTCAAAAAGCAACACCGTACACTTTTCTCTGTAAATAATTTAATGACTGTTTAAAAACAACATCGCTGGCCTCAGAGGTTGGTGCTTTTGTGCTAATGCAAGGGAGGCAGGCAGTGTGGGCTCAGGGGAGAAAGAAAGCATGGAGCGGGAGCCTCTGAAGCCCCGCCCTGCCCTTCTGTTTTGCACTTTTCCCGTCTGTTTCGCACTTCTCCAGCGCAAGACAGCGAAGCCCAGCACCTGCTGCCTGGAAAGAAACTGTGCTTTTCCCCTTTGCATCTCATGCCTTACTTCCCAGAGAAGCTGGGAAGCCCTTGTTTTTTATAACATAGGGGTTGCAGTATTTGGACTATATGACAACTAAAGACAAGAACTCTAAACAAAGATTGAACTCCCATGAGTAGGTTACTTTTTCTGGAACATAGGATAGCAATTCTGAAGCTGTTTTTGTGTCCTCTAGGACTGAACAAATAAATTAATACATTGCAGATGATTGGAGCTGGGTTTCTCACTGCTGGAGAAAGGAGTTACAAATATGGAAAGTGGGGAAGGTCACAATGAACCTTGTAGCACTGAGCTAAAATTAAAGTTATCAGTGTGAACTCATGGTTTGTAATATATAGAGACAGGTATAAAAACAGATATAAATGTATGTGTGGTCCCTGTCTATACATATACACATATATAGAGATATAACATATTGCATTAATTAACTATGGAGTAACAAAACAAATTGCCCCAAAACTTAGTGGCTTAGAATAACAAACAATTATTATCTCCCAGTTTCTATGGACCAGGAGTTGAATGTGGCTTAGCTGGGTGCTTCTGACTCTGGTTTCTCACAAGGATTTGACTGAGCTATGGGTGGGGGCTGTGGTCTTAAGGGAAGGAAGGAAACCTGGAAGGATCCGTTTCCAGGCTCACTCATGTGGTTGTTGGCCCAGGCCTCCCTTAACTCCTTGCCAGGGAAACCGCTCTCCAGGGCAGCTCACGAAGGGGCAGCTGACCACCCTCTGAGTGCGCAAGCAAAAGAGTGCATGCAAAACAGAAGCCAGGTCTCTTTATAACCTGGTGTCCAAAGTGACAGCCCATGGCTTTTGCCGTAGCCCATTCATTAGCATTGAGTCACTCAGTCCATCCCACACTCAAGGGAGGGGGTTACACAAAGCATGCATATCAGCAGGCAGGGACCTTGGGGCCATATGCCTACATACATATGCACATATGCATGCATGCCTGTATGCTTACACACTCATACATTCCCTGGCTCCCTTAATGGGCTTCACAATAACACTTCAATAGCAATGAGCATACTCATGCTCCAATACTGGTTTCCAAATACCATTCTCCACTAAAAGGAATCCAGGGCTGGGGCGGGGAAGTATAAGAAGAGCCTGGAACACCTTACTGTACCAGCAAGTGAGAAACTTTACTTTTGACATGGGAACATGCCAAAAGAACACAGTGGCTGCTTGAAGGGGCTCCCAGTGGCTTTCTCTGGGGTCCCTTCAGCATGAAAATAAATGACTACAATGAAGAATTATAACCTTTAGACTTAAATAAAGACCCATGGGTCCACACTGATATAAATACATATGTAAATAAACGCACAGGGGAGGGAGAAAGCTCTTTCTTCCAGTGGAAAGTCCCTATTAAATGTGGAAGGAATGATGGAATCCGACAATCACCATTTGGCAACCATCAAGAATCTCTGATGAATGCTAAAAGTAGTGGGTAAAAGTCTGAAGAGTAACAACGTATTTACATAATCTCAAAGTATTTCCCATGGATACTTATTAATTACAAAGGAGAAATTAGTAACTTGACAGTGGAGAATTCTGGGGAGAACCACCTAAAACAAAGTGCACATCGCCTGTCATGGAACAAATATTTATTATGAGGCTCTGGATAAAACGCACCAAGAGGAACAAAAGTGCCCAAAGTACATCATCTGAACCTGATCTGGAGGAAGGATCATCAGACAGCCCGAACTGAGGGCCATCCTACGAAATAACCCACCTGCGTTCCTCAAAAACGTCAAGGCCACGAAAAGACAAGGAAGAACTGAGGGAAGATTCCAGAGGCTGGACACAAGATCTGGCACTGTCCTTCCCTAGCCCCCAGGCCCCGCCCCCAAGTCCGCCCCCATCGTCCTCGACCCCGCCCCCTCACCCCGCCCCCTGTTACCTCTCACGGTCCCGCCCTCTCAGCCCGGTCCTCCAGGCCCCGCCCCCAGCCCCGCTCCCTCTCATAGTCCCGCCCCTCGTCCTTTCCCACACTTTCCCTGGCAGCCCCTCTCACCGCCCTAGGATAAGAAACCCGCGCTGGGGCGCTGTCCAGGAAACCTGTGCCAGCACAGCGTGGGGAATCAGAAACTAAAGCCCAGGCTCCGAGCGCTTAGGCTCAGGCCCCTCATCGTGAAAGGGGGAAACGCAGCCTGCCCTACAGGACTTAATGCCACCGGCGGATGAGGGAGCAACAACGTGCCCCTCGCTGGCTTTTGTGGCTAAGTCTGTTCCATCACAAGGGGTGTTTAGATGCCTCCTTCAAGGCAGGGCCCCCTGTCCCCCCCCTTATCGTGCCAATGAAGGTCATCTGTGATGACTCTGGGGCATCGGTCTTGCATTTTGTCCCCCAGATTCCGAAAAGGAGGGCTTTTCATGGTGCCGAGTGCCAGCCCTTGCTGTGGCTCGGCACCAGGGCAAGTGCAACTGGCGCCATGGCCCGAGCCAGGCTCAATCCACTTCCCTCTGCTTCACTGGAAATCCGTCTTTTCCTAATAAAAACGCTAGCATGTGACTAACGTACTTTCTCAGGGGGGGAGGGGGGGAAGGTGGAAGTGCTTTACTTAGGTATTAACCATGAGTTTTCAAAAAGTTGATATAAGGAAATAGCCTCAGTCCAGCACTGCAAGTTACTGCTGAGTCCTCAGAAATCTTCTAGAACCTACGAGGATAAACAAGAGGAGTAAGAGTCACTTTGCCTGCAGCCTCTTTCTTGGGAAGCAAGATGAACAAATCCTGCCCTCCCTTTGTTCCAGTCTCTGCTCTAATGTGGCCTCTTCACCAGGGCTCCCTGACTCCCCATCTACCCCAACCCCTGCGCTCTGTTCTCCATAAACCTTCTCCCCCACCTCCTGCCTGTCCCCTCCTCCCCAACCTCGCACCAAAGCCACAGAGGCAGCAGCCCCCTTCAGTTCTCTGCTGTATCCCCTGTGCCTCCAGGAGGGCCTGGCGAGAGCTCAACATCTCCTAATGACTCAGTGATTTACTCAACCTCCCGGTGGAGCAGTGCCACCTGCTCAGCCCTTGCTAATGCCACCTACAGCAGCAGAGCATTTGCCAGCAGGGCACACATGAAGTAAGCCAGGTCACCCCAGGAGAGGCATGGCTCACCTGGGGAGGAGCTTGGTCTCCTGAATCTGCTCAGAGGCAGTGTGCAGGTGAAAGGCAATGGGTGGAGGCCCCTCAGTCAAACTTTCCTCCTTCCCCTCCTGCCAGGCTCTGGGGCTGAACAATGCCAAGGTCATAACAAATGGCTGAACCCACCCTGACTCCTTACAGATTGGTCATGCAAGTTTCAGTGCAACGATAACGCCACTGCAGGGGAGACCCTGCAGGTGCCACCTGTCCTTGTGAAAGGAGAAAGCAGGGCTTCCTGTGGTTTGTTCACAAACCCTTCATAACCTCCCCACCCCCATTAGGTGAGATACTGCCCACTTGTGCAAAATATTCCAGTCCATCAGAAATGGTTATTTTGAATGCCTCTGTGCCGGATGATAGGAGCACTGGCACTGGAGATGGAAATCCCACTGAGATTTTAAGAGTGCTTGTCCCAGCTGGGAAGTCTGTCTACCCCGGCTGAGTGAAGGGACAGTGGAGGTCATACTGGAGGCGGACTGCTGGCACTGCCACCACGCCCCCAACCCCTCTGAGCTGTGATTTTCTCATCTCTGAAATGGAAATGGCTTTGAGTGGTTTTGAGCCTTAGCTGGGATCTTATCTGTACAGTATCTGGGAGGTACTAGATTTAAATGCAATCCTGGTCATTATCAAATATGACTGCCCTGCTGAGGACCCAGCGATTTTTCATCTGTAGCCAGGACCATGTGTCCATGAAGGGCCACGGGGAGGCTGCGGGAAGAAAGTCCAAGAGGAGTGGGCTGAAGGGCAATGGGAAATGTTCTGCCAGCTCTGTACTTATTTATTTTTTAAAGAAAGAAATATCTGCTACAAACATGGCCAAGGAAACCTTTGTACCATCTGGGTGGGGGTTGCTCAGGTGCACGTTGTCATGTTATTCTCTGGGCATTTACGTAGTTTTAGAGTGAGGGGGCCGAGGAAGTGTAGACAGCAAGTGTCAACCCCGAGGAGAAGTCTTCCCCTGAAGGGGAGCCCAGAAATGGTGGGAGCTGGAGTGGAATGAAGGGTCATGGGGGGCTTTAACAATGTGACCTTCTAGAAGGTGTTTACACACACAGGTGGGGGCGACCCACAAGGAGGGGTACAGGAAGGTGCAGGGGGATACCTTGAGAAGGCTGGACGGAGACAAGGAGGAAGGCTGCAAAGACACAGTGTGACTTTGGTCTGGGAGGACATGGCTCGGGGAAGTGGCTTCTGAATGTAAGAGCTGGTGTACTGCCGGGCGAGGCTCTGTTTACTCAAAGCCCTATGTCTTGGGCCAAAATTAACAAGCAAACCCCGCAATGAAATGAATGATGTGTGGACCAGTTTATCCAGAAGAAACTGCTTGTTTTGTGTATATATTTAGAGCAGACGACTCAAACTCTCATTCCCACAGCTACATGTGGCCCACATATGGGCTTGGTTGGAACCTTTTGTGAAAACTACATTTAGCTGCCATTATTAACCAAGAGGGAGATTATACTTATGGCTTCTCTTGAAAGCCCTCAGGATGTGGGAACGCTGGCTGGTGTCCTGGCACAGCTGCAGGTGGCGGCGGGTTCCCACATGTGCCCTGACAGCTCCCTGGGACCTGCCTTTGCCCGGCTCCTAGGGGCACCTGTGGGCCCCACCTGGGGTGGCACCTGCATGCCTGAAACTCTCCATGCAGGAGAATCAAACAAGCCTGCCAGCCAAAGCACAAGCCGCCCAGCCTTATATGCAGAAAGGATTAAAAGCCACAACCACTCCTTCCTGCTCCACCCTCCCACCCCCTCGCTCCACTGCCACTGGAGGTCCTGGCCTGGGTCCAACTGGCCATTTCTGGGTGGTTCAGCTGAGAGTCCTGCTCTGGCTTCTCAGGGATACTCTCAGGTCAGATGCAGCCTCCTGCCCCTAGCTGCAGAGAGCACAGGTAGGAGGGCCCAGCTGAGGGTCACCTCAGTCCCATCTTGTGGAACGTCACCTGCAAAATGAGGACAATGATACCCCTCACATCTGCCCCACAGGCTGGTGTGAGAGCCTAGTGACACCATGCTTGGAAGACCTTTGAAACCTATTGTCCTCTGCTTCATCATCACTATCCGCAGGAAGGTGACAGGGCTGGCTTGCAGGAAATGCTGGAGGTCGTCACAGCCGACCCCTCTCCTGGGCCAGGGTTCCCTTTCCTCCGGGTTTCTAGCCTTCTTCTCTCCCAGGGGCTCTCCTCTGGGGACACTGAGAGATCCTCCTCTAGACTAGAGTCCAGGAAACAGAGCTGGATCTTTAAAGACAGTGATATTTTTCTTTGTACTTTCTTTTTTAAAAATCGAGATATAATCCACATACCCTAAAATTCACCTATTAAAGTCTGCAGTTCAGTGTTTTACATATAGTTCCAAGACTGTGAAACCATCACCACTACCTAATTCCAGAGCACTTTGATCACTCCTAAAAAAAGCCGGTACCCATTAGCAGTCACTCCTCATTCCTCCCTGACCCTGCCCAGCTCCTGGCAACCACAAATCCACTTTCTGTCTCTATGGATTTGCCTATTCTGGGCACTCTATATGAATGGAATCATTCAACGTGTGGCCTTTTGTGTCTGGCTCCTTTTGCTCGGCGTCATGTTTTCAAGGGTCATCCAGGTAGCGCAGATCAGGACTTTACTCTTTTCTATGCCTCTGTAATATTCCATTACATGAATTCATCAGTTGATGAATTTGGGTTGTTTCCACTTTTGGCTATTGTGAATAGTGCTATCAGTAAGACATTTTTTCTCTCTTTCTTTCTTTTTTCTTTTCTTTTTTTTTTTTTTTGAGACAGAGTCTCACTCTGTCGCCTAGGCTGGAGTGCAGTGGCGCGATCTTGGCTCACTGCAAACTCCACCTCCTGGGTTCAAGTGATTCCCCGCCTCAGCCTCCTGCATAGCTGGAACTACAGGCGCCCGCCACCACGCCTGGCTAATTTTTTTTTTTTTTTTTTGGTATTTTTTAGTAGAGATGGGTGTTTCACCATGTTGACCAGGCTGGTCTCGAACTCCTGACCTCAGGTGATCCACCTGCCTCAGCCTCCCAAAGTGCTGGGATTACAGGTATGAGCTGCCGTGCCCAGCCAACATTTTTTCTTTTTAAAGTGAATACAAAATATGGCTAGGAAAAAAGGAAGCAAATTCATTAACTTGTTCATTTTGTGTTTGTGGGAGGGGATACAGACTTTTTCTTTAATTTCTTCATTGTCCGTGTTGTGTTTTTAATTTTCTAAAGACCAACATAGCTTATTTTAAAAAAGAGAAAAAGGAGAATGTGCCCAGGGTCACCCAGCCAATACCAGGGTGCCTCAGTCCAAGGTCTCCCCAGCTATGGCCAGTTCCAAGAGTCCAGCCTCATGGTTACATCCTTGGCATTTCTGCAGCATCACTAATATTTTCATTTTCCAATGGCACTGCTGGTTATCATTCCATCATTTAGGACATATGCATATTTAAGCTGCAATTGCAAATAATGGAATCATAGGGTATGTCTCTAATGCTAACCGTTGTAATTAAGAGCAATAAAAAGATCACAAAATGGAAGAAAGTCGTATCAGAATTCAAACAGTGGATTTTGTCAACATTGTCGGGGCTTTACTGTGAAAATGTGAGCACACGCCCAATTGTTTTTAGAGTTGTCATTGCAGTTGTCATTACATGATTTATAGTCCAATCGCATGTGTTGATGTCCTAATTCAAGGTGGTGCTGGTCAGATACCAGGAACGCTTGTCGCTTTTGCCTCCTGCCAGGCCACCCTCATCACAGGTCATGGGGTTGCTGATTTTTTGTGCAGAATGTAGGGTGTTACTAGTTAGCCCTGACCTGGTTAGTGCAAATAGTCAATTAGGAGAACAAAACCAAACAAAAACAGAAGAGCTGCAATGCAGACCCCGAATTATCCTGGCTGGACACAGACAGCAGCCAGGGTCAGGCTTTTGAATCTTTTGATATTTGCTTCTCATTTTTTACCACTGGCAGAAAAGATACCCTGGACCCGCAGCCACAGGCCTCACGCTTAGAGAAAGACCCCAGGCCCAGACTGATGGGTGTAGGATGTCCTGGAAGGAAGACCTGTGGGACTAACTTGTACGATCACTGATCTCTGACCGTTCCGAGGAGAAAAGCAAAGGAAAACTGGGCTGGGTGTTGGATTATCTAATTCTCTCACCCTTCAGAGAACTACCTTCACAGTGGTCATAAACAAGGGCTGTCATAAGCAGATAACTCCAGCTAAGGCATCTGCTGGACCTGAAGAAAAGGGTGGGACCACTGGGGAACACCTGGGGGCTGTGGGGAGAACCATGGGGCATCAGACCAGGCTGGGAGGAAGGGACGGGAGGAGAGGGGGAGCGGCAAGGTTGGCCTCTAGCCCCTCAGGTGGAGCTAGCAGAGCAGGGAGCTCCTGCGAGGCATCAGACTGGATGCCTGGAGCACCTGCTGGTATCAGACTCCACTGCTCCCCATTTACAGAGTCACATGGAGATAAGCCAGGCAGGTGCTTCTAACACAAGCTGCGCCTTGCAGATGTGTGCAGCCCCCTGCCCCATCGCAGAGGGGACCCAGGCACAGCCCGGGCTTTTTGGCATCATGCTCTTTCGAGGGGTGGTGACCAGGGACATGATGTGCCCTGTAAATGGGGGAGGCCCTGGCTTCTGGGTGCCTGTGGGTGCCTAGGTCAGCATCCCCACCTCTCCCAGCAGGGGCTCCAGGGTCTGAGTGGAGCCAGCACTCCTCCCTGTCTCCTCCCCTTGGGCCCTGCTCCTAGGTGGAACCTGGCCCAGAAACTTGCTTCTAGAAAGGGGCCCACAGATCCTGTGCCAGGTTCTTCAAAGCATTTCTCCCCTGGTCTAAGGGAGGTTGTTAAAAGTGTATATATCTGACAACCTATGCAATGTGGAGAAATATTTGCAAATCATATATCTGATAAGCAATTAATATTTAAAATATATTAATATTTACAATACCTTACAACCCAATAACAGCAAACAAATGAACAAACTGATTTAAAAAAGGACTTTACACATTTCTCCAAGGAAGATGTATGAATGGCCAACAAACATGAAAAGATACTCAACATCACTCATCTTAACTAGGGAACTAAAAATTAAAACCACAATGAGATACTATCTCATGCCCATTAGGATGGATACTCTGAAAAAACAGGAAATAACAAGTGCTGGTGAGGATGTGGAGAAATCGGAAAACTTGTTCATTGCTGGCAGGAATGTAAAAGAGTACAGCCACTGTGGAAACCAGTATGGCAGTTCCTCGAAAATGAAACACAGGATTATCCTATGATCCAGCAGTTAAGCAGGTCTCAATAGGGATTTTTTTTTTTTTTTTTTTTTTTTTTTTTTTGAGACGGAGTCTTGCTCTGTGCCCCAGGCTGGAGTGCAGTGGTGCAATCTTGGCTCACAGCAAGCTCCGCCTCCCGGGTTCACGCCATTCTCCTGCCTCAGCCTCCATGTAGTCCTGTAGCTAGGACTACAGGCCCCCATCACCACGCCCCGCTAATTTTTTTGTGTATTTTTAGTAGAGACGGGGTTTCACCATGTTAGCCAGGATGGTCTCAATCTCCTGACCTCATGATCTGCCTGCCTCAGCCTCCCAAAGTGCTGGGATTGCAGGAGTGAGCCACCATGCCCGGCCTCAATAGGGACTTTTACACTTGTGTTCATAGCAGCATTATTCACAATAGCCAAGAGGTAGGAGTAAGCCAGGTTTTCATCGACAGATGAGTGGATAAACAAAATGTGATCTATCCACACAATGAAATATGATTCAGCAGGAAGGGCATTCAGAACATACCACAACAGGGATGGACTTTGAGGACATGGCGATAAGTGAAATAAGTCAGTCACAAAAGGACAATTGCTGTGTGATGTGCGGTACCAAGAGCAGTCAAACTGATAGAGACAGGAAATGGAATGGTGGCCGCCAGGAGCTGGTGGGAGGGAGGAATGGGTAGTTTTTCCATTTTCTAAGATGAAAAGAGTTCTGGGGATTGGTCGCACAACAATGTGAATGTACTTAACACAATCTGTACATTTAAAAACTGGTAAGATGGTAAATTTTATGTTATGTGTATTTTACCACAATTAAAACAACTTTTTAAGAAATGCAGCTATCTGCGCTTCACTCTAGTCCTTGTGAGAGGTGCAGCCGACTGGGCTTCTGGGTCGGGTGGGGACTTGGGGAACTTTTCTGTCTAGCTAAAGGATTGTAAATGCACCAATCAGCACTCTGTGTCTAGCTAAAGGTTTGTAACGCACCAATCAGCACGCTGTAAAAACGGACCAATCAGCACTCTTTAAAATGGACTAATCTGCTCTCTGTAAAATGGACCAATCAGCAGGATGTGGGTGGGGCCAAATAAGGGAATAAAAGCTGGTCACCAGCGCCAGCCCTGGCAATCCGCTCGGGTCTCCTTATTGGTTGTGGAAGCTTTCTTCTTTTTGTTCTTTCTCCCTTGGCAATAAATGTTATTGCTGCAAGCAGAAAGTGTCTGGGTTGGCACCACCTTTAAGAGCTGTAACACTGACTGTACGGTATGTGGCTTCACTCCTGAAGTCAGCAAGCCCACGAACACACCTGGAAAGACGAGCAACTCTGGATGCGCCACCTTTAAGAGCTGTAACACTTGCTGCAAAAGTCTGCGGCTTCACTGCTGAAGTGAGCAAGGCCAAGAACCCACCGGAAGGAAGAAACGTAGGAAACATCTGAAGGAACAAACTGCGGACATGCCACACTCACGGACTAGGATGGGCATTTCATACTAAGCCTTTTTGGGATTTGGGGGCCGTCGTATGAGATTGACTGAAGCGGCGGTATTCGTCTTCCTGCTACCTGTGGGAACGTTCCCAACCATGGTATCAAACACCTGAACGTTCTTTCTGCTGGGGGGATGCGTCAGAGGAGGCCTTTGTACCGGGGCGATGCGATAAGCCCTGCTGCGGGTATTGACATTTGGCCCCCCCGAGCGGGAGATCAGTGTTTGCCTACCAGAAGTCTGGTGGCAGAATTGCGTGGAAGCTGCTGGCGCCTCTGTGAGGCAGTGGGGCTCCCAGCACTTTCTTGGCTGATGGGCAGTTCTAGATTTAGGGTGAGGCAAGTGAGGCACTCAAATGGGGGTATCAGAAATCCAGTAATTAGGATAAGTAACATTTAATGCCATATTTTTAAAAAACAAAAATCAATACAGAAAATTCGTGATGAATACAGTGTGGAAACTGAAGACAGGCTGCTGCTGTTTGCCTTCTGGTGTTGCATTATTGTGCAACAGGAGTGGTCATTTCTAGGTAGTTCGTAATTCTCTGACCATGTGGCCAGCGTGTCCCCCACTGGGTGGGTTTCTGAGGGTTGGCAATGGTGGGCCAACATTGCCCGGGAGGGTTTATATATAGTTATGTTTTTTTGGTTGTTAACTTTTCCCACTTGGTTCAAAATCCGGGAGGCTATCTTGGTAAGTATCTATGAAGTATACGTTGTTTCTTCCCTACAGAGTCCAGTAGGATTTGGCTTGATGCCTATGACAGGTCATTGGTGACCATGGCCTGCTGACCTTAGTGCTGGCCCACAACACTGCTGGAGAACACTGGGGAGGCCTGTGTGCAATAGCACATTCCCGGGCAGCGGTGGATGGGGGGCCGAGACAGGCCTGAGCGGCACCGTTTGCTCTGTAACTCGAGGAGGCCCAGGGTCACTGGCTCGGGAGAGTTTGTAATTGATGAGACGGGTCCAGGCCCAGCTACCCTGGGACGGTTCACCCTATGATTGAGGAAGCGTCAGCTCCAGGGCCGACACTTGGATGACCTCTCCAAGGCCTGGAGCTTGCTTTAGACTTGTAATAGGTTAGTATCATTTTCCTCAACATGGTGTCCCCAAAGTGCATAAGCTTTTGGGCCCCAGAACACCGCGGAAGGCACTTCTGCCTGCCCTTGTGAGTAAGGGGATAACTGTGCCATGTGGCGCACAGGGAACTGATGTCACCTGGGGCAGAGGATCCTGGGTTGGCCGGGAGCACCGTGTGGGGGTGGGAAGTGACTACGGTGTGTGTGTGTTTGGTTTTTCTTTGCTTAAAATTTAAAACAAATGAAAAAACCCTAAACTAGTATGTGCTCAATGGAACAAATTAAAAGTATACGGAAATATTGAAACAAAAAAGTGATTATCTTTTTTTCCTCTGCAACCCTAGCCCCTAGCAGTAACCCCCATGAACACTGGTGCGTTCCCTTCAGCTATTTCTTCCTGGTTCTCAGCACACATGCTCTCGTAAAGGACTTTTTAAAAGGAAACTTTAGCAACATTTATGGGAGTCTTTTTGAGCCATTACACAGACAGCTTCCTCACCCTTCAACCAGCTGCATGGTGTTCTCCGGTGTGGCTGTCCCCGGGATTCTTGCTTTCTAGAAATGATTCCATGTGGTATTTTCCATATGAAACTGCATCCTGGGGCTGGGCGTGGTGGCTCATGCCTGTACTCCTAGCACTTTGGGAAGCCGAGGCAGGCCGGTCACGAGGTCAGGGATTCAAGACCAGCCTGGCCAACATGGTGAAATGCCATCTTTACTAAAAATACAAAAATTAGCCAGGTGTGGTGGTGGGCACCTGTAATCCCAGCTACTCGGGAGGCTGAGGCAGGAGAATCACCTGAACCTGGGAGGCAGAGGTTACGGTGACCTCAGATTGTGCCACTGCACTCTAGCCTGGGCAACAGAGTGAGACTCCATCTCAAAAACAAAAAAGAAAAAAAAAAAAGAAACTGCACCCTGGAAAAAATCTTCCCAACAAGTCTGAATGGTGCTGGAAAGCTTTACTATTAAGGCCATTTCTTCGAGTTTAAGCTTTGAAAGTGGCTCTTTTTTTAAAAAAAATACAGTAAACAGTGTGGTGGAAGGAGAACTTGGGCTTTAGACGTACCTGAGTCAGCTCCCAGATCCACCATTTCTTATCTTTATGACCTTGGCCAACTTACTTAACTTTCCTGAGTCTTGATTAGCTTGTCTATGACATGGAGTAATGAGGCTGATTTCTCATGGTTTCTGTAAGGATTAAGTGTGATTAAGTGTGTAAAACTTCAAGCCCAATGTCTAGCAGCGATTGTATTCAGTAAACAGTTTTGAAGTTTCTTAAGCATTAGCTGATAAAAAAAAGTGCAACGAGGGTAATAGTTCTGCTTCTGTTTCAATGCCTGGGATCTGTTGGGTAGGTTGGGTGGACTGATGACATTGTCTGCAATTCCCTCATCCATGGCCGAGGAAGCAGCAGGCCAGTGGGATGGCAGAGCTGAGAGTGAAACCCGGGCCTCGCCTGCTGTGCTGGAGATCGGACACAATGAGACAGAGATGCTTCACTCCAGAACTCACAGCCCTAACAGTGCTGGACGTAAATCTTGGTTTGTGTTTTTCCAAGGCTTTTGCAAGTATTTGCCCACTCTGCCCTTTGTGGACGATGTCACTATCCATGTTAAATGGACTTCTGGGGCTGCTGGGGACCAGCGTGCACATGTTAAGTCAGTAAGCGCCTCTCAGATCTCAGCACCACCTGTTTAGCAGGTTGGCCAGTTAGCTGCAGTCGGCTCTGAGGGATGGAGACCCAGGATGGGGCAGATCCGAAGGGCAGGGAAGGGCACGGAGGGGCACTCCTGAAGGGCTGGGCTTGGGAGCAGCAGGGGTTGTTCCTGGGAGGCTGACCGGGTGGGAGTGGTCCTACAGAGAAGAATAAGGAGTGGCACTTGGTGGTGAGGGCGGGAGAACCCCCCAAAGAGGTTCACATGTGCGCTGTGTTCCTCTGGGGCTGTCCTGACCCAGTGTGGTCTGTGGTGACCAGTGACTCATGGTCAGTGTCTGGGCTGCTCATATATTTATAGATGAACGTTCCCACACATCTCACAACTCAGCTTGTAAAACTTGGGAGGATTATGGGAAAACAAAACAAAACAAAACAAAAAACACCTTCTTCAAAAGTTCAGTGGGGCCTTTGTAACCTGGACCACTTTGAATGTCACACAAAAAGCCCAGCATGCATGTGGCTCAACTGTTAGCTTGCAAAGCCCTCTTACGAGGTGGGCTCTGCTGGCTCCAGATATGTCAAGGGGACTCAGCCCTTCGGAGCTCCCAGGTGGGCCCAAGCCCCCATAAAGTGGTCTAGGAGGGGCCGGGATGAGGGAGAAAGTTTTTCTCTCTGGACTGAGGAGGCTCTTGAGGGGTGGGGTGGGGTGGGGTGGGACACTGGCTTAGCCCTGAAGGATGAGAGGATTGGTCCAGGCAGGAGCTCTGGGGAAAATGCTCTTGGGAGTGGGAACAGCAGGGGCAAGGCAGAGTGCAGGGTCTCATTTCTTAACTGTGGTGACCACCGTGACGGTCCCACAGAATAAAGGTGTGGTGTCGGTGCGTTGTAAGTCTGCAGAGACCACCAGCTCTCCTGGTTTTACGAACGAAGAAACTGGGGCTGTGGATGAGTTAGGGTTTTGGTAGGGGCTCTGGGAGGCGAGTGGCACCAAAAGAGGAGATGGAGGGTCACAGTGGAGCCACCAGCCCAGGCCGACCACGCGGCCAGGCAGCCGGACCTGGACCCCCAGCCCTGTCCCTCATTACTCAGGGTCTCCTTTGGCAGATTCAAAATGTTTTCTCCAAAATGGGCATTTGCTTTTGAGCCTTCCCCTTTCAGGAGGACAGAAAACGATTTCTCGTTGTCTCAGGAAGTGGAGCAGGCATATCCTCCACAGCCCAGCACTTCCACACTGAGGTTTACTGGAAATATACTTGTGCATGTATGTATCTTCCAGGAGACCGCACTGTTCATAAGCACTCAACACAGAGCCGTCTAGATGCCCAGCCGCGGTAGCATGTACAAGTACATTGCCGTATAGTCCCGCAGGAATATCACACAGCAGCGAGAACAGACAAACTGCAGCTACCATATGGGTGACTCTCCAAACACAGCACAGAAGAAAAGAAATGAGTCATCAAAGATACACACAGTGTGATTCCATTTGTATAAAGTTCAAAAGCAGGTGAAGCTCAACAATGCATTATTTAGAAATACAGATGAAGTTCAAAATAAAACAATAAGGGGCCGGGCACAGTGGTTCATGCCTGTAATCCCAGCACTTTGGGAGGCTGAGGCGGGTGGATCACCTGAGGTCAGGAGTTCGAGACCAGCCTGGCCAACATGGTGAAACCCTGTCTTTACTAAAAATAAAAAAATTAGCTGGGTGTGGTGACACACACCTGTAGTCCCAGCTACTCAGGAGGCTGAGGCAGGAGAATTGCTTTAACCTGGGAGGCAGAGGTTGCACTAAGCTGAGATTATGACACTGCACTCCAGCCTGGGCGACAGAGTGAGACTTTGTCTCAAAAAAAAAAAAAAAAAAAAAAAAAAGATTAAAAAAGCTCCCAAAGAATCCACAAAAAAGCTACTAGAGCTAATAAACTAATATAGCAGAAGTGGAGGGTGAAAGATCACCATACAAAAATTGGATGTATTTCTGTACAGCAAAAACAATTCAATTTATAATAACATCAAAAATCAGAAAGTATCTAGAAATAAATTTAACCAAAGAGGTGAAGGCCTTGTACACTGAAAGTGACAAGACCTCGCTGAAAGAAATTAAAGAAGGCATAAATAAATAAATGGAAAGACATCCTGTATTCATGAATTGCAATGGGCTAAATGGACAGAGCAATCTGGTTTTTTTTTTTGTTTTTTTATTTTGAGATGGAGTCTTGCTCTGTTGCCCAGGCTGGAGTGCAGTGGCATGATCTCGGCTCACTGCAGCCTCTGCCTCCCAGGTTCAAGTGATTCTTGTGCCTCAGCCTCTGGAGTAGCTGGGACTACAGACATGTGCCACTATGCCTGGCTAATTTTTTTTATTTTTAGTAGAGATAGGGTTTCACCATGTTGGCCAGGCTGGCCTCCGACTCCTGACCTCAAGTGATCTGCCCGCCTCAGCCTCCCAAAGTGCTGGGATTACAAACATGATCCCCGCACATGGCCGACAAAGCAATCTTGAAAAAAAGAACAAAGTTAGAGGACTCATATTTTCTGATTTCAGAATTTCAAAGCGTCAGTAATCAAAGAAGTATGGTACTAGCATAAGGACAGACATGCAGGCCAGTGGAGTAAGATTGAGATTTCAGAAATAAGTCCATATATCTATGTCCAAGTGATTTTTAGCAAAGGTGCTAAGACCATTCAATGGGGGAAAAGACAGTCTTGTCAACTAATAGTGCTTGGAAAATTGGATATCCACATGCAAAAGAATGAATTTGGACCCCTACTTCACACTAGCTATAAATATTAACTCAAAATGGATCAGACTAAATTGTAAGACCTAAAACCATAAAACTCTTAAAAGAAAATATATGTGTGAATTTTCATTATCTTCATGATCGATGGATTTATAGATATGATACCATAAGCATGAACAAGAAAAGAAAAAGCAGGTAAGTTGAACTTCATTAAAATGAAAAACTGTTCATCAAATTCATCAAAGGACATTATTAAGAAAGGAAAAAAACCCACAACCTATAGAATGGAATACGATATTTGCAAATCAAAATATGACAAGGGTCTAATATCCAGAATATATAAAAGAACTCTTCCAACTCAACAACAAAAAGACAACCCGATTAAAAACTGGGCAAAGGACTTGAATAGACAATTCTCCAATGAAGATATACAAATGGCCAACAAACACATGAAAAGATACCCAACATCTTTAGACATTAGGGAAAAGCAAATCAAAACCATGATGAGGTGCCACTTCATTCCTACTAGGATGATTATAATTAAAAACATCCCAAAATAAAAAAATAGTAACCAGTGTTTGCAAGGATGTGGAGGAATTGGAACCTTCAGACATTGCTGGTGAAAGTGTAAAATGGTACAGTCACTTTGGAAAATGATTTGGCAGTTCCTCAGTTAAATGTAGAATTACCATATGACCCAGCAATTTTACTGCTAGGTATATACCCAAGAGAAATGAAAACAGAGACTCAAATAAACATGTAGCATTGCAGCACTATTCATAACAGCCAAATGGTGGCCATAGCTCACATGTCCATCAGTGGATAGATGGATAAACAAATTGTGGTATATGTTATACAAACAAAAGAATATTATTTAGCCACATAAATGAACGAAGTTCTGAAGCATGCCACATGGGTGAACCTTGGAAACGTGATGCTAACTGATAGAAGCCAGGCATAAAAGGTGACATATGTATGATTCCATTTAGATGAAACATCCAGAATAGATAAATCCATACAGACAAAGCACAAACTAGTGGTTTCCAGGGGCAAGGCCACAGGGAGAGGAAATGGGGAGGAACTGCTTAATGGGTAGGGGGTTTTACTTTGTAGTGTTGGAAGTAAGGACAGAGAGACAAGGTAGTTGCATGACCTCATGACTGTACTAAATACCACTGAATTGGTCACTTGAAAATGGTCCATTTTATGTGATACAAATTTCATCTCAATAAATTATTTAAAAATATGGCTGGGCATGGTGGCTCATGTCTGTAATCCCAGCACTTTGGGAGGCCGAGGCGGGTGGATCACCTGAGGTCAGGAGTTCGAGACCAGCCTGGCCAACATGGTGAAACCTCGTCTCTACTAAAAATACAAAAATTAGCCAGGCATGGTGACAGGCGCCTGTAATCCCAGCTACTCGGGAGGCTGAGGCAGGAGAATAGCTTGAACCCAGGAGGCAGAGGTTGCGGTGAGCTGAGATCACACCACTGCACTCCAGCCTGGGCGACAGAGTGAGACTCCATTTGAAAATAAATAAATAAATAAATATAAAAAATATGTAAACCTCAAAACTAAACTAAATGAAACATAAAGAAAAGCCAGGGGCCAGGCGCAGTGGCTCACACCTGTAATCCCAGCACTTTGGGAGGCCAAGGTGGGTGGATCTCTGGAGGTCAGGAGTTCGAGACCAGCCTGGCCAACGTGGTGAAACCCCATCGCTACTAAAAATACAAAAAAATTAGCCAGGCGTGGTGGCAGTTGCCTGTAATCCCAACTATTTGGGAGGCTGAGGTAGGAGAATCGCTTGAACATGGGAGGTGAAGGTTGCAGTGAGCCGAGATAGCACCACTGCACTTCAGCCTAGGTGACAAGAGCAAAACTCTGTCTCAAAAAAATAAAAATAAAAATAGAAAAGAAAAGAAAAGAAAAGAAAGAAGGAAGGAAGGAAAGAAAAAGAAGAAACGAAGGGAAGGGAAGAAGGAAGGAAGGGAGGGAGGAAGGGAGGGAAAAAGAGAGAAAGAAAGAGCAAAGGCAGGAACGAGCCAGGCAGAAGTCAGGCAGTGCTGCCTCTGGGAGGGAAGGAGTGCAGTGGGAAAGGGCCCCATGGTAAAACACAAGGATCTGCTTTATCATTCTCTAAACTATGTGCAGACATCTTATACACTTTTTAAAATGCTTTATTTAGCAATAAAACATCTTAAAAGAATAAACAAAAACAGGAGAGAGAAGCAGAATCTTGTAGCTTCGGATCCATGTGTGTCCCCATCTCCTTCTCCCATCACCGGGTCTACCCTGATTGTCTGGGAACCTGAGGATTCCAGCAAGGATCTTGGGGCACCTCAACAGCTCCCCTTCCTGCTTTGGCCAACATCACCTGGCCAGCTCACTCCGAAAAGCACAGCAGTTGGGAAGGTGTTGTGTTAAGGAGCTCCCCTCATTGCCTGAGTGCCTGGTCTGGGTTTCAGAGGCTAGGCAGGTGCAGCCAGTGTCTGCAGGAGAGATGCGCAGAGGCTCAGGGCCAGCCTCTTGTGCCTGCCTGGTTCCCACAGGTAGTACCCTCTCCTTTCCCGATGTTCTCTGTCCTTTGCTACCCATCCAGGTCCCTGCCCTCGAGCCTCCTCTGGCAGTGCTCCCATGGTCCAGGGAAGTCCCTCACCAGAGTGCTCAGGCACTAGGCCTGTCAGGTGTGGGCATCTGGGGACCCAAGCCTCCTGGCCCTCAGGGACTGTGATGTTTGCTGGGGCCACCAGGGTGGGGAAAGGGTGCACGCCAGCAGGAGTGAGGGGTAGGCGGGTGAAACCCTAGGCATTCACCACAGCTCAGCGTGACGGTGGAGGCTGCCAGCACGGGAATCAGACTGCCGGGCCCCTTTGTTGCTCTGCTCTTTTTCTATGATAACGTTTAATGAATGATCCACATTCATGAAAATTAGCCAAAGAGCAATTTTACAAATAAAACAATTGGGGTCTTTTCTGAGTGTTTTCTGCTTATCTAGACAAGGTGTGTGTGGTTGATTTGCTTATCTGCCCAATCCAGGCCTGCCCTCCAGTGGGAGCAGGTAGCTGTCACCCACCCACCCACCCAAGACTACGTCCACCAAAGGCATTGGCAGGAATCACCACCCTTTGGGCCATGGAACTGAGCATTTAGGAACTATGGAGGGTATCCAGCCCAACTCTTTGCTTTTACCTCTAAGGGAACAACGTCCAAACCCCAAGGCAAATTGGTGGCCGGCTTGGCTGAGTACTGGCTTGCCTCTCAGAGCAAAGGGTGCATGCCTGTCTTTGACCCAGCACTTTCACTTCCATGGATCGATCACCTGGAAATACTTTTGCATGTAAATAGGCAATGTATGGATGCTTGTTGCAGTGTATTTTAAGCTAAGTGAAAAATTGGAAACCTCCACTTTTTTGTTAGTCTACCTGGGGGACTGATTAAACCAATTAACGACGTACCAAATCATGGACTATGCAACCATGAACAAGACTAACACAGAACTCTAAAGTGTAAACGTCTCCATTATGAATTGAAAAAAAAAGCGTAGTAAAATATTTCCGATGTGATCCAGCTCTACAGGAACAAACTTCCCGATATTCAAGAGCAGAGCTGTCCCGCATGGTAGACCCTGGCTACCTGGGGCTGTTGCGCACCTGAGATGTGGCCAGGGTGAATGGAGACATGCTGTGAGTGTGAGATGGCACGCTAATGTTCACTGTGACATGAGAGCTGAAAACGAGGTGTGTGGCAGGATTTCAAAGACTTAGAACAATAAAGAAAGACATAAAATACCTCATTAGTATGTGTTTGGTATTGACTACATGTTGAAACAATCATATTTTAGATATATTGTGTTAAATGAATTATAGAATTAAAGTTAATTTCACTTATTTGTTTTTACTTTTCCTTTTTAAGTGGCTACTACACAGTTTGAAATTATGTCTGTGGCGCGTGTGCTATTTCTATTAGGCAGCAGAGGTCTAGAATAATACACATCAGGCCGGGCGTGGTGGCTCACGCCTGTAATCCCAGCCCAGCATTTTGGGAGGCTGAGGTGGGCGGATCACCTGAGGTCAGGAGTTTGAGACCAGCTTGATCAACATGGTGAAGCCTTGTCTCTACTAAAAATACAAAATTAGCTGGGCGTGGTGGCGGGCACCTGTAATCCCAGCTAGTTGGCAGGAGAATCGCTTGAATCTGGGAGGCGGAGGTTGCGGTGAGCCGAGATCATGCCATTGCACTCCAGCCTGAGCAACAGAGCAAGACTCTGTCACACACACACAAAAATAATAATAATACACGTCAAACACTAAGCATGGTCCACAGCACGGGAGAGTAGGGATCAGGAGGAGTGTGTAAGCAGGACTTCACTTGGCTCTTCTGTGGGGTTTTCCAACTTTATATATTCATGTAGTATGCTTTTTAATGATTAACAAACAAAAAAGGGCACTGTGGCCATGATTCCCGAGGAGCAAGCTTTCCACCTCACCAAGCCTGAAGAATTTGCCCATTCCTGTGCCCTGTCTCCAGGAGAGCCAGGGCCACCTGCCATGAGCGTTACCCCTACCTTAAGGCATTTCAGGCATTACCCACCCTGGGGGAGCAGACACAGGATGGATAAGTTGTGATGAGGGAGGAGGATACCTGTGCTTGCCACTTTAATGGCAGGGGCAGACAGGGGGCCAGGGATTGGGGGAGCGGGAGCCAGAAGCCGTGAGGGAGGGGACAAGGTGCACAGCGACAAGGTCTCAGCAGCGGGGGAGGGGAGTGCTGTGGCCTGATGTTAACTTGTTTTCTTAAAGTCAGCTCTAGCATTGTAAATGCATTTTTCCCCACTTAGCAATTGAAGATACAGTTTCTGAAAAGCAGTGAGATAGATACTAATATGTGCTTTCTACAAGAGGCTGGGAAAATTGCTCCTGGCGCGATGGGCATCTGAGGTAACAGAAAAATCTCTTTCCTGGACTCTGCCTGCTCCCAATGGATGCTGTAATTCCTTCACCCATGGCTGAGTCTAACCTCAGAGCTTGCAAAAGAGGAGGATGGCAGATACTGACCCATCAGATATGCCTTTGCATATCACTGAGGGCAACATGTCTCTTGCTACTGTCTACTTAATGGAGGTTTTAAGACGTTAAATCCCCTTAATCTCTAGGTCATGGAAGGCTTGGGGGTATTGTGTCCTCTTATTCTCCTGGCTGAGGGCTTCCATCTTCCCAGGTCCAGCATTTACACACACACACCCAGACACACACACATACACTCTCAAATTATAGGACATCTTCCAAACATTGTCAATCAAAGCCAAAGCCAATTTTCTAAAAACATCTACTGCCCCCAGTAGGAGGATTTTAGGTTGATAGAAAATCTGTTTTGTTTTCACTTAGTTCAGAATGAAGATGACTCGCATCTTAAAATGCCTGAGTGTCATTTCACTTCTTGTGCTTATCAGCTTTACAGAGCAAATAAATGAGGTTGCACAGAGCCAAACCAAACACAACTCCAAACTTCTCCCAGAAAATAATCAATAAAACATAAACAGGTACAGCAAACACATTCAACATGAGTTGATATTTCCAATTACATTTTCTGGGGGAGGAGGGCTAAAAAATACACTGCAGAGAATAGACAATTTATGCTATAAATATAATTGCAAATGCCATGAATTAAAACTGCTGCTGGATAGTTCAAAACAATGGTGTTTTGAGAACCTGACCAAAGGCAGTCTTTCCCAGAATCAGTCCCGTATTCATCAAGTGCACTCATAGAGAGGCAGGGCTCCGTTCTTAATTCCTCCCTAAATATCTGATTCAGACAGAGAAAATGTGTCTCATCTTCCTTCCCCATTCTCAGTTCCTATCCCTTGTCAACGCAAACACAATTTATGCAAATATTCTTTCTTTGTTTCTTTCTTCTTTCTTTCTTTCCTTCTTTTTTTTTTTTTGATGGAGTCTCACTCTGTCGCCCAGGCTGGAGTGCAGTGGCGCAGTCTCGGCTCACTGCAACCTCCACCTCCTGGGTTCAACCTCTCCTGCCTCAGCCTCTCGAGTAGCTGGGACTACAGGCGCGCACTACCATGCCCAGCTAATTTTTGTATTTTTAGTAGAGACAGGGTTTCACCATGTTGGCTAGGATGGTCTCTATCTCTTGACCTCGTGATCTGCCTGCCTCAGCCTCCCGAAGTGCTGGGATTACAGCCATGAGCCATCGCGCCTGGCCCTGCAAATATTTTCATTCCTCCCTACCTCCCCCACTACTTTTGCTAATTTTTGCTAAGGTTTAAAAAAACATACACATTGTATACATGCACCAAAAAATCACATGTACCCCCACAATATGCACAACTATGATGTACTAATAAAAAGTACAAAAGATATATTTTCTGGGAAAAAAAGGAAAATTAATTTGTGATAGAAAATGATTAAAGAAGACAAAAAATGTAGAAATGTACAAAAGAATAAATAAACACCACCCATAAGGCCTCCATCCTAAAACAACTGATATTTCCTTGTATTTCTAGGCTTTTTCCGTGAATAGATTAGACAGGTGCATGTGTGTGTAATGAAAAACACAATAATTCTGTACGGTTATTATGCCTTTTTCTCTGTCATTTTAAAAGTGACTGCGTGATGTTTCATCCTATGGACAGACCATGATTGATGTGTCCAGCCCTCTGCTTCTGGGCGTTTGGGTTGTTTGCTGTGCTTCCCGGTAGCACACAAAGCTGTGTCAATGTTGGCATCCCTTCAGGATTCGCTCCTCAGGATGGGTTCCTAGGTGTGGACTTGCAGGGCTTTGCTGCATGTTGTTGAACTGCCTTCCAGAAACCAGTTTGCACTGCTCCCAGCAGTGAGAGGGAGCAGTAATCTCCCCTCCTGATCCTGTTCCGTGTAACCAATCTCTTCCCCAAGGCTTTCACAGGTGAAATATCAGCTGATAAAGGCTTACAAGTATAAACCCTGTCTCTCCTAGAACTTCAGCATTTTCTGGGGTTCTAAGGAAGGTGCACCTTTTCCCTGAAGCAAAGTAAGATGCTAAGGAATGACAGGCAAGAGGTTGAGGCCTGGAGCCGGGGCTCCTGAGCAGATCCCTGGCACCTGGATTTAGAAGCTGGCCCTGAGGGAAGCTCAGAGGGTTTCAGCCTCTTTGAGACCAGCTGACAGAGTACTTATCCCCTCTGTGAATCAACCTGGTGGGTCCCTTCTGCTGAGACAGCCTCTTGGAACCCAGGCTGAACACAGGTTCACCAGCTGCTCCATAGGGTCCTGTCCAGCCAGCCTCAAGAGGAGATGAGTAACAGGCCCCAGAAAGCACACCTGAGCTTGCCTGCACCTGCTCTTACTTGCACCTGAGCCTACCTGCACCTGAGGTTACCAACACCTGAGCTTAACTGCATCTGTGGTTATCTGCACCTGAGTTTGTCCACGCTTGAGTTTACCCACACCTGAGGATACCTGCACCTGACCTCCCTTCACCTGTGCTTACCCGCATCTGAGCTTACCTGCCACAGCAGTGGAATGGAGAGGGCACAGCTCAGGCTCTTTCAGCCTCCTCCTTGGCCAGGGCAGGGAGCTGGGTGAGGAGGGCCCACCCTTTAAGAGGAGCAGTCCCCATGAGGAGCATGTGAGCACTTGGGCCTGGGCCCTCATGATTGCTGTGAAGCGATGGCCCCATGACCTGACTCCCAGGCCAGAAAAGGAAGCCAGGGCCCCAAGCTTCCAGGCTGTTCTGTGTGGAATCCCACAAAGGCAGCCTTAGGATGTGAGAGAGGTAGGGGAGCTAGAGCTTTTCCTTTGAAGTGGCCCCGCCATGGCCCCCTCCCACCCAGCCGCCCTTCCCTGGCTGGAAATGTCAGCAGGGTTTGCATAATTGAGACAATTGGACATAATGGTTCTTTCAGAATCCCCTCATCAGCTGGGCAGTGTTCGTGCCCCGGGGAGCTGGGAGAAGGCGGCACATGGCACTAATTACTGCTAATCCTTCCTCATCTAAGTTGGGCCTGAGGTCAGGGTGAACCCAGCTGCAAATGCAGTGTGAGCCCCACATGACTCTCAGCCCCTTCTGAGTGCTTCTAATCCCTGCTCTCCCCCCTTCACCAGGAGCTTGCCTGCTTGGCATCCACAGTCACCTGAAAACCACCACGGTGGGAGCTCTGTTGGATTTGCTGTAACAGTATGCGTGGTTATTCCAGCTTTCCATGAGCTTTCTCAGCCCAGGAGGAAAGAAAAAACCCAAACCCTGAACTATCCCTCTCTGCAGAGGGGCTGGGTCTTCCCCAGCATCTGAGGCTCTTGGGCATTGTCCGCCTCCCGCTTCTCACAGAGGAGCAGACAGATTGGACGTAAGGGCAATTAGGGGTGTTCCCATTTTACAGATGAGGACTCTGAGTCATGTGAGAGGGTGGCTTGCCCAGAGAGCAGGTGGGGTGGAGTGGGAGTGCCCAGGTTGTCAAGTTCTGCCCATATGTAGAGTCCTGAAGCTGGAGGCTGGGCTCACTCCCCCACCCAATGCCTGGCAGACAGCCTGGGGCTCAGGGAATCTCTGAACTTCTGACGGAAGCACATGTGCCAGGCCATTTTCTGGGTCTGTCTTTGCTTTCATTCGTTTCTCTCAGGGTCTGTCACCGCAGAGTGGGCGTGCAAAGGGTCTGGTGAGTGGCTCCCACGTGCTTTGCTGGAGCGCGCACAGCCCCTGGGCGCACAATGACCGCAGCAGCCTCCCTGGCCTGGCTCCCGAGTCTTCTTTCTTGAACTGGTGTTGGCTCCTGAGGCCTGAGAGAGTCACGGCTTCAGCGGGAACCCTTCCGGGGGCTGAGGGAGGGTGCTACGTGGCCGGAATTCTGAAGGCACAGTCAGGGCAATCCGGGGCATCTGAAATCAGTCTGGGAGCAGTGGGGAAAGACCACATGGGGAAGTGAGCTGATGGCCGGCACTGCCATGGCTGGGAGGTGTGGAGGCTCTGTGGTCAGCACCAATGGCCAGCCCGACCGGCTGCCAGTCAGTGGCTCTCCAGGCAGTGGGCCCTTCACTAGACAAATAAGCTCTTTTTCAGGTTCAGATAAGATGGAAACAATGGGAGCCCCATCCTTCCCCAAGAGAACACCCCTCCTCCCCAGGGTCCATGCAGTGTGGCCTGCAACTGGGAGCTGAGATGTCTCACACAGTGGCCACAGGCCACGCGTGGCTATGGAGTGCTGGAAACAGAGCCAGTCAGAATTGAGATATGCTCCGAATGTAAAATATACACGGGATTGCCAAGACTTGTGATAATAATCGATTGCACATTGAAATATTTAGAACATGTTGGGTTGAATAGAATGTTATTAATTTTTTTCACCTGCTTCTATTTACTTTTCAAAACTGACTACTAGAAAATTTTAAATTGGCCCAGCTCACGCCTGCAATTCCAGCACTTTGGGAGGCTGAGGCAGGTGGATCACCTGAGGTCAGGAGTTCGAGACCAGCCTGGCCAACATGGTGAAACCTCATCTCTACTAAAAATATAAAAAATAACCGGCCATGGTGGTGGGTGCCTGTAATCCCAGCTACTCGGGAGGCTGAGGCAGGAGAATCACTTGAACCCTGGAGGCGGAAGTTGCAGTGAGCTGAGATCACACCACTGCACTCCAGCCTGGGTGACAGAGTGAGACTCTGTATCCAAAAAAAAAAAAAAAGAGAGAAAGAAAGAAAAAGAAAAAAAAAAGAAAATTTAAAATTGCCTCTGCTCTGTGGCTCACAGCTATGGCTCACCTTGTATTTCTGTTGGGCGGTGTTGAGCTGCAGCTGTGGGGAAAAGGGGTTCTCACCAGACTGTCCACTCTCCAGAGGCATCCTCCCCCATGAAGTCACTTGGATGACCTGGTGCATGGACACAGTGTGTGAGGACTGTGGAGAGACGCTGTAAGGTCTGAGAATCATTATGTGTCTGTGGAGCCGTCTGAGGACACAAGAACACCACCGTGAAGGGTGGATACTGACCACTCACTCCTCACCCAGCTGCGGGGGTGCAGTCCTTCTCCTCATGGGGGAGCCATGAGGACACATTCCTCAGAGGGAATAAGAGGCCGGCTGGCGGTCACAGTTGGTGAGAGTGTGGGGACAGTGACCTGTATGCTCACCTGTGTGGGGCCCTGATGAGGTCATGGGAGATCCCCAGGCTAGCAGGGGACACCCCAGGTGGAGGCCCAAGGGTCCTGGTTGGACTCTGAGATGAGCCAGCAATATTGTTTCTCATGCTCCTTTGTTCCCTGCACTTCCTGACCAATAGTTAGTCTCGAAACCTGTTCAGATTCAAGGTGGACTTTTGCAATAAGACTTTTTGGTGGTAGTGTGTCCTTCTGTTAGGAGACATCTCTTTTGCAATGCCGGCGGACTTTGGTGATGACTGTCTAGGGCCATGATATCCCTAGGACTTGCAAAATGGTGATCTTCCTTTTTTTTTTTTTTTTTTTTTTTTTGAGACGGAGTCTTGCTCTGTTGCCCAGGCTGGAGTGCAGTGGCGCCATCTCGGCTCACTGCAAGCTCCGCCTCCCAGGTTCACACCATTCTCCTGCCTCAGCCTCCCGAGTAGCTGGGACTACAGGTGCCTGCCACCACGCCCGGCCAATTTTTTTGTATTTTTAATAGAGACTGGGTTTCACCGTGTTGGCCAGGATGGTCTCAATCTCCTGACCTTGTGATCCGCCCACCCTGGCCTCCCAAAGTGCTGGGATTACAGGTGTGAGCCACCATGCCCAGCTGCAAAATGGTGATCTTCTAATTAGGTCGACTCTTCTTTATTTGTTAGCTGGAATTCATCCATAAATAGAAACTTTCCCTGGGCAGATTTGGTCACTCTGAGGCACAGCTTGCAGAGGAAAGGCAAGAAAAAGGTTTCCATCTCCAGTGGAATTGGTTGCTTCCTTGGCCTCATTCCAATGTGACTAATGCATTCCTTTTCTTCAGAGTGTCAGTATAAATTCATGGATTTGAACATATTTGATGCATTTAAATCCACAGCAGTTATTTTTCTTACTATTGTTCACATGGTCCCAGTTTCACAAAGCCTCCTGAATCCTTCTGACGCCACCCCAGGAATCTCTGAGAGCCTCTTTGCTATCTGGAATGCAAAGATGTTTGGGATCATCTTGTACATTTCTTGCCGCAGATCTAGGCTCAGGCACTTCTCCAAGGAGCCCTGGTTCCTTTGAGTGAGAAACAGTATTCAGAAACTAGGATCTGCTTCTGAACTGAATTGTTTCTGAGCCTTTTCAGCAGGCGGAACTATGAAGCTGTGTGTCTCTGTGTGTGTGTGTGTGTGTGTGTGTGTGTGTGTGTGTGCGCGCGCGCGCGCGTGCATCTGTAAAGAAAATGCATCATGATAATTTTCAATTCAAATTTAGAAACAGAGGGATTTTACTTAACTTCCTTGATTTCATGTTTGTGTCTCTTTTTGCTTATGCTAAAAGCCCTATTCCTAATGACATTAAAAGCTTTCTCTTTTGCTTTATCCTGAATATAGTTTCAAGTAACACACCCATATTGCTAACAGTACTGGAAGCAGTTTAAAAGACTGTTTTGTTGTTCTTTTTCACCTTGCATATGTCCTATTAGGTTTTTTCAAGAACTTAAAGTTATTATTCTCTGTGTGGTTATTCTACACACTTGATACACAGCGAGTTCGGGGAACACAGTATCCGAGGACTGTGGGGAGACGCTGGCAATGTCTGAGAATTATTATGTGTCTAGTGAGCTGTCTGAGCAAATAACAATAGCACTAACACTAAAGGCAGATTTCCAGTAAGATTCACTCATTGAATTTTCCATTGGATTTCCATGCATTGTTTTAGGAATTAGTTTTTAAATATAAGTCTGTTTTATAATTAAGTGAAACGTTTGCATTTTGGCAAAGTCCAATCTGCAAACAAGATTCTTTCAGAGTAGTCTGGCTGTGGCATCTGTCTTTCTCCCTCATTCTTCTTTCCCCACAAGTAAACCTTTTTCTTTTCTTTTTTTTTTTTTTGAGATGGAGTTTTGCTCTTGTTGCCCAGGCTGGAGTGCAGTGGTGCAATCTCAGCTCACTGCAACCTCTGTCTCCTGGGTTCAAGGGATTCTCCTGCCTTAGCCTTGCAAATAGCTGGGACTACAGGTACGTGCCACCATGCCTGGCTAATTTTGTATTTTTAGTAGAGACAGTTTCACCATGTTGGTCAGGCTGGTCTCAAACTCCTGACCTCAGGTGATCCACCCGCCTCGGCTGCCCAAGGTGCTGGGATTACAGGTGTGAGCCACCACGCCTGGCCGCCACAAGTAAACTTAAAAAAAAATTATTGTTTTATCCTTTCACTTTTTAAGTATAAATATATATGTATTGTTTCTCTCCGCCTCTTTCTCACAAAGATGGTAGAGGACTTTACACACTTTTCTCTGCTTTGCCTTTGGCACTTCTCTTCTCCACTTTTCTTGGAGGTGACATGGCTGCCTCTCATTTCTTTTGACAGCTGTGTGGCCCGAATCCCTGAGTGGATGCATGAGAGTTGATTTCACCAGACCCGTGTCAATGGGCACTTGAGTGGCTCTTGGTCTCTACAAATAGCACAGCAACAAAAAGTCTTGCCACATGTCCTTTTGCATTTGTCTGTAATCTTTAGGCTAGATTCCGAGAAGTGAGATTGCTGGGATTAAGGGTATAAATATGAAATTTGCTTATATTGCAAAACTTCCCTTCATAGAGATTGTAGCATTTTGCATTTCCAGTGGGATTTTATGAGTCCTTGTTTTCCCACAGCCTCACCAACAAAATACGTTGTTACACTTTTAGAATTTTGCCAATCTTATTAAGAAACGGTTTCTCAATATAGTTTTGCAATATAGTTGTCTTCATTTTTTTGGATATTGTTGTCTGGTTTTGATATCTGGGTAAAACTGGCCTCATAAAATGAGTTGGGCAATGACTCCCCGCCACTTATATTTTCTGTAAGAGTTTGTGAAAGATTGGTCTTCATTCTTCTTTACAAGTTTGGTAGAATTTACCAGTGAAGCCATCTGGGCCTGTGGTTTTCTTTATGGGAAGTTTAAATATTACTACTCCAATGTCTTTACTTTTTATAGGTCTGTTCAGATTTTTCTGTTTCTCCTTGAGTCAGTTTCAGTAATTTGTCTTTGCAGGAATTTGTCCATTTCATCCAGGTTTTAAAATCTGTTGGCATCCAGTTATTCATGGTATTCCCTTATGATCCTTTGTATTAATATGTCTAGAAAATCATTAGTGATGCCCCTTTTTCATTCCTGATTTTAGCAATTTGAGTCTTCTCTGTTGTTTAGATGGCCAGTCTAGCTAAAGGTTTTTCAATTTTGTTGACCTTTCCAGGGAATCAACTTTTGGTTTCATTAATTTCTTCTATTGTTTTTCTACGCTTTATTTTATTATTTCCACGCTAGTCTTATTTTCTTCCTTCTGCTTGATTTGGATTTAGTTTGCTTGTCTTTTTCTATTTTCTAAAGTTGAAGGTTAGGTTATTTATTTGAGATCTTTCATTCTTAATACGGGTGTTTACAGCTATAAATTTCCCTCTGAGCACTATTTTAGCTGCATCCAATATAGTTTTTCATATTTGTTCATCTTAAGATATTTTATAACTTTTCTTGTGACTTTTTTAGCCCACTGGTTACTTAGAAGTATGTAATTTAATGTCCACTTACTTTTGAATTTGTAAATTTCTTTTCTTTTCTTTTTTTTTTTTGAGACTGAGTCTTGCTCTGTTGCCCAGGCTGGAGTGCAGTGGCATGATCTCAGCTCACTGCAACCTCTGCCTCCAGGGTTCAAGTGATTCTCCTGCCTCAGCCTCTCAAGTAGCTGGGATTATAGGTGTGTGACCCCATGCCTAGCTAATTTTTGTATTTTTAGTAGAGATGGGGTTTCACCATATTGGCCAGGCTGGTCTCGAACTCCTGACCTCAGGTGATCCACCAACCTCGGCCTCCCAAATTGTTGGGTTTACAGGCGTGAGCCACCACGCCTGTCCAATTTTTTTTTCTATTATTGATTTCTAATTTAATTCCACTGTGGTTGGAGAACATACTTTGCATGGCTTTAAAAATCCTTTTACACTTATGAAGGCTTGTTTTATGGCCTAGCATATGGTCTGTCCTAGAGAATGGTCCATGTGCACATGATAAGAATGTGTATTTTGTTGTTGGGTGTAGTATACTCTTAGACGTCTGTTAGGTCAATGTAGTTTTAATTTGCATTTATCTTACTATGAGTAAGGTTGGCATCTTTTCATGTGTAAGGGCCATCTGTATTTCTGTGTCTGTGAACTTTCCACATCTCTTGCTCATTTTTCTAGAGACTCTTTTTCTTTATTTTATTTTATTTGAGATGGAGTTTTGCTCTTGTTGCCCAGGCTGGAGTGCAACGGCACGATCTCAGCTCACTGCAACCTCTGCATCCCGGGTTCAAGTGATTCTCCGGCCTCAGCCTGCCAAGTAGCTGGGATTACAGGCATGTGCCACCATGCTCAGCTAATTTTGTATATTTTAGTGGAGACAGCGTTTCTCTGTGTTAGTCTGGCTGGTCTCGAACTCCCGACCTCAGGTGATCCATCTGCCTTGGCCTCCCAAAGTACTGGGATTATAGGCATGAGCCACCGTGCCCAGCCTTTTTTCTTTATTTTTAAAGCTTGTTCCTACATACCAAATATGGTGAAATTTTGACTGTAATGAAGTGGAAAGTATTTTTTTCCAGCTTGTCACTTGTCTTTTGACTTTACCTACTTGCCCTGGCTTCTTGCTTCCTTGATATCCACAGTCTATTTAATTGAATTTATCATTGAGATCACCTCTCCCATGCTCCAGACACTGCTGGTGCTGTGTGGAGATATGGGAATGACTCAGAAATGACTTTTGAGGATTTGCATGCTAGTAGGGGAGCCAGTGCTCATATAAACACATTTGAAATACAAGGCAGACTATAGGAAGCACTGCAATCAGCTTTGACACGCAAGAGGAAAGCATAAAGGGAGAGGGAGCTTTCAAAAGAAAGGGGAGTAATGGGCCACGTGAGGTGGCTCACGCCTGTAATCCCAGCTATTATGGAGGCCGAAGCTGGAGAATCACTTGAACCTGGGAAGCAGAGGTTGCAGTGACCCGAGATCACGCCACTGCACTCCAGCCTGGGCAACAGAGTGAGACTCTGCCTCAAAAAAAAAAAAAAAAAAAAAAAAAAAAGATAAAAGAAAAAGAAAAGAAGAGAAAAGAAAAAAGAAAAAATAGAAAGAAGAGGCCAGGTGCAGTGGCTCACGCCTGTAATCCCAGTACTTTGGGAGGCCGAGGCAGGTGGATCACCTGAGGTCTGGAGTTCGAGATCAACCTGGCCACAACACGATGAAACCCCATTTCTACTAAAAATACAAAAAATTAGCTGGGCGTGGTGGTGGGTGCCTGTAATCCCAGCTATTATGGAGGCTGAGGCAGGAGAATCTCTTGAACCTGGGAGGCAAAGGTTGCAGTGACCCAAGATCATGCCACTGCACTCCAGCCTGGGCAACAGAGTGAGACTCTGTCTAAAAAAAAAAAAAAAAACCAGGAGTAATGGGGCTTCAAACTGAGCATATAGTTTGGATGGGAGTCCTGGCAGCAGACTTGAGGAAAGGGGGCACTTTAGAGTTGGAGATGACAGACAGTAGGGCATCAGGGAAACATCCTGTGAGCTGGAGCTTGGTTCCCAGGCTGGAGACGGGCGATGGGCAAAGAAAGAGGACAATAATGCTGGGGACAGAGGGCAGGTGTGGGGCAGGATGGGAGTCCAAGGGCTCAGGCCAGCACTGGCCAAGCAAAAGTTTTGTGAATCCTGATCTGAAAGCTCTGATCCAAAAACCTTCCTTTTCAAAGTCTTATTTGAAGTAAGGCTTATATTGGTTCAAAAAATTATATTGCTCCTGGCATTGGCTGCAGAGGTGGGCTTCCACTTTGCATACTGTTGAATTCTTTACATATATTTAAAATAAGTTAGCACTACTACTACTAGCTTAGTACTACTGATTCTCAGTTGGCAGAATCTCTGAAATAAAGAAATAAAAGTGGTAGGTTAAAAAAATCTTCATTTGTAAATTAAATTTATATTTCATTGAACAATGTCTCTATGAATTAAGAAGGCTAGAGAATAATTTAAAATCTTTGGTGTCGTTGTAAAAGATAATTACAAAAATAAACAAATGGATAACTAGATTAGGCAAAGACATAGAGGTCTATCAATACTTTTGATTACCGTAAACTCTGCTTCCATTTCTCCACTGACTGACGAAAAAAATAAAGTAGGTTTCCCCACTTGGAGGAAAATAAGGTCGTCGGATATTTGGAACGTGGGTCTTGGAAACTCCTCTCTTTGTCTGGAAGGCAGAGGGTCTTCCTGGTGAGCCTTAAGATCCAAGTTGGCCAAAATATGCTGGCCGTTCTCCGTAGGCCGCCCAGCCTCGTCAACAGGTGAACGTTGGCAGCAGTCTTTTTGCACCACTCTTCTGCACCCTACGGCTCAGGATTCAGGAAGTGAGACCTCCTGAGGCCCCTCTATTGCTCCCCATCCTCCATTGGAGGGCACAGGCCTGTGAGGACCGGCCATGGAGTTATCAGTGGGAGGATCGAAATTGGACAGTTACTTCCTGTCTGATTCTAAGAACCTTCTTTTCATTTTTTTCTCCTTTCTGTTTTCTTTCTCTCTCTCTCACTTTTTCTTTTCTTTCTTCTTTCTTTCTCTTTCTCTCTCTCTCTCTCCCCCCCCTTCCCTCCCTCCCTTCTGCTTTTTCTGCTCCTCAGTGGGTTGTGTTGCAGTGCTGGCAGATGATATGTGCTAGAATAACAAACACACGGTTAAAAACCTGCCAAGCATTTAATGGTTTTTTGTTTCTTTGTTTTAATCTTCAGAATACTCTCTACAATGAAAATAAAACCAGTGACTCTGTAGTGGAGATAATCCATTGTGTTACAGCTTTGTAGCTGTAAACCTGGTTGGTCCTGGATCCTGCCATGAGTAAAGGTTGCAGCTGGAGCTTCCGGAAATTCCTAGCAGAGAGCATTATCTGAGCTGGCTTTCCTTCTCATCAAACTCCTAACATCTCATTAATCCGCAACTCCACTAACTGCACGTAAGAAGCCCCAGTGTGTCACTGTGCTGGCATCCCTGAGAGTCTGAGTGTAACGTTCTGCCCTTTGCTGGGACCTAATGGAGGACTTTCAAATCCCAACACCATGGCTAACACTTCTGAAGTCTTCACTCTGGAGTGATGGCAAAATTCCCAAAATGTGGGTCCAATTATATGGAAGTTGATTCGACCTTTTCTTCCTTCAAGATGTCTGTGTTCCTGAGAAGAAATGTGGGCAGGAATAATGGCAAGAGATGATTTTGCCTCAATCTGACTTCAAGCTTCTTTTGTTGATAGCAGCAGACTGCATGAAAACAGGATCTTTGGGGACAAAATGATGCTCCTGAGCCCCATGTAGGCAGCTGTGGCTCCTCACAGTCCACACGGGAAGACGTCTCAGTGTTTAGAAGAGCTCAACGCATGGCACCCCTCTTCAACACCTGGCGCCCAGGGCGTTATTTCTATCTCCTGTGTCCTCATGCCCTCTTAGAACGGGAGAGCTCGTAACAGTCTTCAAGTTGATCTCCTGTTAGTGTCATGTCCTTAAGTAATGCTTTATCGCTTCTAAAATCTGAATTTTACCCCATTGGTTACAATAACCCATAAAGCAAAACAAAGCACCCACCCCCCCAAAAAAATTTGGCTGTACCTAGTAAATCGCAGTGAAACTTTTGTTCTGGGAATAGAGTATTGTTACCCGAAACTTTTGTTTAAATAAGCACAAAGACTTCGCATTTTTATCTTTTGAAAAAATCTTTGGAAAAGTCTGAAACACAGGCCAAGGCAAGGCTGCTAACAGAAAGGTAGAGAGTGTGAGCATACAGAGCTTGGGTAGGACAAGTGCTGGAAAGTGTGGCAATAGAAGAAGGGATGTGGCATTCTACTTTTTAAAGCTCATTCCTTCTTCCCGAGTTGATTCAGAAATTGAGTGGCTGGGAGCTGTGGCTCATGCCTGTAATCCCTTTAGGAGGCCGAGGTGGGTGGATCACCTGAGGTTGGGAGTTTGAGATCAGCCTGACCAACATAGAGAAACCCCATCACTACTAAAAATACAAAATTAGCCGTGCATGGTGGTGCATGCCTGTAATCCCAGCTACTCAGGAGGCTGAAGCAGGAGACTTGCTTGAACCTGGGAGGTGGAGGTTGTGGTGAGCCGAGATCGTGCCACTGCACTCCAGTCTGGGTTCTTGAGCAAATAACACCCTAGTTAAGGATTGCTAACAATTAGTCCCAAATGCTCCCCAGTCCTGGGAAACTTTGCTTAGCAGAGGTTTCTCCATCTCATGGTGCCCAGCTCCTTCCTCCCAAGGGGCCAATTAAACTTTTTTTTTAATTGGCTGAGATGAAAAGGCGTGGTGTCCACTTTGAGGGGTTCCTGATTCAGAGATAGCTCTTAGAGTACTGCGTCTGCCCAAAGGTGATATTCTCTAAACTCGGCCTCTTAGAGCTCAGGCATTCTCAACAAAAAAGATTCCACGTGAACTAAATTTGGGCAACTCTGCTTCCTGTATTTTCCTCTTGGAGATTCACAATGCATATTAGGATATTAAAATTCTGAGAAGTCCTGCCACAAAGAACCCCCTTTTCTTTCTTGTAACCCAGCATTCCTCAAACTCATTTGCCCATAGGATCTTTTTTCTTCTGAAATACCTCTTAATATTTCACATAACGAAAGTATCACAACAGAGGACTTGGGAAAAACTCGATTAACACAAGCTTAACCATCTGAGGTGCCGGTAAGTGTTCCGTGTTGGAGCAATCTGCTTCCTGAAGTCCCATTCAGAAGGCTGGAGCAGGTTCCTGACAGTAGAACCCCTGTCCAGGGCTGCTGTCTTGGCTTTAGGTAGCTAAGATCACCTCTCACTGTGTCTTCTGCCTGAATCACCCCCTTCAAAACTCACCACGGCCCACCTTCTCCAGCTGGTGAATGGTAACTCACAGGAGTGAATCTCCCAGCCAAATCAACAAGAAAGGGAGGGCTCCACAGGACAGGACCCCTGATTCTGCCTGCTCCTCCCTAACTCTCCAGGAAGAGTGCTGCCTCTGAGCCCCTGACTGGGAAAGACTTGGAAAGAGCCAGGGCCACCATGGACTGTCACAACCAACGGGGTTCTCCAAAGGGTCACCTATGCATACAGAATTCAATACCCAGCTCTGACAGTTTTTTTTTTTTCAAAATCTCTAAGGTATAGAGATAAAAATGGGTCAAACAATATCTTAAAGACAGTGACTGAGAATTTTCCAAACTGTCAAAAAACATTTTTCTTTGTACTCCTAAAATGTTTTTTTTTAACTTTAGGTTCCCCCATACAACTGCAGGTTTGTTACACAAGTAAACTTGTGTCATAGCACTTTACTGTACAAATTATTTTATCAACTAGTTTTTTGCCCTCCATCACCCACGTTTTAAGACTACTGTGCCCATAGTTAGTTCATTCCGGTGGATTTCTGGTCCCACCGCCTTTAAGAATGAAGCATGCGGACCTTCCCGGTGAGTGTTACAGCTCTTAAAGGTGGCAAGGACCCACAGTTAGCAACAGCAAGATTTATTGTGAAGATGTGAACAGCAAAACAACGACGCTCCCACACGCTGGAAGGGTACCGAGCAAATTGACTTTGCTGGCTAACGGGTGGGCAGCTTTTATTCCCTTATTTGGCCCTGCCCATGTCCTGCAGATTGGTCCATTTTACAGAGTGCTGATTGGTCCATTTTACAGAGTGCTGATTGGTCCATTTTACAGAGTGCTGATTGGTCCATTTTTACAGAATGCTGATTGGTGCATTTACAATCCTCTAGCTAGACAGAAAAGTTCTCCAAGTCCCCACTGGACACAGAAGCCCAGCTGGCTTCACCTCTCACTAGTACCCTTATTTTTTTCTGATCTTTTCTCTCCTCCCACTGTCCATCCTCCAAAAGGCCCCAGTGTGTGTTGTTCCCCTCTATGTGTCCAAGTGTTCTCATCATTTAGCTCCCATTTATAAGTGAGGACATGTGGTATTTGGTTTTCTGTTCCTGTGTTAATTTGCTAAGTATAATGCCCTCCAGCTTCATCCATGTCCCTGCAAAGGACATGATCTTGTTCTTTTTTATGGCTGCCTAGTATTCCATGGTGTATATGTACCACATGTTTTATCCAGTCTATTATTGATGGGCATTTAGGTTGATTCCATATCTTGCTGAAAGATGTTAATCCACAATTTAGGAATCCCAATGAACTCCAAGCATAATAAACACAAAGAAATACACATCTAGTCAAACGATAGTGAAATTGTTGAAAACCAAAGACAAAGGTACAATTTTAAGACATTGCAAAAGAAAAAGATTATCTTCTATACAGCAGACTGCTACTAAAAAGGCAGCTGACCTCTCAACAGAAGCAAAGAAGGGCAGAAGGTAACAAAATTATATATTCAGAGTGCTAAAAGGAAATAATTGCCAACCTAGAATTTTATGTCCAGAAAAAATATTCTTCCACAACAAAAGAAAAATGGAGACATTTTTAGACAAACTAACAGAGTTAATTTGTAATAGACTTAACAAAGAGCTTTCTTCAGACAGAAGTAAAAATATCACAAATAAAAGCATAGCACAAAAAAGAGTAAAGAACAAAGAAAATAGTAAATATGTGTGTACATCTAAATGGATACCAATTGTATAACAGAATAGCAATAATATCTTGCAGGAGTTAAAATAGATCTGAGGCTGGGCATTGTGGCTCATGCCTGTAATCCCAGCACTTTGGGAGGCCAAGGCAGGCGGATCACCTGAGGTTAGGAGTTCAAGACCAGCCTGGCCAAAATGGTGACATCCTGTCTCTACTAAAAATACAAAAAACATTAGTCGAGCATGGTGGCGGGTGCCTGTCATCCCAGCTACTCAGGAGGCTGAGGCAGAAGAATCGTCTGAACCCAGGAGGCGACCATGTCAGTGAGCCAAGATCGCGCCACTGCATTCCAGCCTGGGCAACAGAGCAAGACTCTGTCTAAAAAATAATAATAATAGATAAGTAAAAAGTAAAATAAAACAGATTTGGAATTAAATAAATGAAAAAAAACTTCTGGTTTCGGCTTGTATGTGTAAAAAGCCATCACTTTCATTCTCACAGCACGAAAAAGCTGTTTAGATCAATCAGACAGTTGAGGTCACAGGGGCAAACTGACACCCTGAAAAATGAAGAGAAAGGGAAATAGAATTATAGCTTCTAGAATCGGAGAAAATGCTAGAGCCAGAAATGGGTAGGACTGAAGCTGTAATTGATGAATTTCTGGAGGCTGACTGTGGACTAGCTTAGATGGTAAAGGTTCCAGAGATGGCCAATCTTAGGGTACCCCTCACACTTTTGTGAGTTTTACCTCCAAGCACTCCAGCAGATTCTCACAGTGAATACCACAGAAAAATCCCTTCCTGTTTCCAGCAGGGGATGGAGAAAAGTAACCCTGTTGAGACACACCCAGAGCCCTCTTCTGCTTGCCATCAAGGGAAACTACATTATCAGAGCCTGTCTTAGTCCATTCAAGCGGCTAAAACAAAAAATGTCATAAGCTGCCTGGCTTATAAACAACAAACATTTATTTCTCACAGTTCTGGAGGCTGGGAAGTCCAAAATCAAAGTGTAGGCAGATTTGGGGCCTGGTAAGAGCTTGTGTCTTCATAGACACACCTTTCAGCTATGTCCTCACATGGTGGAAGGAGCGAGATAGCTCTCCGGGGCCTCTTTTATGAGGGCACTAATCTCATCCCTGAGGACTCTGCCTCTTGATCTAATCATCTCCCTAATGCCCCAGTTCTTAATACTGTCACATTTGGGGTTGCATTTCAATAATTTTGGCAGGGACACAAACATTGAAGCCATAGCAGAGCCTAACCAATGTGGGGGAGGAAAAATACCAAACTGCAGCCCCCTCTAGTCTTCCCAGTGTTGGAAGGGAAATACCACACTCCAGCTCTCTCCAGCCCTCCTGTCTCACATAAGTTGGGGAAAAGCTGCTGAGAAGCACTTGTAGAAGTCACAGCCCAAGAACACAGGCTGAAGTCTAATTACAGCATTCTAAAGTGCCCGGCGCCGTGGCTCATGCCTGCAGTCCCAGCACTTTGGGAGGCTGAGGCAGGTGGATCACCTGAGGCTAGGAGTTTGAGAGCCGTCTGGCCAACACGGCGAAACCCCATCTCTACTAAAAATACAAGAATTAGCTGGGTGTGGTGGCATGAGCCTGTGATCCCAGCTATTTGGGAGGCAGGAGAATCACTTGAACCCAGGAGGCAGAGGCTGCAGTGAACCAAGATCATGCCACTGCACTCCAGCCTGGCCAACGAGAGCAAAACTCCATCTGAAATAAATAAATAAATAAATAAATAAATAAATAAAGTGCTTCCCTACTCCCACACCTTACCGGCATCACCAGAGGCTTCTGTATAATTCCAGAGGGTCACAGCTGAAAAACTGCAAGGCTTAGACTATTTAAGAATTTCCTAGGGAACCCAAAGATAACAGAGAGAGAGAAAAAAAAGATGCTGGAGGAAAGTGAAGCCAGAAACACCCACACCTACGGTAAACAGTGTAATCCCTGGCCAGATAAACATAAACCCTCACATTAAAGGCCTATTTACCTCACTTCTTCTTATGCAATGCATCATGTCTGGCTTTCAATAAAATAATTACAAGGTATGCCAAAACGCAAGAAAAGGCAGTGTGAAGAGAGAAAGCAAGCAAGGGAACTAGACTCAGATACAGCAGAGAGTTTGGAATCACCAGGCTGGGAATTTTAAATAACTACAATTAATATACTAAGGGTTCTGGCTGGGTGCGGTGGTTTACGCCTGTAATCCCAACACTTTGGGAGGCCGAGGTGGGTGGATCATCTGAGGTCAGGAGTTCAAGAGCAGCCTGGCCAACATGGCAAAACCCCATCTCTACTAAAAATACAAAAATTAGGCCGGGCATGGTGGCTCATGCCTGTAATACCAGCACTTTGGGAGGCCAAGGTGGGTGGATCACCTAAGGTCAGGAGTTCGAGACCAGCCTGGCCAACATGGCGAAACCACATCTCTACTAAAAATACAAAAATTAGCTGGGCATGGTGGCACGAGCCTGTAATCCCAGCTACTCAGGATGCTGAGGCAGGAGAATTGCTTGAACCCAGGAGGCAGAGGTTGCAGAGACCCGAGATCGTGCCACTGCACTCCAGCCTGGGCAACAAGATCGAAACTCTGTCTCAGGAAAAAAAAAATAGCTGAGCATGGAGGTGCAAGCCTGTAGTCCCAGCTATCTGGGAGGCTGAGGCAGGAGACTTGCTTGAACCCGGTAGGTGGAGGTTGCAGTGAGCCGAGATCACTTCACTGCACTCCAGCCTGGACAACAGAGTGAGATTCTGTCTCAAAGAAAAAAAAAAAAATACACACACACACACACACACACACACACACACACTAAGGGCTCTAATGAACAAAGTGGACAGCATGCAAGAGCAGCTGTGTAATATTATCAAAGAGAAACTCTAAGACATAATCAAAAGGAAAAACTAAAGATCAAAAACACCTACAGCAATAAAAATGCCATTGATCAAGAGGCTAGACATTACCAAGAAAATAATTAATGAGTTTGAAGATGCAAATAGAAACTTCCAAAACTGGAATGCAAATTAAAATAAGAATTAAGAGAAGGAACATAGTATCCAAAGATTGTGGAACAGTTAAAAAAGCTGTATCAGGCTGGGCGCAGTGGCTCACGCCTGTAATCCCAGCACTTTGGGAGGCCGAGGTGGGAGGATCACTTGAGGTCAGGAGTTCAAGACCAGCCTGGCCAACGTGGTGAAACCCCATCTCTACTAAAAATACAAAAAATTAGCTAGGTGTGGTGCATGCCTGTAATCTCACTACTCGGGCAGCTGAGGCATGAGAATCCCTTGAACCCAGGAGGCAGAGGTTGCAATGAGCTGAGATTGCACCACTGCACTCCAGCCTGGGTGACAGAGCCAGACCCTGTCTCAAAAACTATATAATAAAAATAAATAAATAAAAAGCTGTATCGTACATGTAATATAAATACCAGAGGGAGAAGAAAGAGGGAAAGGAGCAGGAGACATATTTGTAGTAACTGTCTGAGAATTTTCCAAAATTAAGGGCAGACACCAAACCACTGAACCAGAAATGTTGAAAAACATTAAGCATGATAAATACCAAAATATGTGGACCTATCGTGTTCAAACTATAGAAAACCAAAGACAAAGAGAAAATTTCGGAAAAAAAAAACAAGATGGCTTAGTCAGTTTGGGCTGCTATAAGAGAATATTGTAGAACGAGTGGCAACAGAAATTTATTTCTCACAGTTCTCAGGCTGAAGGTCCAAGATCAGGGTGCCCCATGGTTGGGTTAGAACTCTCTTCTGGGTTGAAGATTGCCAACTTCTCACTTGATCTTACCCAAAAGGCCAAGAAGCTGAGAAGACTGATTGCCAGCTTCTCATTGTATCCTCACATAGTGGAAAGCAAGCTAGCTGGATCTCCGGTCTTTTCTGATAAGGGCATGAATCCCATTCATGAAGGTTCTGTCTTCATGACCCAATCACTCCCCAAAGATCTCACCTATAATTACCATCACATTGGGATTAGGGTTTCAACACATGAATTTGATGGGGAAGGGACACAAGCATTCAGTCCGTTGCATGACAGATTAAAAAATAACTTACTGGCCAGGCGCAGTGGTTCATGCCTGTAATCCCAGCACTTTGGGAGGCCGAGGTGGGCAGATCACCTGAGGTCAGGAGTTCGAGACCAGCCTGACCAACATGGAGAAAACCCGTCTCTACTAAAAATACAAAAAATTAGCTGGGCATGGTGGTGCATGCCTGTAATCCCAGCTACTCGGGAGGCTGAGGCAGGAGAATTGCTTGAACCCAGGAGGCAGAGGTTGTGGTGAGCCAAAATCGCACCATCGCACTCCAGCCTGGGCAACAAGAGTGAAACTCCATCTCAAAAATAAATAAATAAATAAATAAATAAATAAACTTATCTATAGAGGAACAAGGGTAAAACCTATATCAGCATTCTTGTCAGAAACCATTAAGGCAAGAAGAAAATGAGAAGAAATATTTCAAGTGTTAAAAGAAACAAACCAACAACCTAGATTCTGTATCCAGAGAAATTATCCTTCAGATGTGAAAAAGAGATAAAGATATTTTCAGACAAACAGAATTGAGGAAATTTGTCACCAGTACATCTACTTTGTGAAAAATGCTAAAAGAAGTTATTCAAGAGAAGGAAAAGATATGGGTCAGAAACTCAAATCTACATAAATGAAGAGTGTTAGAGAAGAAATAAATAAAGGTAAAGTAAAACCTTTTATTTTTTCTTAATTTATCTAACAGATAACTGTTTGTACAAAAATAATAACAACAATGTATTTGGCGATTATAACATATATAAGGAAAATAAATGACAATGATGTTATAAGGAACAGGAGTGTAAAATTGGAAATACTCTGCCATAAACTACTTGCACTACTCATGAAGTGATATAGTGTTAATTGAAAGTGGGTTTAGGTTAGTTTTAAATGTATACTGCAAACTCTAGAGCAACCACTAAAAAGATAATTAATATGGTAAGAGAAGAGAGAACGTGGAATTTTATAAAATGCTCAATTGAAACTAGAGAAGGCAGAAAAAGAAGGGAAGAAAAGACAAATGTAATACATAGAAAATGGTTACAAATATGATAGATATTAATCTGACTATATTAATAATTACTATAAATGTAAATGGCCTAAATACACCAACTAAAAAACAGAGTCTGTCAAGAGTGGATAATAAAAATAAGACCCAACTATGTTGTTCACTTTATTTTACATTTTTTTCTTTTTTCTTTTTTTTACCCATTGTTTAGCTCCCATTTATAATGTCCACTTTAAATATAAAGATATAGCAAATTAAAAGTTAAAATATAGGGAAAGATATACCATGCTATAATTAGTCAAAAGAAAGCTGGAGTAGCTATATTAATTCCAGGTAAAGCAGAAAAATGGAACTTATTGGGATAAATAGGACATTACATAATAATAATAAAGGGGTCAGTTCTCCAAGAAGATGTAAGAATTTTTGATGTGTATGTGTCTAACAATGATGTCAGTTTGCAAAAGGCAAAAACTTACAGAACTGCAAGGAGAAATATAAAAATCCACTGTTGTAGTAGGAGACTCCAAAACACATCTATCAGTAATTTATGGATCCAACACAGGGAAAATTAGTAAGGATATAGTTGCATTTAACAGTACTATCTATTAACTTAATCTAATTGACATTTACAGTATAATTCATCCAACTACAGCAGAATACACATTCTTCTCAAACCCACATGAAACATTCACCAAGAAAGACAACATTCTGAGACAAAACACACCCCAGCAAAATTAAAGAATAAAAATCACGTGAAGTATGCTCTCAGACCACAATGGAATTAGACCAAAAAAAAAAAAATTACTGAAAGATATCTGGGAAATCCTTAAATAGTTGGAGAGTAAACAATACCCTTCTAAATAACAGGAGTCAAAGAAAAATTTTAAAACATTTTGAACTAAATGAAAATGAAAACACAATTTACCAAAATGTGTGGGAATGCAGTGAAAGCAGTGCTTAGAGAGAAATTTGTAGTATTGAATGTATGTATTAGAAAAAAAGAAAGATCTCCTTGGTGCAGGGGCTCACGCCTGTAATCCCAGCACTTTGGGAGGTCAAGGTGGGCAGATCACGAGGTCAGAAGTTCAAGACCAGCCTGGCCAAGATGGTGAAACCCCATCTCTACTAAAAACACAAAATTTAGCCAGGCATGGTGGTGGGTGCCTGTAATCCCAGCTACTTGGGAGGCCAAGGCAGAGAATTGCTTTGACCCAGGAGGCAGATGTTGCAGTGAACCAAGATGTGCCACTACACTCTGACCTGGGCGCAGAGCAAGACTCCATCTCAAAAAAAAAAAAAAAAAAAAAGAAAGCTCTAAAACCGGTAATCTAAGTTTTCACCTTAGAAAAGTAGAAAGAAGAACAAATTAAAACTAATATAAGCAGGAAAAAGAAATAAAAATCAATGCAGAAATCAATGAAATTAAAAACAGGAAATCAGTAGAGAAAACTAAAGCTGATTCTTTGAAAAGATCAATAAAATTGGTGAATCTCTAGTCAAGTTAACCAAAGAGATCAGATGCAGTCACTGATATGAGAAATCAAAGAAAGGCCATCACTGCTGATCCAATGGACATTAAAAGGATAATAAAGGAATAACATGAACAAATTTGTGTCCACAAATTTAATAGCTTAGATGAAATGAACAAATTCCTTGAAACACACAATCTTTCAAAACTCATACAATGAGAAATAGGTCGCCTGAATAGGCAATATCTATTAAAAATTAAGTCAATAACTAATAAGCTGCCCCTACAGAAAGCACCAGGCCTAGATGTTTCACTGGTGAATTATACCATACGTCTGAGGAAGAAAATATACCAATTCTCCACCATCTTTTCCACAAAATGGAAGCAGAAGGAATAGTTCCTAACATTATATGAGGCCAGCATTTCCCTAATATCAAAACCAAACCAAGACATTATAAGAAAAAAAAGAAACTATAGCCAATATTTCTCATGAACATAAATGCAAAAATTCCTCAACAAAATATTAGTAAATCAAACTAGTGTATGAAATGTATAAAGAACAATACATATAGTTATACACCATGACCAAATTAGATTTATCCCAGATATGCAAGGCTGATTCAATGTCTAAAAATCGATCATTGTAATTCATCACATCCACAGGATGAAGAAAAATCACATGATCATATCAATAGATGTAGAAGAGCATTTGAGAAAATCCAATACCTGTATATAATAAAAACTCTCAGCAAACTAAGAATAGACGGTTACTTCCACAACTTGATAAAGAACAACTACAACAAAACCTACAGCTAACACCATACTTAATGGTGAGAAACTAGAAGCTTTCCCACTAAAATAAGGAATAAGGTAAGAATGTCCCCTCCTACTACTCCTTTTCAACATCATACTGAAAATTACAGCTAATGCAATAAGATAAGAAAAAGAAATAAAAGTTATGCAAAATTGGAAAGGAAGGAATAAAACTGTCTTTGCTCACAGATGACTTGATGGTTTATCTAGAAAATTCCAAAGAATCAACCAAAAAACTCTTGGAACTAATAAGTGATAACAGCAAGTTTGTTGGATACAAGGTTAATAGATTTAAGTCAGTTGTTTTCCTATATATCAGATATGAACAACTGGAATTTCAAATAAAAACATATCTTTTACACTAGTACCAAACAATAGAGTACTTAGTAATAAATTTAACAAAATATGTCCAAGATAAACATGAGGAAAACTATAAAACTGTGATGAAATAAATCAAATAAGTTATAAATAAATGAAGAGATATTTCATGTTCATAGATAGGAAAACTCAATATTGTTAAGATGTCAGCTCTTCCCAACTTGATCTATAGATGCAATGAACCCCAGTCAAAACCCCAGCAAGTAAGTTATTTGGGTCAGGGGGGATACTGACAAACTCATTCAAAGGTTTATACAGAAAGGTAAAAGACCCCAAATAAGCAACATAATACTGAAGAAGAACAAACTCAGAGGACTGACCTTACCCAACCTCAAGATTTACTATAAAGCTATAATAATTAAGACAGTGTGGTATTGGTGAAATAATACACACTCACAAAAATTTAATGCAACAGAGCAGACAGCCCAGAAATAGGCCTGCACTAATGCAATAAAGTGATCTTTGACAAAGGAGCAAAGGCAATCCAATGGAGAAAGGACGGTCTTTTCAACAAATGATGCTGGGACAACTGAGATCCACATGGAAATAAATGAATCTAGACACTGACCTTACACCGTTCACAAAAATTAAAGTGGCTCACAGGCCTAAATGTAAAACATAAAATTATAAAACATCTAGAAGATATCATAGGAGAAAATCCAGGAGACCTAGAGTTTGGCGATGACTTTTCAGATGCAATGTCAAAAGAATGGCTTAGGGAAGAAAAAAATTGATAAACTTTACTAAAATGAAAAACTTCTGCTCTGTAAAAGACATGGCTATGTACATTTAAAAAACAGAGACTAGGAGAAAATATTTGCAAAACACACATTTGATAAAGGACTTGTATCCAAAATATATGTTGAACTCCTAAAGCTCAACAATAAGAAAACAAATAGCCCAATTAAAAATATGGGCAAAAGATTTGGACACCTCACCGAAGAAGATATACAGATGGTAAATAAGCATATCAAAATATGCTCAATATCATTTTTTATCAGGAATAGTGGGAATTGTAACATCATTTGTTATTGGGAATATAAGGAACCATGGGATACTACTACGCATCTATTTGAATGGCTAAAACCCAAAAAACTGACAATTTCAAATGCTAGGAGAATGCAGAGCAGCAGAAACTGATTCATTGCTGGTTGGAGTGCCACTTTGTAAGACAGTCTGGCAGTTTCTTATAAAACTAAACATAGTCTTATCTTATGATCCAGAAAATGGGCTCCTAGGCATTTACTCAAACAAATTCAAAATGTATGTCCACACCAAAACCTGCACACAAATGTCTATGACAGCTTTATTCATCATAATTGCTAAAAATGTGAAGCAAGCAAGATGTCCTTCAATGGGTACATGCAGTACCTCCAGACAATGGAGCATTATTCAGTGCTAAAAAGAAATAAGCCATCGGGGCTGGGTGTGGTACCCAGTACTTTGGGAGGCCAAAGTGGGCATGTCGTCTGAGGTTAGGAGTTTGAGACTAGCCTGGCCCACATGGTAAAACCTCATCTCTACTAAAAAATACAAAAGTTAGCTGGGCGTGGTGGTGCACACCTGCAATCCCAGCTACTTGGGAGGCTGAAGCAGGAGAATCACTTGAACCTGGAAGGCAGAGGTTGCAGTGAGCCGAGATCGCGCCATCGTGCTCTAGCAGGGATGACAGAGTGAGACTCCGTCTATAAATAAATAAATAAATAAATAAGCCATCAGGCCCCAAGATTTGCAGGACCTTAAATGATATTGCTTAGTCAAAGAAATCAATCTGAGGCCAGGCACAGTGGCTCATGCCTATAATCCCACCACTTTGGGAGGCGAAGTCAGGCAGATCGCATGAGGCCAGGAGTTCAAGACCAGATTGGCTGACATGGTGAAATCTTCTCTCTACTAAAAATTCAAAAATTAGTCAGGCGTGGTGGTGCACACCTGTAATCCCAGCTACTTGGGAGGCTGAGGCAGGATAATAGATGGAACCCGGGAGGCGGAGGTTGCAGTGACCCAAGATCGCACCATCGTACTCCAGCCTGGATGACAGAGTTAAGACTCTGTCTCAAAAAAAAAAAAAAAAAAAAGTCAATCTGAGAAGGCTACATACTGTATGATTCCAATTCTGGAAAGGGCGAAATTATAGAGACATTAAAAAGATCAGTGAATGTCAGGGTTTTGGGGGAAGACAGGGCGGGATGAACAGTTGGAGTACAGGGGATTTTTAGGGCAGTGAAACTATTCTGTATGATATGGTAATGGTGGGTGGATACCTGACATTAAGTTTTGTCAAAACTAAGAATGGGCTGGGCGCAGTGGCTTATGCCTGTAATCCCAACACTTTGGGAGGCCGAGGTGGGCGGATCACCTGAGGTTAGGAGTTCGAGACCAGCCTGGCCAACATGGTGAAACCCCGTCTCTTTCAAAAATACAAAAAATTTGCTGGGTGTGGTGGCGCATGCCTGTAATCCCAGCTACTTGGGAGACTGAGGTAGGAGAATTGCTTGAACCTGGGAGGCGGAGGAGGTTGCAGTGAACCAAGAACGTGTCACTGTACTCCAGCCTGGGTGACAGAGCGAGACTGTGTCTCAAAAAACAAAACAAAACAAAAAACAAAAAAACTCAGAATGTACAACACAAAGAGTAAATTACAATGTAAACTCTGGGCTTCAGTTAATAGTAATGTGTCAATATTGGCGCATCAGTTAGAACAAATATACACCGTGCAAGATGTTGCTAACTGGGACAGCTGTGAGGGGGAGACAGGAAGTACATGGGAGCTCTCTGTACTACATGCTCAATTTTCTGCAAACCTAAAACTACTCTGAAAAAGAAATTCTAGCCATTAAAAGAATACATGCGGCCGGGCGCAGTGGCTTACGCCTGTAATCCCAGCACTTTGGGAGGCCGAGGCGGGCGGATCACGAGGTCAGGAGATCGAGACCATCCCGGCTAAAACGGTGAAACCTCGTCTCTACTAAAAATACAAAAAATTAGCCGGGCGTAGTGGCGGGCGCCTGTAGTCCCAGCTACTTGGGAGGCTGAGGCAGGAGAATGGCGTGAACCCGGGAGGCGGAGCTTGCAGTGAGCCGAGATCCCGCCACTGCACTCCAGCCTGGGCGACAGAGCGAGACTCCGTCTCAAAAAAAAAAAAAAAAAAAAAAAAAAATTATTAAAAAATTAAAATTAAAATGTGTATGCACCTAATAATATAACTAAAAAACAGCACCTAATAATACAAATTAAAATCACACAGAGTATGGCTGGGTGCAGTGGCTGACGCTTGTAATCCCAGCACTTTGGCAGGCTGATGCAGGTGGATCACTTGAGGTGAGGAGTTCGAGAGTAGCCTGGCCAACATGGTGAAACCCTATCTCTACTAAAAATACAAAAAAATAGCCGGGCATGGTGGCGGGCACCCGTAATCCCAGCTACTCGGGAGGCTGAGGCAGGAGAATCACTTGAACCCGGGAGGCAGAGATTGCAGTGAGCCAAGATCACACCGCTGCACTCCAGCCTGGGGGACAGAGTGGAACTTCGTCTCAAAAAACAAACAAAAAGAAAGAAACAAACAAACAAAACAAAATAAACAGAGTAAAAATTGGCATAATCACAATAAGAAATCATAATAAGAAATTTAAACACATCTTTCACAGTAATTGATAATAAAACAGATAACAAATTCAAGAAGGATACAGATTTGAAGAATGCAGTTAACAAAACTGACCAAAGAGCATTCATAGAAGACTGCATCCAACAACTGCAGGAAGCCACTGCGAAACTCCCGTGGGGATGTGTGGCTCTCTCTTATGGATACCTCCTGTGATCAATGCATGTGCACACAGAACCCAGTTTGGTAGATGTTCCCTTCTCCTCCCCACTCCTCTTCCTTTCACAACTCTCCCATCCTTGGCAGGGTTAGAAGTACCTATGGTCTCTTAGAGTGGGTCCAGTGTCCTAGGAGGTGGTGGCCAGAAGCTGGGAGGATGGAGCTGATGCTGGCAGTGTAGGCTGGGTGAGTTGCCAGAAGATTTTTTTTATTAGGCATTTGAGAAATGGCTTGCTTTTCAAAGCACTTTAGAAATGCATTTGCCGGCCAGGCGCAGTGGCTCAAGCCTGTAATCCCAGCACTTTGGGAGGCCAAGGCAGACAGATCACTTGAAGTTAGGAGTTCGAGACCAGCCTGGCCAACATGGTGAAACCCCGTCTCTACTAAAGGAAATACAAGAGTTAGCCAGGTGTGGTGGCGAACGCCTGCAATTCTAGCTACTCAGGAGGCTGAGGCACAAGAATCGCTTGAACCCGGGAGGTGGAGGTTGCAGTGAGCTGAGATCGTGCCACTGCATTCCGGCCTAGACGACAGAGTGAGATCCTGTCTCAAAACAAACAAACAAACAAACAAACAAACAGAAATGCATTTGCCTTATGATATTCATAACTGTAGAAGTTAATGGAAAGGGTGCTAGTATCCCCATTTCTCAGCTGGAGAAATCAAGGTGTTAAGCAATTTACCCCATGAAGCTGGTTTGTGAAGGCCCCAGGCTGAAGTCTTGAGATTTCTCATTCCTTCTGGGTTTCTAGGTGATTCCTGACCTTGACTGTGGAGAAGAGGCCATTGCAAAGCTTATCTCGTGGCATCTCCAAGGATGCCCAGTCAGTTTGTGTATGTTTCTCATTCTCTGCTACTTGGGGCCTCTTGTGGGTAGCTGCCATCTGGGTGCAATTCAGAGTGGCCAAAGGCCTACCAGTCCCCAGGGGCAGGTGGCCTTTAGTTTACCAGAAAAGCATCTTAACCGCTGAGTTTCCGCAGAAGGCAGAATTCTGAGGAGAAAGGCTCAGACAGGGGAATTCAAAACAAAGCCAAATAACACAAGAGAATTCAAAATTCCACAAGAGAAAAATGTGGTGAAAGTGGGAAGGTGGCCCTGTGGCAGCTGAGGGCAGCCCAGGACAGGGAGGTGGTGAGGCTAACATTCCGTTTGGGTTCCACTGTCGTTCTCAAACCTTCACTACAACTTGACCTCACACAGCTTCCTCAGCTAAGTCTTGTTTTGTGGAGTCACAAAGAGCTCAGTTCCATACTTGGGTGGGACAGGGTGGCGAGAAGGCAGAGCTACCAGAGCTTCAAGAGGCGCTGGGTGGAAGGGGTGGAGGGTGAGCATCTAGATCTCACAGGAACCAGCAGTGACTGTGAAACGAGGGCAGCCAGGGAGCCCCAGAAATGAGGCAGGCGCTCGGCTCCCAGAGGATGAGAAACAAGGACGCGAACCAGTGGGGTTTAAGTGTTAAAGCGATGCCAAGGGGCCTGGAAGTGGAGGTCCCTGTAGCTCGTGGGGTCTGTGCCTGGAGTCCAGGAGAAAGCGCTGGCATTCTTTCCCTCGACTCAGAGAGGTGGTAACTTGGCTGACATAGCAGAGCTGGTCCAAGGCAGAGCCAGGGCTGAAACCAGATCTTTATTATCTGGACTGGATCTTTATTATCTGCAGACTTTGACCTGTGCCTCCCCTCCCCGCTCTGCTGACCAGTGCGTTAACCACAGCACACAGGGTAAGGGCTCCCCTATTCCCATGAGCTCAGGATTGGTGACTGTCTCTGGGGGCAACCAACCCACTGGCACCCAGGAGCAATATTTACAGTATTCAACAATCACTATCAATCAATGTTCAATAGTTAATGACTGTGGGGTGAGAACGCCATCCCCCTGTCCTGGGCTGTGCCCACCGGCTGCCGTGGAGCTCTGACCCCTCCCACATTTTCTAGCCTGCCCGTCTCTTTCGCTTGTGGGCTGCATCGTCTGTCTTTGTTCTGAATTCTTCTCTCTGAGCCCTGCTCCTGACTCATGAACCATAAGGGATGCTGGTCACCTGGCCGGCTGCACAGGTGCACACCCCATATCGCCAGGAGGGTGCCCAACACCACCCCCAAGCCTCGGGAGCTCTTTGCATTCTTATTTCAGGTGCCACAACCCCCTTCCTGCTCACAACTGGGGGAGACGGTGCTGGATGGGGATGTGCCAGGGATTCTCTGCTTCCAGAGCCATGAAGCCACCGCATCACTGACGGGCATAGGCAGACATGCAGAGGCAGCCCCAACACACCCCATACCACTCCAGACAGGCTCTCCACTCAAGACAAATGCCAGGGCTGGCCCCTTGGGTGGGCGACCTGTGCAGGCTCATGGGGCCCTGCCATCAGAAACCTGCATTTGGTTTTATACTTTGCTGTTGCCATCTTGAAATTCTTTACAATTTTTGAACAGAGGGCCAGCATTTTTATTTTGCATAGAACTCAGCAAATTTTGTAGCTAATTCAGATGAAAGCCCCCCCGCTCCGGCTTCCAGTCAGAGGTGGCTGCATCACTGCACTGGTTGAGAGTGCATCATCTGCGCTTCCAGCCAGTGCTGATGGCCACATGCCATTCCGGTGGCAGCCTCCTCGGGAGCTTGCAGGAGGGGAAAGGAAGCCTGCTGGAGGCTCACGAGTCAAAGGCTCAGTCACAGAGAATGGCATGTGGATCAGCCTTTGGAGCTTCGTGTAGCGCTGTTTTTGGACAAGTGCTGTGTCATTTCTCCACTGTGGACTGTGGTCAGGAGGAGCTGGAGCTGGGCAGGTCCCTTGTCCTGGAAGCTCGGTCTTGAAGGTTGGCAGGACTAGACATGGCAGGTGATCCTAGGTCAAGTACTGATGGTGCCAGTGCCACAGCAACAGTGCTGACTTGTGCTTACTGCGCAGATCTGTCCAGTAAGGGACCCGGGCCGCCTGGCCCTTTCCACTTTGGGTCATTTGGTGGGACCCTGCAGGGTTACTTCTCTTGCAGCTCCGTTGACAGAACCTCACCGCCTATGAGCCCCGGTTTCTGCCCACTCAGCTCTCTGCTGCCCCCACCTGGCCGCCTCCAGTGCCGACCTGATACTCAGCTGTAGTTTGTCAACTTTCTGAAAAATACATGAAATTGCTGCTATCTGACTATTTTGACCTACAAAGATGGCCATTTTAAGTGGTTCAACATAATACCATTGCTTAGAATGGTCTTATAAATGGGAGCAGAGGGATAGAAAGGAGTAAAGGCTGTGTGTATTACGGAGAATCCTGGCATACAACCGTAGTATATGCTAAACATAGCCCAGATGTTCGTGTCAGCTGTCTGTGGTCACTTTGGGGGCATCTGACACCCGTGTGTGGTTCCCTCCTTGCCCAGGTATTACAGAACACTGGACAGTGAGTGAAAGCCCACTGTGGACCAATGGCCATGGGTTCCGGTAGGCCACCTTGGCAGAGAAGAGAGAATATGTGAAATTCAACCAGTGGCTGACTCTGTCAGGGACATTCTGCAGACTCCACATGCTCTCTGAGCCTTAGTTTTCCCATCTGTGATTTGGAACCAAAGCATCCACTTCCTCCATGTCCTGGGCAGGGCTGGTCTTCAGCAGGGATGCTCTTCCAGGACAAAGACATCAGGGTGTTCCATACAGATCGGGAAGTAGCCACTGCTCAGAGCTGCCTGGGTGGTGTGGCTCCCCTGAAACTCCTGGACACATCTTCATGGCCCAGCAACTGAAGGGTTAATGCCGGGTGCATTGGGACCTCCAGGACCTGCCCAGTGTCTTACCTGGCATCTGACCTTTGTGCACCCCACCCTGCTATTTACAGGGTCAAAATGAGAAGCAAAAGAGATCATAAAACCACCTTTGCAAAATTTGTAACTGAGGAAGTGATGACAGTGAAAGAGACCTGACCTAACCGACTCCATCTTGCTTCTAACCTCCAAACTGTCCTTGTTCATTCCTGGGTGTAGGCTGAACTAACTTTGGGAGGAACTTAGTTTATAGTTTAACTTTGAAACAAAGATGATAACAGCCCTTTTCGAAAACAAATCCTCTTCTTCCCTAGGGACCAATCTGCCTTCGTAGGACTAACAAATTAGCTACAAGATTAGAAATAAGGTTCAGGAGTCATGAAGCCAGAGGCTGCAAGATTCCAAACCTCCTCAAATTGCTTCTGGAAATAACACCACTGTTGTAAAACCTAAGATGAGTGCTTGAGATATTTTGTAGACCCTGCATTCTGATGCACCAGCTGATGCCACCCAGACTGGTGGTAATCAGGTTCATCTGGTCTTGTGGCCCCCACCCAGGAACTGCAGTGTGGGAGGACAGCTTTGCCCCTCTATGATTTCATCTCCAGTCCAACCAATCAATGCTCCGCACTCCCGGGCCCGCTACCTGCCAAATTATCCTTAAAAGACCCTAGTCTCCGAATGTTCAGGGAGACTGATTTGAGTAATAATAAAACTCCCATCTCCCGTACGGCCAGCTCTGCGTGAATTAAACTCTCTCCATTGCAATTCCCCTGTCTTGATAAATTGGCTCTGTCTAGGCAGAGGGCAAGGAGAATCCGTTGGGCAACGGTTACAAACAGGCACAGAAAAAAGATGTGCAAATCAGTAGTCCTTCTTATCTGCAGTTTCACTTTCTGGGGTGTTATCCAGGGTCAAATAGAAAACTCCAGAAACGGACAATTCATAGGTTTTAAATTGCATGCTACTCTGCCCTGTCTTGGGCATGAATCCTCCCTTCATCCAGCCTATCTGTGTTGTTTACACCAACCATCAGCCACTTAGAGCGACTGTTGCGGCAGCACAGTGCTTGTGTTCAGGTCAGCCTTGTGCTACTTAATCACAGCCCCAACGCGCAAAAGTAGTGATGCTGGCAATTCAGATATGCCAAAGAGACGAGCGCAGTGCTTCCTTTCAGTGAAAAGGTGAAAGTCCTCAACTGAAGGGAAAAAAGCATATGCTTAGTTTGCTAAGATCTACAGTAAGAACGAATCTTCTATGTGTGAAATTATGAAGAAGGAAAAAAAAATGTGTGCAAGTTTTGCTGTCGCACTTCAAACTGCCAAAGTTTCGGCCACCATGTGCGATAAGAGCTTAGTTAAGATGGAAAAGGCATTACATTTGTGGGTGGAAGACATGGACAGCGATGTGTTCTGATTGACAGCCATCAGGTTCAGTACCAGCTACCCTTTCAGGCATCCCCTGTGGATGAAGGGGGGACTGCTGTAGTGGCAGAAACATTCTCTGATCACTGGTTAGACTGGAGGGGTCAGAGAGGGGTCCGGGGAGATAGTGTGAACCCAAGGGAAGTGAGAGTGGGTGGAAGCAGTGAGTGGGTGGCCAGGGGAGTCAGGGCACTTGGGCCCCCAGCTGTTTTCACACTTCCAGCACCAGGCTCGCCCCCACCCCCCTGCTGCCCCCTCTCTGGGCTCTCTGTGAGTGTAGTTCCTACCACTTTTATTTTTTTTCCTCACATACTAAAATGACAGCTTGGTTAAAATGAAAATCGCCAAAATGACTCGGGCTCCCAGCATAACCAAAGTGGTGCTCTTGGCTAGGCTTAGCCGCTGGGCCTGCTTTCCTGGGATCAAGGTTTTATCCACAGCCATTAATCACATAAAAGCAGATATTGAGGAGCATTAGCCACAGCCAGCTGTTACGCCGTGTTCTGGGCCATTACGCGGATTACCCCTCCACAGTGCCTTCCTGATGGCCCACTGTCTTGGGTTTGCATGGGCCTATTGGCAGCCGGGTTGACCCCAAGGTTGGGCACAAGCTCTGCCTCCCCTGGCCCCTCTGTGACCCCAAAAGCAGCTCCTCTTTCTTGCACCTCCCGACTGAGGGGCCTCCATCCCCCCGAGGAGGTCCATGGCCCGTTTCCCACAGGCCCTGCACCCTGAAAGCTCAAGTGCTCGGCTCCTGATTCAGGGCTCCAGCCCCAGCTGCAGTCCACACATGGCTGGACATAATCTATTTCTTTCAGTTACTACCCAAGGAGCCCTAGTCCTGCAACAGAGTAGCCACTGGCTACCCAGTGAAATCAGGGCTCCGATTACCACTGCCTGATGTCTCTTTTGTTTGTCGCTGTGATAACGCATATGAAAAAGTATATTTGCTTCAGAGGACGTGAGGGCATGTAAGACACAAGGAAAGGAAGCCACACTGTGGTGGGTTCTGGACTCTCCTTCTGGGTGAAGACCTCTGGCATCTTTACTTTGAGCATCACTAGTTCCCGACAGGGCGCCAGTGATATGGTTCAGCTGTGTCCCCACCCAAATCTCATCTTAAATTGTAGCTCCCATAATCCCCATGTGTCATGGGAGGAACCCAGTGGGAGGTAATTGAATCATGTGGGCGGGTTTTTCCTGCGCTGTTCCCGTGGTAGTGAATACATCTCACGAGACCTGATGGTTTTATAAAGGGCAGTTCCCCTGCACTCTCTCTTGCCTGCTGCTATGTAAGACAGCTTTGCTTCTCCTTCGCCTTCTGCCATGATTATGAGGCCTCCCCAGCCATGTGGAAATGTAAGTCCATTAAATGTCTTTCTTTTTAAAATTACCTAGTCTCAGGGATGTCTTTATTAGCAGCGTGAGAACAGACTAATACAGTAAAACTGGATTGCAGATGCATTTCACTCATTTTGTCATGAATCCTCTTCAGACAGTCTCTGTGACCCCTGAGGAATTTAGAGACACTGACCCTGGGAGTCAGGCTGCAATAAGGAAACTGCAGTGGCCGAGCGTGGTGGCTCACACCTGTAATCCTAGCACTTTGGGAGGCTGAGGTGGGCGGATCACTTGAGGTCAGGAGTTCAAGACCCAGCCTGGCCAAAGTGGCAAAAACCTGTCTCTACTAAAAATACAAAAAATTAGCCAGTGGTGTGTTCCTGTAGTCCCAGTACTTTGGGAGGCTGAGGTAGGTGGATCACTTGAGGTCAGGAGTTGGAGAACAGCATGATCCACATGGTGAAACTCCGTCTCTACCAAAAGTAAAAAAAATTAGCCAATGGTGCACACCTGTAGTCAACACTTTGGGAGGGTAAGGCAGGCAGATCACTTGAGGTCAGGAGTTCAAGACCAGCTTGGCCAACATGGTGAAACCCCGTCTCTACAAAAAATTAGCCCATGGCACATGGCTGTAGTCCCAGCTAGTCAGAAGGCTGAGGCAGGAGAAGTGCTTGAACCTGGGAGGCGGAGGTTACAGTGAGCCAAGATTGTACCACGACACTCCAGCCTAGGTGACAGAGCGAGACTGTCTCAAAAACAAAACAAAAAAAAAATTGGGAGGGGGTGGGAAACTGAAGGAAAAGGACACAATAGACAATGGAGAGGCCCCATCCAGCCTAGAGCTTCTCCAGACAAGATCCCCTTGGCTCTCGAGATGGCAGATGGAAAGTATTTGTGGGGCTAGGACATAGAGACAGAGCCTGCCCTCTGGAGCTTTTCCTCAAGTGGGCCTGGGGATGCATAAACAAGTAGATAATCATATAGGGCAGTGATAAGGGCTGGGAGGGGAGAAAAAGGGAAGGGAAGTCCATGGGAGTAGCTCTTTAAGACAGAGGTGACCCAAGTAATTGAGCAAGTAAGCGGCCCTCTGGGAAGAGGATGCCCTGGCAGTCCATGCAAAGGCCCCCTCTCTGGACGGGTGGATGGAAGCCGCCGGAGGCCCGTGTGGCTGGAGTGTTGAGAAGGAAGGGGAATGGGACAGGCTCAGGTTGGGCTGGGCTTAGCCAAGTTCAGCAGGTCACCCCTTTCTGGATTTCAGTTTCCTCAAATGAAGGGATTGGACTGCTTCTAAGAATCTTAATCATCTATGTTCTAAAATGCAGAGAAGCATATTAGTTATGATGCTAATGGGGTTCAGGACATGCCAACCCAAAATATGACTATAGGAGACCAGAACATGCCATCCCACATATGCCTCTTTGGCATAAGGTTTATTTTGAGCTGGCTATTTCAAGAAACTGCAGGCACAGGGAAAGCTTTGAAAAACACCATAGAAGTTACCCTTTTGCAAGGGAAATTTAAATCTATAAAGGAAATCTCCATTTGTAAAGGTGTCTGCCTCTCTGCACCAGGAAAAGAAGAGTGACTAAATCACCAGAGACTCAGTCAAGGCAGAAGGCACCAACTTCAATCTGTGTAACAAACCTAACCTCTGGTTTTCCAGTGATTTTCCTGGGCCATCTCATTTTAACCAAGTCTTTCCCCACACCCATCCTTCTTGGTTTCAGAAAAAGTTGGTATTTAAACCTGAAGTCTAAGACCACTCTTTGAGATCTACTAAAGAGACTGACTCGGCTGGGCAAGGTGGCTCATACCTGTAATCCCAGCACTTTGGGAGGCCAAGGTGGGCAGATCACCTGTGGTCGGGAGTTTGAGACCAGCCTGACCAACATGGAGAAACCCCATCTCTACTAAAAATACAAAAAATTAGCTGGGTGTGGTGGCCCATGCCTGTAATCCCAGCTACTTGGGAGGCTGAGGCAGGAGAATCACTTGAATCTGGGAGGCAGCGGAGGTTGCAGTGAGCCAAGATCGTACTCCAGCCTGGGCAACAAGAGTGAAACTCCATCTCAAAAGGAAAAAAAAAAGAGATTGGCTCAACTCCCTGGTTATCCCCCATATATACAGGAAGGATACATATGATTAAACTTTTGTTTGTTTCTCTTGTTATCTGTCTTTTGTTACAAGAAGTCCCGGTAAGAACTCATGAAGGGTGAAGGAGAAAATTATTTTTCCTTCCCTATGATGCCATCTTTAGAAGTAAACACTGACGAAAACCCTAGATATGTGCACACATTCTGTATCCATACACATTACTACATGTGCACTCAAGCAGAGAATTATGGAAGGTTACACACCACCATAGCCAATATGGGCTTCCTAGGAAGAAAGGAGAAGGCCAAATAAAATAAACACCTTATTAAAATATTTCTAAACATCATCATGTTGAACATGATAAATGCATACAATTTTTACTTGTCAATTAAAAAAATTAAAAATAAATAAAATTTTTAAATTAAAAAAAGAGAATGATCCATCCTACCCAAGTACATGCATATGGATGAAATAATTAGAAATGCAAGATAGAATTAGATCTAAATCTACTAAGTTTGTAGGGATACCCATTGCTATAGTGTGGCTATTTTCCCCTCCAAATCTCATGCTGTAATTTTATCTCCAGTGTTGGAGGTGGGGCCTAGTGGGAGGTGTTTGCGTCATGGGGGCAGGTCCCTCAGGAGTATCTTGGTGCCGTCATCCTTGCAGTAATGAGTGAACTCTCACTCTGTTGGTTTCTACAACAGCGTATTGTGAAGAAGAGCCTGGCACCTCTCTCCTTTACTTCCTCTCTCGCCACATGATCTCTGCACACACCGGCTCCTCTTCCTCTTCCACCATGAGTGGAGGCAGCCTGAAGCCCTCACAGGAAGCAGACGCTGGCTCCATGCTTCCTATACAGCCTGCAGAACTGTGAGATTTCTTTATAAATTACCCAGCCTCAGGTATTCCTTTACAGTAATACAAAATGGACAAAGACACCCTTGAAAAAGTAAGTGGAGCAGTAATAAAGTTGCATAGTGATGAGAATTGTGTAATTTTAGTTCAGTAAAAACAAATCTGTCAACAAATCCCTGAACGTGTATAGGCGTTTTGGTCTGTGTGTGTAGAACTCCGAGGAAGGCGTGGCCATGGTCATGTTGGCCATCTCCTTCTTATCTCTGGGAGAGTGGGAGGAGGGGGTGGGAGGAGGTTGCAGCGCCTCCTCTGGATGGGTGGTAGGAATGGGGAGAGCATCGGATCCAGGCTCCATGGGGTCACCAAGGCAGCAGGAGGTGTCTGGAGGCGGAGACATTAGCTCTGTGTTTCCATGTGCCTGTCTCTCCCACACCAGCCCCTGCCGTGCTTGCTGTTTGAGCATGGGGACTCTTGTCTTCCACCACAAGGTGGATGTCACAGCACCATTTATAATCGGAAGGCATTTGTAGCACTTTATTGTTCAAACAAGCATCTCTTTCAAGCACATGGAATGCCATGTGTGGTAAATCCAGTTCCCACCCTCTACGAGGTAACTGATCTGCCATCATCACAGATTGGGTTAGGCTGCTACTGAAACAGACAATGTTGCCATTGTGGGGGCCAAGGCCCTAATTCACCAAATGGGCCACCTTCAGTCTTCAATCAGCATGATAATAAAGTTCCCTCTGTTTTAATCCTTAACCCGAACGAAGTTCCATCTCCCTGTCCTTGTCTCATAAGGAAAGTCACTTTGAAAAGACCAATCTGCTTTTTGCTGTTTGTTTCTGCTTTCCTCAGCCGCCCCCACCCTTTTTTTTTTTTTTGCCTATAAAGCCAACCTCCTCTGCTCAGCTCATTGGAACACTAATTCTTTTTTATGGAATAAAGTATTGCCCAATTCTAGAATTGCAAATAAAGCCAACTGAGGTATTTAAACTAAGTTTGCTGTAATTTCTTCTTTTGACAGATCTGGCAACCAAGGAAGGAACCTGAAAGAGAGAGATCTGACAACCCTGAGACCCCTGCAGGAGCACAGGGAAGGCCCTGCTCGCTCTACCTTTTGGGGAGGTCCCTGTCTTCCTCATGGAGTCCTGAGAAGTTCTGCTCTCTTTTGCATTAGTGCTCTCTGATATTTTTGGCATTTGGAGTACCAAGGTTAATTTGTGCTGTGGCAGGGCACACCACCTTTCGGTTTGCAGTGACTGAGGAGTCACTGTGGCAACAAAACTGTCATTTCTAAGGTAACTGATAACAGTGGCAGTAAGTGGTTATTACTGGAGGGATCCTCTTTATTTCTTCTCTTCTCAATGGTGAGGTCTCAGAGCAAAAGTCATCGTGGCTCTGAGATACCCAAGAGCCAACATAAACATGGGATCTCTAATTTCTAAAGATCTTAGTACTCTGCCTTCTGATATGCCTGCCTTTTTCATGGACAAGAATTATGGCCCCAGAAGCTGCAGATATTCTTAAAAGTGGCAAAGTCTTACTAAAGATAATTCAGAATGACAATGGCTGTTATATGGAATGTTCCAGGTGAACACAAAACTGGTTATCTAAGAAGTGCACTTGAGTCTCAAGCCCCTTGAATTAGGCAGGGAGAATGGGATTATTATTCTAACAGGCATTCAGAAGTCTCAAAGAGACAACAAGATTCTAAAATTGCTTTTTAAAAAATTCACTGTGAAGAGCTAATAAAAAGCTAAAAGTGCAAGGCATCACCCATACCAAGGACAGTAAAACTGACATGACCCCTACTGCTCCTCTCTATCCTATTTTGCCTAAATATTCACAATCTATTAACTTTCTGTCGGAATTGCCTATATTCTCAGAAGAAAACAGTTAAGCAGTTTTCTTATAAGAGAAAACCACCCCAAACTCCAGGAAATAATACTCAAGTGACTTATATTCCCTGGATAAAAATAGAGCTCAGAGCCATAGTTTAAAATTTTCCTAAACCTAGAAAAAACCTACGGAAGTTTTCTGAAGAATTTGGGATCTCAACTAGAACTTGTGACCCTGGGTTATCTGATCTCTACCAACTAACCCGCATGTGTGTGGGAACTGGGGAAGCCCAAACATGGAAGAAAGAGGCAGAATGATATTACCTCACAAGCCCTAACTTATGGGCCAAGCAAAGCCTGAAAAATGACCATTGAAAGCCATTCTTGAAGAGCCTCAGCTCCATGGCAACCAACAACCTAGGGTGGCCTTTGGGTCCCTGAAACAATGGTTTCCAGAAAATTGTTGTCATTGGTGCAAACAACCAGGGCACTGGAAAGGGGGCCGCCCTCACAAAGATTTTGAGGGAAGCTCATAAAAAGAGCCTGCCAGCCCTCTGACAATCTTCGTATTAACCACCAAGACTGATGGGCCTCCAAGGGAAGCTCTGATAAGCTTCCTCCAGTTATCCAGTCTGAGTAGACACCAGAGCCCCTATTTCTACTTTAAACCCCACTCTTACGGGACAACCTCTCTCTTGGAATAAAAAAGAAAAATTCAATTGTGAGGGATATCAAATTGAGTTCTAGGAATGAGCCCAGGAATAGAAAATGCCTTCTTTGCCCTATTTATTCAAGGGCTGTGTCGCGAAGTCAGTTGTCTAATTAACAAACAGGTTTTTTGAGTTGAAAAGACCAGGCTGAGTGTAGTGGCTCACACCTGTAATCCCAGCACTTTGGGAGTCCGAGGCAGGAGGATCACTTGAGCCCAGAAGTTCAAGAGCAGCCTGGGTGACATAGTGGGACCTCATCTCTATTTACAACTAAATAAATAAATAAATGAAAATTTAAAAAAGAAAAGACTATGTATCAACTAAATGATTTCCAAAACACAACTTCTTGGCACTTAGCTGACTTTTAAAAAAAATTCTTTGTAAAAGAAATTTATATCTATGAAGAAAATCTATTTTTAAGGGCGCTTCCCTTTCTATATGTAAATAATTAGGAACTTTTACAATGGGGAATAAATTGGCTTGAAGTTTACATTTAAAAAAAAAATGACTTACCTTTGTATAAGGTGCTTTGGCTGGCCATTTTGCCTGAACTAGGCCTTTACCTATGACCTTTTTTGTCTTGGCAAATAATGGCAAATGGCACTTGAGACTCAAGTGCACTTCTTACATAACCAGTTTTGTGTTCACCTGGAACATTCCATATAACAGCCATTGTCATTCTGAATTATCTTTAGTAAGACTTTGCCACTTTTGAGAATATTTGCAGCTTCTGGGGCCATAACTCTTGTCCCATGAAAAAGGCAGGCATATCAGAAGGCACAGTACTCAGATTTTTAGAAATTAGAGATGTAGGTTCTGTGCCTTTGACATGTAAATTTTCTACCTCTTTCCACTCTTTTCTACCTTTTTAAGAGTCCTGCCTTTGGATGTACAAATTTGGTGTTGCCTAGATAACAACTGTTTAGGCCAATAGAACAGGTAATCAGGACATTAATAGTCTAAACAGGGGAGAGAAACTATTTGAAAACCTACAAATGAATAATCTTATTAAAACTATAAGATCTGCCTCTGTCTGTGTGTCTGTATGTCTATATGTGTTATGTATATGTGATGTGTCTCTACCAAAATATAAGAAAGAGTCATAATGAATTGGCTTAAAGAAAAAGTTAGCACTTAAATATTTTATCAGAAAAAAGAAACTAACCTCAATGCCTTTTTGTTCGTGTGACTTGGGTAAATCTTTGGTAAGTAAGACTAGTTTAATATTGTTGGTTTAATAAAAACAGCTGTGTCTTCTGATCAGCAAAATACTAATGTATTGAACTTTAGCATTCTTGCTTAGGTGGCAACTGTCTATCACTTGCGTGCTGTAAAATGGTTAGCAGGAAAATCATTGAGATGATGGCTAACTTTGTGTAACCAGCAATGTAAGCATAATTGTTAAGAATGAGTAAATTATGTGGATGTAAATGGGATACAAATATATAAATAGCATTCTCATAATTTTAAAATCTTTTTCAGTAACTTAATCTTAAAGTCATGTTATGATTAATAGATATTCACGAAACGTTTAAGGCATTTCTAAGTTAAAACACTGAAACATTAATTGCTGAACATAAGTTTAAAGTATATATGCTTTGTGCTACAGTTTGGATATTTGGCCCTCTAAACCTCATGTTGAAATTTGATTCTTGGCTGGGCACGGTGGCTCATGCCTGTAATCCTAGCACTCTGGGAGGCCGTGGTGGGTGGATCACCTGAGGACAGGAGTTTGAGACCAGCCTGACCAATATGGTGAAACTCTGTCTCTACTAAAAATACAAAAAAAAAAAAAAAAATTAGCCGGGCATGGTGGCAGGAGCCTGTAGACCCAGCTACTTGGGAGGCTGAGGCATGAGAATCACTTGAACCCAGGAGGCGGAGCTTGCAGTGAGCCGAGATCGTGCCACTGCACTGCAGCCTGGGCGACAGAGAGAGAATCCGTCTAAAAAAAAAAAATTAAATAATAGAAAAGAAAAGAAATGTGATTATCAGTGTTGGAAGTGGGGCCTAATGGGAGGTGTTTGGGTCTGGGGTGGGACCCCTCATGAATGCCTTTCCCCCGCCCCAGTGGTAATGAGTGAGTTCTTGCTTAATTAGCTCCTGTGAGAGTTCCCTCACGAGTTGGTTGTTAGAAAGAGTCTGGTACCTTCTCCATCCTTCTTGCTTCTTCTCTTCCATGTGATCTGCACATACTGGATAACCTTTACCTTCCTCCATGAATGGAAGCAGGCTGAAGCCCTCACCAGAAGCAGATGCTGGCATTATGCTTTTCATACAGTCTGCAGAACTGTGCACCAAACAAACCTCTTTTCTTTATAAATTACTCAGCCTCATATATTCCTTTATAGCAACACTAAACAGAATAAGACATTTTATAATCTTTGTTTGTTTGTTTGTTTGTTTTTTGAGACAGAGTCTTGCTCTGTTGCCCAGGCTGGAGTGTGGTGGTGCCATCTCAGCTCACTGCAACCTCCAACTCCTGGGTTCAAGTGATTCTCCTGCCTCAGCTTGCCAAGTAGCTTGGATAACAGGTGCGTACCACTGCATCCAGCTAATTTTTTTTTTTTTTTGTATTTTTAGTAGAGACGGGGTTTCACCATGTTGGCCGGGCTAGCCTGGAACTCCTAGCCTCAAGCGATCCGCCCCCCTCAGCCTCCCAAAGTGCTGGGATTACAGGCATGAGCCACCATACCTGGCCTCTAATCTTGTTTTTATATGGTATGGTGAAGCTAAATATGTTTGGGTCTGTTAGTAAACATAAAAAATTGTTCTATGAGGAATCACATATTTTTATAAATTATAACATGCATGTTTATAAAATGTTAGTATGTGACAGTTCAAAATTTATTTCCTAGGCTTTCACTAGAAATTAAGATTATTACATATTAAAATTTTTAATTAATATAGGTAATTCTGTACACAAAGTGTATTAAAAAAGTAAGATGTGTTTTTGGTGAGAAAATTGTAGAAGGACATGAGGATATACCTTTGTTAAAGAAAAGACTAATTTCATCTAACTTGGAGGTTATTTAGAAGATGTCTCAAAATATGGACTAAGGAAGAAAATAGAAGCAAGGCAGACAGAAACCAGTAAGTAGGAGAAAGTGGTGCAAAAAAATCTATAAATATAAGTGTGTATTTTTGATAGAAAAATGTTGAAAAGAGAAAGTAATTTTTTTTGTATGAGAGAGAATTTTGTGTGGTCATAATGACAGGGGAAAAAAGTATATTTTTGTCTTTAGGTAGAATGATTGGTTATTGTAATATGAAGAAAGAAATTTAGGACAACAAGGTTTAAGCAAGTTGTAGAAGATTTGTGGAAGTAAAATCTTATGAAAGAAATTTTGTGTGTGATCAAGTTGGTTAAAATTGGTTGTGAGGGATATCAAATTGAGTTCTATTAATGAATCCAGGAATAGAAAATACCTTCTTTGCCCTATTTATTCAAGGCCAGTGCCCTGAAGCCAGTTGTCTAATTAAGAAACAGGTTAAGTTGAAAAGACCAGACTGGGTAGAGTGGCTCACACTTGTAATCCCAGCACTCTGGGAGTCTGAGGCAGGAGGATCTCTTGAGCCCAGGGGTTCAAGACCAGCCCAGGCAATTTAGTGGGACTTCATCTTGATCTACAAATCAATAAATAAATGAAAATTTTTAAAAAGTAGAAAAGAGTATGTATCAACTAAATGATTTCCAAAACACAATTTCTTGGCACTTAGCTGTCTTTTTTTGAAATTCTTTGTAAAAGAAATTCTATTTTTAAGGGTGTCTCCCTCTCTGCATCTAAATCATTAGGAACTTTTACAATGGGGAAGACATTGGCTTGAAGTTTACATAACAAACCTTACCTTTGTATAGGTTTTTCTAAAAATTAATGTTTAATATCAAAAAAGTACACTGATGCAAAACTGAAATTTGATTTATTGTGTTAAAACAACAAGGTTTTTGTTTTAAAGTATTCATCTGCTCTTAGTAAATTATTGTGAGATCTTGTAGGTAATTGGCCTAGAAAACAATGATTCTGTTTAATCAAAATAATTTCCTATGTTTCATGTTTTCTTTATTAGGTCATTGATTACTTAGGAAAACAGACACTCATCTCTATTAAAGAGTTGAGGTTTTTGACAATTATGTTACTTCCTGTATTTTCTTTTGAAGTCTTTTAATTATCACTCTGGCTAAATGAATGACTATTATTTCACAGTGACTTGTAATCTTATTTTTGATCAAGTCTTTTGAACTTTTATTTTTGACAAACTTCCCAAAATCAAATTCAAAATTAATTTTTGACCTCAAACTAACTTTTGGACACTCCAGAAGGGCCCCTGGAAGTTCAAAAGAGAAATATTAAACCAATTAGACTTATTTGATATGTTAAATTATGTGGAAAACATTGTCAAATAAGAAATGGTGTTAAATTTTCTTTGAGTTATATTTGTATACATTACTAAGGTGTGCCACAATTGTATGAGATTTCTAGAAATCTGATGTGTTATCAAGTCATAATGTCAGTTATTATGTTAAAATGTTGTACTTTGCAGAAATAACCAAATTTTCCTGTCAATTGCATCCTTTCTATAATGGACTCTCAAAGGCTTTTAACCATTGCCACCTTAAGTCTGGTTGTCTGCAGTTAATTGCTTTATTCTGATGCCTTTCTGAAAGCTTTTTGCAGGCAACTATAATTCTAAAGTATTGTGTCTTCAAGGAGGTTTATAGAAAGAATGGAAAGAAGTCTAACAAGTATAGGCTTCCGATAACTTTGAGATACTATTGGACTGAGTAAGAAAGTCTAAAGTTCAACTGAAGAAACTGATGGGTTTGTGAAACTGCTGAGATCAAACAGAGCAAGAATTAATTACATGAAGCTGAATGAACTGATGAAGAAGAATTACGAGTTTTTACAGCTTTTTAATTTGAAGCATTGTTGGTTCATTTAATGTTTTGTTTTCCAGTTTTGTTTTGTTGTGTTTTGTTTTGTTTTGTTTTTTTGAGACAAAGTCTCCCTCTGCTGCCCACGCTGGAGTAGAGTGGTGCTGGAGTGCAGTGGTGCTATCTTGGCTCACTGTAACCTCTGCCTCCAAGCGATTCTCCTACCTCCGCCTCCTGAGTAGCTAGGACTGCAGACGTGTCACCAAACCTGGCTAATTTTTGTATTTTTAGTAGAGATGGGGTTTCACCATCTTGGCCAGGCTGGTCTTGTACTCCTGACCTCAAGTGATCCACCCACCTCGGCCTCCCAAAATGCTGGGATTACAGGCATGAGTCATTGTGCCCAGCCTGTCTTCCAGTTTTAAGGAAAGTAAGTTTTTTTTTTTTCCCTTTTAAGCTATCTATAGCTTACAGCAATTTTGTGAAGCATACTTTTGTAAACAAAAATTAGAACGTTTGCTTTTCCTTCTTACCTGATACTTCCTAAATTCAGAAGCTATTTGTGAGTATTCTTATTTTTATGGTAATATGGTTATTTGCATAACTTCAATAATAATTTGCTCTCTTTATAACAGGATACAATTAGAAACATTGGTTATACTACCAAGGCTTTGACTGGAATGTCATATTTGAGAATACGTATGGAATGTTAGGCTTCAAGAGTTCCGAGCCTTACAGTGAGTAAAAAGTCATCGCAGGTGCAGGAATCTCAATATATTGGACACTGCAGGCAAAGTCTGATGTCTGCCTTGGTTCTGCTTCCTAGTATCCAGGTTTTTCAAAGTCCCATCTGAGGCCAGGTACAGTGGTTCACACCTGTAATCCCAGCACTCTGGGAGGCCGAGATGAGCCAATCACTTGAACCCAGTTCAAGACCAGCCTGGGCAACATGGCAAAACCCGTCTCTACAAAAAAAATACAAAAATTAGCCAGTGTGGTGGCACATGCCTGTAGTCCCAGTTATTTGGGAGGCTAAGGTGGGAGGATCACTTGAGCTGGGGAGGTCAAGGCTGCAATGAGCCATGACCGCACCATTGTACTTCAGCATGGGTGAGACAGCAAGACTCTGTCTCAAAATAAATGAACAAATAAAAGTCCAATCTGAGATTCTTTGTCAAAATATGCAACAATGCAAATTTAAAAGGAGCCTATGTGGTTACTCTTGCTGCAATTATATAATTAATTATGTAAATAAGGTCAATGAGACTAAATTTATTTTGCAAACAAATTAGTTTTACTCTGTTGATCTTTGGTATAAATGGGGGTGACTATAAGACAAAAATCACATTTTAGAAGAAAGCTATAATACACCTATTATAAAACTGTGGCCCTTTTCATTGTTTTTGAGATTTTTTTTTTTTTTTTTTTTGAGACATAGTTTCGCTCTTGTTGCCCAGGCTGGAGTGCAGTGGCATGATCTCGGCTCACTGCAACCTCCGCCTCCTGGGTTCAAGCAATTCTCCTGCCTCAGCCTCCCGAGGAGCTGGGATTACAGGTGACTTCCACCACACCGGGCTAATTTTTGTATTTTTAGGAGAGATGGGGTTTCTTCATGTTGGTCAGGCTGATCTCGAGCTCCCGACCTCAGGTAATCTGCCTGCCTCAGCCTCCCAAAGTGCTGAGATTACAGGCGTGAGCCACCGCACCCAGCCCCGGCCTTGTTTTTGAGTTTTTATTATCTGTCTGTAGACTGGACTAGATTCTAACTTCTTCTAATTTTCTCCAATATCTTACAACTCTCCGACTAAAACCAAAAACTGCTCTGTTTCTGAAGTCCTATAAGGTGAAGCTGGACAACTTGATATAAATCTCAAGGGAACGTCTCATGCCCTTGATGTGTGAGCCACACAGAGTTCCCTAGAACGTGCAATGCCACAGTCAGAGACGTTCAAACTGGAAGCCAGGACAACAAGATGCTGACTTAAAGCTGTGGACAGCCTTCTCCAAGATGGCAGAAGAAGACTCCATGTCATAATGACTCTTACCCCTTTTAATTTTTTTTTACTTATGCCTGCCTCTTTCACTTGGCAGGATAATGCTGCAGTTAGAATTTCACAATCCGTATCTTCTGTGGGTAACTGGATGGAATGTTGAACCTGTCATATCAAACCTAAATAGTTACAGGACCTAACAAATCCTCTAGTCCACCTAGTGGGTAACTTCAGCAACATCCGTAACACAACTGTTTTTTCAAATTGTATTTGTGGTCTCTTTTCCAGAGGTAGCACTCTCTTTTTTAATTTAACCTACTCCTGGGAAGCTAGATGTTAGAATTGCTATGTAACAACGGAACAGGGAGGAAGCTGTGCAGTTGCTGACATTTCTCGTTGTACATAGATGAATACATCAGGTAGCGTAGAGACACGGCTGCAAAAAATCAATACACAGCCACTCAAAATGTGTAGAGGACTCACAGGCTCATTTTTTGATCTATTTGATTTTAGTTGGTTTGGTTATAGGGTTGTCTAGTCTTTTGGCTTACCTGGGCCACATTGGAAGAAGAAGAATTGTCTTGCACCACATGTAAAATACACTAATGCTAACGATAGCAGATACAAAAAAAAAACAAAAACAAAAACGCAAAAAACATCTCATAATGTTTTAAGAAAGTTTACGATTTTGATTTGGCCCAGGCTTTGAATGTGGGCCTCATTCAAAGCTGTCCTGGGCCACAGGTAGGACACACTTGGTTTATGAGGACCCTGGCTAAGGAGCATACTCCATACTCAGTATTAAACTCCTTATCGTCACAATAGTAGTCTCCTTGGTGCACTGTATCCTCTCAAAAAAGTTTTAAATGTTTGCACGCAGCCATCCACCAAATGTCAAATGATCCCTTTTCAGCTGGAATGACAAAAACTCAAAGAAATGCATTATCATGAGGATACCATAACCTGTGAGTGACACGCTGAGACTGGAAACACAGAAACTGAGAGGAGTGCTAATAGTTCTGGTCACTCTCTCACCTAGGTGACAGCCTGACAAAAGGGGGGAATTATTAAATAAAAATTAAAAGAGGCCATTGCTCTTGGACTAAGTTCCTGCTCTAGGCCCCAACAGACCAGACTAGAAATCAAAATGGAGTCACCCATGTTAAAGTTCCACATCACCAAATGGAAACTAAGTTGTTACCTGGCCTTCTGGGAAATCAGGAAAGAGAGATAACAGCCTAATTTACCAAACACGCCAATTTCAGTCTTCAGTCAGCATGATAATGAAGTTCCCCTTGCTTTAATCCTTAACTTGAAATAACCTGATATTAACCAATCCATGAGTTTTCTATTTTTTAGTCTCCCGGTCCCTGCATTACAAGGAAAGTAACTTTGAAATGACCAATTCAAGGCCGGGTGCGGTGGCTCACGCCTGTATTCCCAGCACTTTGGGAGGCAGAGGCAGGCTAATCACCTGAGGTCAGGAGTTCGAGACCAGCCTGACCAACATGCAGAAACCCCATCTCTACTAAAAATACAAAAAATTAGCTGGGCGTGGTAGCACATGCCTGTAATCCCAGCTACTTGGGAGACTGAGGCAGGAGAATCGCTTGAACCCAGGAGGCAGAGGTTGCAGTGAGCTGAGATCATGTTATTGCACTCCAGCTGGGTAACAAAAGCGAAATTCTGTCTCAAAAAAAAAAAAAATGACCAATTCAATGTTTGTTCCTTGTTTCTGTTTTCTTCAGCCCTTTTTCTGCCTATGAAGCCAATCTCCTTTGCTCAGCTCATTGGAATTAACTTATCTTTTTTTATGGAATAAAGTATTGCCTGATTCTAGAATTGCAAATAAAGCCAGTTGAGGCCTTTAAACTAGATTCGTTGTCATTTGGTCTTTTCACAGTCATCACTGGATCCCCAGCTCCAAGAACACTGCCTGGCACACAACTGTGCTATGCGCACACGTTTATCTTTATTAAAGCACCTCAGTGGGCTTGCAGAGAAAAATAACAAAGAACCGTTCTGAATTTCCATAAACATTTTACTAGCTGATAATAAGATTGTGCTCACTTTTCAGTCGGGGTTCTAAAATTAAATTAAATCTGTGACTTTTTACAAGGGTATTTCTTTAATGGCATGAAATATGTAGAAAGCAAAGAATTTTCTAGTGAAGAGGCAAGTGCAACGTCATCACACTTCACAGATATGGAAACTCAGGCCCAGAGAGGTGGAGCAGCTGTCCTGTGGCTACACATCTGAACTGGGGTTTGGACTAAGGATTCCCAGTGGCTCTTGTTCATCACTCCCGATTGCTCTCAGATTAGCTGCTCCTGCAGTCCCCAGGCGGGGAATCGAGGTGCGAGCGAGGCCTGTGTATGGCAAAGTGCAGCTGGATGGTACCACTCGGGGTAACTTGCGTCTTCTCTAGACATTTACCTGTGTTCATTTGGGGGAGCATTTCCAAGGACACAAATAGACTGATGTGGAAAAAAACCTATAACTTTTCTTAGTAGCTGAGATAACCCTGGGGATGGAGCTGCTTTAAAGGGGGCCAGGGGTCCAGGTCCCCAGGGAGGTGGGCGGCTGCTGAACAGCCTGCCAATCATGGTGGCTTCGGTTTACGGCTTCTGATCTGCTGAGTACTGAAATCTCGCCTGGGGCTGGTGTGCCTGTGGCATTGCTGGGACCAATTAAAATACAAAACAAAACAAACAAAAAAACAAAACAAAAAATGTCAGCAGAGGCTGCGAAGAGAGAGGTCAAGGAGGGACAACAGGGAGGCACAGAGATTGTGCAGTTTGTCTACTGTGTTCTCAGCCTTCCCCAAGATTTCCATAACAATGTGTCCTTGTGGGGAATGGGGCAGTCCAGGCTGACCCCAAGGGTCTAACAAAGGGACAAAACCAAGAGACAACTTTTCTGAGTCAAAGATTCTCAAATGAAATGGATCTGAATGGTAGGTGCGAGGACAGCAGGACCCGGCTCCTTGATCTTGGGAAATGTGTTAATGAGCTGGGGGTGTGCAATGAGGTTGCGCTCACACCCTCCAGCTCCAAAGGGGGTTGGGGGCTGGGAGCCTTCTGGTGGCCTGGCTCGGGCGCAGCTGCACCCTGCGTTGTGTAGGAGAGAACGCTCCATCCTGATTATGTAAATCAAAGTCCAACTGTCAACATTATGCACTAGCAAAGAATTCTCCTCTATGATGATGTGAATTTCAATGGAGCTTCAAGGCCTCCCTCAGTGGAGGAGTGGCTTTGTTCCGTGAAAGGAGGAAAGGTAAACTCTTCATCAAAAACTCCCATGCCTCACCACGAAGAATGAAGAGACAGAAAAGCAGCTAGTGAGTGGCATGCACCTGTCTATTTCAGCAGCCTGTCATCTGTGCAGATAAGAACTCTCCTGGCCTTGGTGCTGTAAGGGATGCTAGTCACCTTACCCCCTAGCAAATGTGTGTAATCTGCACAGAAACCTGTGGGGAGAAGGAGGTGGCTGGCTGATTTTTGCCAGCACACAGACACCACCCCAGGGTAGCCTCAGTTCTGCCGTCTGTTAGACAGCTGGGTGGTCTGATGGTTCCCTAGGCATGCTGGGAGCCAGGCAGCCAGGGTGGGCACCAGGTCTCCTCCTCCCCTCCCCGCAGTCCTGGGCAACCTGCAGATGCCCTGCACAGCACACACGGCAAGAGTGCAACCCACCCGTGTCCCTCCAAGCTGCAGTGGAAGAGTGGAAGAGTGACCTCGCAGGTCTGAGAGTGGCTGGTTCATGTGAGATGCCGTGACCAACCTTTCTAAAGTGGAAAACACTCAAGTAGCCTAATAGCCAATGTCCCAGATCTACGTGGAAGGGAACTGAGGGCTGGGGAGGCCAGGCAAGAAGCAAAATCCGTGAATGGCCAGAGGGAGACTCTATTGGCTTTAGGGTGGGGGCAGGCAGGAGAAGGTGGCTTTCAGGACCCCTGAGAGTTTACCCTGGTCTCTGAGGAGCCACCGGTAGCTACTGCTGCAAGAAAACAACATCCTGGCTTAGCTGAGGGGGGCGGGTGTGTGTGTTCTCTGGCCGTGCTTAAGAAACCAAGTTTTTCAAGTATTTCAGCAACTACAAAGGGCTCTGTTTAATGCAGCATGCATAGGAACCAAAGGCTGGCCCCCTGAGCCTTTGAGGATAAACTGGGAGCTGCCTGGGTCCTTGGGGTGCATGGCTGCTATAGCTCGTCATGTGCATCTCTCTCTCTCTTTTTTTTTTTTTTTTTGAGACGGAGTCTTTCGCCCAGGCTGGACTGCAGTGGCGCGATCTTGGCTCACTGCAAGCTCCGCCTCCCGGGTTCACGCCATTCTCCTGCCTCAGCCTCCCGAGTAGCTGGGACTACAAGCACCCGCCACCGCGCCTGGCTAATTTTTTGTATTTTTAGTAGAGACGGGGTTTCACCGTGTTAGCCAGGATGGTCTCGATCTCCTGACCTTGTGATCCGCCCGCCTTGGCCTCCCAAAGTGCTGGGATTACAGGCGTGAGCCACGGCGCCAGGCCGTGCATCTTTAAAATCCCTCTTCCATCTTGACATTCTGCCAATTTCTTCAATTCTGAAACTTGAAGATATTCTGTTGGCGAGCATTGACGATTTGGTAGTGACTTTGGGCAGCAAATTCTTTTCTTTTCTGTCTTTCTTTCTTAAATATCCTGTGCTTGCTGCATCCCCAGGCCTGGGCGGCAGAAGGAGGAGCCCATCCTCTAGCTGTGCAGGAAGTAAGGGGTAAAGCCCATTCTCCATTTCATCCTTAGGAGCTAACTCCTAATCTTGTGTTGCCCGCAGCCCTAAGTGTTCTTAAGTGTCCTCAGCCTAGCCTGGGCTCCTGAAATGGTGATGTATTTTGCATGGAAAGGGTTTCTTCTATAGGTGACTCTGGGTTAAAAGGAGGTTTCTTTCCTGCAGGACTTATCAGAGCCTTTAGTTTGCTGATGTGCATTGTGGATCTCTAACGGAGGACTCTGTGATCCCTTTGGTTTGGAGCTGGGCATGCCCTCAGGCTGGCGTTCCCAGGTGCATTTGGTGTTAGGCTATAGAGGGACCCCTTAAGAGGAGAAAAGAAGAAACTGGTCAGGCAGGCAGTTAGGGTGGCTCCTCAGTTGAATTTTTTCTTTTCCTTTTTTTTTTTTTTTTTTTTTGAGATGGAGTCTTGCTCTGTCACCCAGGCTGGCGTGCAGTAGTGCGATCTCAGCTCACTGCAATCTCTGCCTCCCGGATTCAAGTGATTCTTCGGCTTCAGCCTCCCAAGTAGGTGGGATTATAGGCATGCGCACCACGCCCAGAAAATTTTTGTATTTTTAGCAGAGATGGGGTTTCACCATGTTGGCCGGGCTGGTCTCAAACTCCTGACCTCGTGATCCACCCGCCTCAGCCTCCCAAAGTGCTGGGATTATAGGCATGAGCCACTGCACTTGGCGGTTGAATACTTTCGAACAAAAGAACAGCCAGCAGGCACAGATATGGGAACTTGCACAGGGGAGTTGCCTAAGACATGCCCACAGCTACACAGGTAAGAAAGTCTACACAGGTGACTTGCCCAGACATGCCTGCCATGGAAAATTTCATCCCCTGACACATGCGCAGTAAGGGGAACAAAGCAATATGGAGTATCTCAAGCCAAGAGTCCACATGCGCATTAGGAGGACAGGGTGAAGCTACCCGAAATTCACACCCTATGCAAATAAGATGCCCAGCCCACATTGGTTTCTTGTAAAAGCGTTTGCATTCAACTGCAAAAACAGCAACCCATTCGGCCCCCTCTCTGTGGCTGAGAGCTTTCTTCTTTTGCTTGTTAAACTTTCCCTCCAACCTCACCCTTTATGTCAGGCTCCTTAATCCTGTTGATCCTGAGACAAAAAACTCCAGGCGATACCTCACAATGAGAGACTGCGACATTGTGGTGCATTGGCAAGACTCTAACACTCTGGTGAGGGTTGAAGCAGGGTAATACCTCAGTTGTTTACCGTCACTCCCAACTGGTCGGAGATTTTTACTCAAGTCTAAGACCCCTCTCCCTCACTCTCAGGCCAACTAAACAAAGCGGCCAAGTGTTTTATACCCTCCTGGCCAGAGTCCTCCCTGGAGTTCACAGGGCTGCCTTCTGCCCAGCACCCACTCCTGCCAAGGGTATCCCCTTGTCTCTCATAGCCTGGAGGGTGGCCTGCCCAGGGCCACACAGCTCCTTGGCACAGGCCCCCTTGCTGAGCAGCTACCCTACAGAAGGTCTCCAGGCTGTGCTGGCAATTCAGTGGGCATGGGGTGCTCTGGCCAGGGTTTGGTGTGGGGCAGCTGCCAGCCCCATCCAGCCCAGTGGTGCTTCTTGGCCCTGGCTGGACCCAGTGTACCATAAACTCCGTACACCTTCTTAGACATCACTGGTTCCCTCCCTGTCCCACATCCTCCTCCAGCCCTGCTGGGACTGTCTCCCTCACCTCTGACCTCACATCTCCCTCACACTGTCTTCTCTGGCTCTCCAGGGATCAATGTCCATTTGGCAAATGACCCTGGTCCTGGCCCATTCCCTGTCCTCCCACCTCCTGGCCTTGGCTGAGGCCTTTGCCCCTCAGTGTGCAGGAACCAGGCAAGTGCCCTTTTTGCCATCCCGCTAAAAGTAGAGGATACAGAAGAACAAGGAATCCAAGAGAACGAGGTACTGGACTTGGACCTCCCTGGTAGGTGGCGGTGACTCCAGCAAGCTCTAGAGAGGGGGCTGGACATGTTGTCCCTAGGAAGACCTGCTGTCACATGGCTGAATGGAGTACTTACTGGCCAGCTGGCCTGCTCTCAAGCTTGGGGTCCTCTATAGCACACCCTACCCCAACTCAAGGGTCCTTGAACCCATCACTCAGGCCCTGGGCCCCATCCCTCAAGGGCAGTTGCCTGCAGAACTCTGCTCAGGCATGGGCATGGATTAGTGCCTGGGTCTGAAGTGCCCCCCAACCCTCTATGGGCACAGATGTGGGACCACCTGCCCAGCTTGGAGGCTGGTGAATCAGGCATGTCTCCGCTTCAGGAGTTCTCCCAGGACTGGGTTCAAAAGGTGTCTTCAGCAGCCCTGGGCACTGCTGCCCTGGAAGATGCTCCTGTGGAAGTGGCCCACTGCAGGGCCTTGGACAAAGTGGACCCCTGACTGAGGCTGTGAACTAAAAACAAAATTCTAAGCACCCCCAACCATCTGAATGGACCCCTCCTTTCAGCCAAGGACATTCCAAAGTTAACCTGAAAAACTAGTTCAGGCCATGACGGGAAGCAGGGGATTTGGACATGCCTCAGCATACCCTCCTTCTTTTGGAATTTAGGCACAACTGACCAGCATTGACATTAAAACAGAGACTACGTGTGTGTGAGACAGGGTCTGGCTCTGTTACCCAGACTACAGTGTTGTGGTGCGATCATGGCTCGCTGCAGCCTTGACCTACCAAGATTAAGTGATCCTCCCACCTCAGCCTCCCAAGTAGCTGGGACCACAGGCACACACCACCACATCTGGTAATTTTAAAATTTTCTTGTAGAGACAGGGTCTCACTATGTTGCCCAGGCTGGTCTTGAACTCCTAGGCTCAAGTGATCCTCTTGCCTCAGCCTCCTAAAGTGTTGGGATTACAGGCATGAGCCACTGCACCCAGCCTAAAACAGAGATCTCAAGGCCTTTGTAGCAATAAGACACTAAATTCCAGGCTGACTCTAGTATAGCATCATGACAGATAGCAGGCCCTGAAAGAACTCAAAGTATTTTACCCTAAAATATATTTCTTTGACATATTTTGGAATGGTCCTTTACAGCTGTCTGTTGTGGGGAAAATCTACATTCTGTAGAGAATCCCTTTCCCTTTCCAGGTCTTTTCCCTGATACAGGAAAGAATTAACTAAGAGTCTGGCACCTTTTTATGTCTGATAAGAAACATTTACAATCTATTCTCTCTGAAGCTGTCCACCTGGAGGCTTCATCTGCATAATAAGAACCTTGGTCTCCCAACTCTTATTTTAACCCAGACACTCCTTTCTATGGATTTCAGGTCTTTATTTTTTAGATGGAGTCTCACTTTGCCGCCTAGGCTGTAGTACAGTGGTGTGATCTTGGCTCACTGCAACCTCCGCCTCCCAGGTTCAAGCAATTCTCTTGTCTCACCCTCTTGAGTAGTGGGGATTACAGGAACCTGCCACCATGCCTAGCTAATTTTTGCATTTTTAGTAGAGACAGGGTTTCACCATGTTGGCCAGGCTGTCTCGAAATCCTAACCTCAGGCAATCCACCCACCTCAGCCTCCCAAAGTTCTGGGACTACAGGTGTGAGCCACCGTGTCTGGCCAGATTCCAGGTCTTTAGATGAACTCTTTCAACCAATCGCCAGTCAGAAAATCTGTGAATCCACTTATCATCTGGAAGCCTCCCCTCCCCGCCCTTCAAGATTTTCTGCTTTTCCAGGCTGAGCCAACAACAGTGTGAGCCACATGTTGTCAGGAGCTCCTGAGCCTGTGTCACGGGCATGTTATTGAAAACATCGACAAGTCTCAAACTGATTGAGACTTGTCTCAGATACTTTTTGGTTCACAAGGTCCCTTGGACAAGGCTTCCACCGTTGAGATTCTTTCTCAGCTGGAGAGAGGACCAGAGTCCTGCTTCCCAGGACTGGGGAGAGGATTGAATGGGATGTGTGGAGTCTCTTGGACCCCAGTACTCAAAGTGTGTTCCAAGCATGGGCTGCAAACTGTTGGCTACTGGCCATACCCAGAGGGTTCAGAAACGACAGCCTACATTTAGACCTAATTTTAGCAGTTTGAAAGAATCAATGTCTGTCTACGGAATTTAACAATTAAAGAAAACTTAGGGCTTGGATTTTGCATGTCATTTTAAAATTTCATTTTTTGGCAATTCATTTTTATTGCCTTGTATGAAAGTACAGGTCTTCAATGGATTGAAAAATTTAGCAAGACAGCAATGAGCCCTTTGTCACAGACAGATTTTGGGTTTTATTCTTTGTATGATGTGAAGCCATAGAGAGATGGGTGAGGGTGGCATGGGGTGTGTTACATTCAAGGCCTCTGATGAGGACTGGGGAACAGAGGAGGTTTTCTGGGTCTCCTCCTTCTGTGAGACAGGAATTGTTTTGAATCTGAAACTGCCTTTGCAAAATTATGACTAAGACAGTGAAAGAGATCTAACTTAATCAACTCCATCTTGCTTCTAACCTCTAAGCTGTCCTTGATCATTCCTGGGCGCAGGCTGAACTAACTTTCGGATAAACTTAGTTTATAATTTATAGTTTAAACAAAGACTATAACAGCCCTTTCCCAAAGCCGACCTCCTTCTTGCCGGGGGACTAGACTGCCTTTGTAGGACTAACATTAGCCACAAGATTAGAAATTACGGTTTAGGAGTCAGGCAGCTGGAGGCTACAAGATTCTGACCCTCCCTAAACTGCTCCTAAGAGCAGTGCTTGAGATATTTTGCAGAACCTGCACTTGATGGATCTGCTGGTACCACCCAGATCAATACACTGGCTCATCTGATCTTGTGACCCCCACCCAGGAACTGACTGAAAACAGGATGACAGGTCTGACTCCCTGTGATTTCATCCTTGACCAATCAGTACTCCTGGCTCACTGGCTTCCCCCCACCCACCAAGTTATCCATAAAAGCTCTGCTCCCCGAATGCTCAGGGAGATTGATTTGAGTAATAATCCGTGTGAATTATTCTTTCTCTTTGCAATTCCCCTGTCTCCATGAATTGGCTCTGTTTAAGCAGCAGGCAAGGTGAACCCCTTGGGTGGTTACAAATTTCCATGTGGAATTCTGCATCCAAGCAGATTCCAAACACAGCCTATGTGAGCGTACATGAAACTTCCCTGGGTTCCAGCAACACTCTCTGGGAAATGGAGGTGCTGTAGCCTCAAAGGGAGCCAAGCGTGGTCCTAGTGCTTCGGGCCCAGGGAGAGGTGAGAGCTGCTGTCCCCTGAGCCGGGGGCGTGCCTGCTACTCAGTTGCTCTGAAGAGTGGGAGACTGCAGTGGGGGAGCTTGGTGAAGGAGGCTCCTGCCTGCAGCTCCAACCACACATGGTTAGACAAGGAAGCTCAGATAACCAAGGGGAGTTTGCAGAAGTTCTTCTTAGCTCCACTCTATCACCTGTTTGTGCCTTAGGCAGGCACAAACCGTTGAGGCTGTGCTCCTCAGCTTCACCCTCACTCTTCCTGTGGCTCGCTTGCGAAGTATCAAAACATGTTTAAATTGTGAAAACATTTAATTCAAAATTAAATTTCAAAATCATAGACAAGACTGATATAACAGACAAGTGAAGACCCACAATTCTGTTTTACAGATGTTGTGACTTTACATGTGTACTTATATA